>NC_000011.10:7332727-7635757 GCF_000001405.40 Homo sapiens
CTTTTGCTGCATCCCCTTCACACAGTTAAATTATTCCATGGCTGAACACATGGGGAGGGTTGAGCTAGATGAAAAAAACAAATCTTCTACAAACCTGGAACAGCTGTAAAAGAAATAGAGTTGTCAAGGTCAGCAATTTCATCTCTGAAGAAAGGTGAGACCAGTAAGGGAGAACATTCCCCTGGGACTACATTTAATGGTCTTCTACCTATGGAAGTATTACTATCCAAAATAGTGATCCAGTTTCCTGACAGAAAGCCTTGTCCCATGGATTGGCATTTGCTTGCTTGGAAAATGAGTTTTCAACCTTTCGAGAATCGAAACAGTTTGTGGTATTTACAATACAGCCTTACTGTCCAGTAGCTAAGTGTAGTCTAATTCTAACAGATGGCTCTCCAGGGAAATTTTCCTTCAGATTGGATTATGCTTCCAGGCTGAAATTCACTAATTAAGGGGAGTCTAAATAAACATAGTGGGGGAGTGAGAGGGAGGGGAAGGTAGGCTGTTTCTTAGGAAGCTGTTTTGGAAAGTGGCCATATTTGCAATCTTTATCTTTCCAGCTCCACACACTCAGCTATGTGGAGAATCTAGGCCACTGCTTTGCTAAAGACATGGTAGTGCTGGATCAAGGGTCAGTCTGCCTTCAGCAAGGAGCTATGACTTCGTTTTCTATAAGGCCCTGGCTCTCTAACCTGGTTTTCTCCTATGTTACCTGTCTTGAAATGTAGCTTCCAGAATAAATGTATCTTTAAGATGAGCATGACTGACTTTAAAAACTGAACAGATCTATGAATTTGGCTCTGGTAAACATTGCTAACCTTCTTTTATAAAAAGTCTAATACTTTGGTTTTGAAGTCTTTAATATGTAAAGATACTCCTCTATTACACATTTCTTAATGCTTACCAGTTTGAGACCTAAATAGCTATAGGACAAGTACATATGGCTATCAGATATGGAAGGATGAATTTTGCATGAGTGGGCTGAGAAAAATCCAATTTGCAAGTCAGGAAGTGAGTTCTGGGTCAGGAAGTTAGTTGCAGTTTTGTCTCCATCATCATTCAACAAATGTTTTTGAATACTCACTGTCTGCCAGGCAATGTATTGGACATCAAGCACATAATGGCCCTTACCCTCTTGGGGCTTTTGGTTTTGGGAGATGGAAATGTGGGAAGAAGGGACAGATAGTGAAACATAACATTGCACAGATAATTACTCACATGTGTTATTGGTGCTGCAGAGGAAACGTAGGCAAGCGCTTCCTGTGGCACCTAACCTGGCCTGGTATATTAAAGAAGGATGCTTGGAGGAAATAACATTGAAGCTGAGACAAAAGGATAGTTAGGCATTTGCCTGAAGAAGGGCAGAGTCCCACGCAAAAGGAACAGGAATGTGGAAAGGCCCCAAGACAGGAACAGTTTTGGCAAGTTCAGGGGACAAAAAGTGCAGGGTGGTTAAAGATAGGGAAATAAAATGGAAGAGAGACCAGAACTCAGGAAGGAGCAAGAATAATTAAGATTTTTAAGACAAGAATAAGTCTTTGAGTCTTTATGAGTAATTTTGGGCAGTGAATTGACACATAGAAATTTACTTTTTTAAAAAATCACTCTGGCTGCAGTGAGGAATGGACAGGAGGGGAGAGTGAGGGGATGGTCAATCTATTATAGAAGGCCACTCGCGTGTGGTTAATAGACATGGAGAAAAGTAGCAGATTCCAGAAATTATTTAAGCAGTTTCACTGAGGAATAATTGTATGTAATTAACTGCATATGTTTAAAGCACACAATTTGACAGTATTTGACATATATATACATTTGTGAAACCATTTACCATAGTCAATCAAAATAATGAACGTATCTGTCACCTCAAAACCTTGCCTGTACCCCTTTGTAACCTCTCCTGCCTCCACTCCCTGCCACCCATCCCCCCAATCCCCAGGCAGGTGTTGATCTGTTTTGTCACACTACATTAGTTTAGATTTTCTAGGATTTTATAGAAATAAGCATCATACAGAAGGTACTCCGCTTTTACTTCTTTCAATCAGAATAATTATTTTTGAGATTAATTCATGTTGTATGTATTAATAATTCAATCTTTTTATTGCTGAGTACTATTCCATTGCATAGATATGCCACTTTTTGTTTATCCCTTGCCTATTAATGAACATTTGGGTTATTTTCAGTTTGAGATATTACAAGTAAAGCTGCCATGAACATTCATGTGCTTTGTATGGACATATGCTTTTACTTCTCTCACATAATGACCTAGGAATAGACTGCTGGATTAGATGGTAGGTGTATGTCTACCTTTTGATGAAATTGCTAAACTGTTTACCAAAATGATTGTATCATTTTACATTTACACCAGCTATGAACTGTGAAAGTTCTAGTTGCTCTACATTCTCACCAGCACTTGGTAGAGTTGGTCTTTCATTTTAGACATTCTAAGAGGTATGAAATAGAATCTCATTGTGATTTTTACATTTCCCTAATAACAAATGAAATTGAGCATCATTTCATGTGCTTATCTACCATCTATTTATCTTTTTTGATAAACTGTACAAAATCTTTGGTCAATTTTTAATAGTGTTCTTTAACTTTCATTTTAGGTTTAGTGGTACATCTGTAGGTTTGCTATATAGGTAAACACATGTCATAGGAGTTCGTTGTACAGATTATTTCTTCACCTGGGTACTAGGCCTAGTACCCAATAATTATTTTTTCTGATCCTTTCCCTCCTCCCACCCTCCACCCCCAGAAGGTTCCAGTGTTTGCTGTTCCCCTCTTTGTGTCCATGTGTTCTCATCATTTAGCTCCTACTTGTAAGTGAGAACATGTGGTATTTGGTTTTCTGTTCCTGTGTTAGTTTGCAAAGGATAATGACCTTTAGCTCCATTCATGTTCCTCCAGAGAACATGATCTCATTCTTTTTTATGGATGCATAGTAGTCCATGGAATATTTTTTATGGCTGCATAGTATTCTGTGGTATATATGTACCACATTTTCTTTATCCAATCTGCCGTTGATGGGCATTTAGGTTGATTCCATGTCTTGCTATTGTGAATAGTGCTGCAACGAATATACACATGCATGTGTCTTTATGCTAGAACAATTTATATTCCTCTGGGTATACACCCAGTAATGAGATTGCTAGGTCAAATGGTAGTTCTGTTTTTAGCTCATTATCGCCACACTGCTTTCCACGATGGTTGAACTAATTTACACTCCCACCAACAGCATATAAGCATTCTCTTTTCTCCATAACCTTGCCAGCGTCTGTTATTTTTTGACTTTTTAGTAGTAGCCATTCTGACTGGCATGAGATGGTATCTCATTGGCGTTTTCATTTGCATTTCTCTAATGATCACTGATACTGAGCTCTTTTTCATATTTTTGTTGGTCACGTATCTGTCTTCAGAAAAATGTCTATTCATGTCCCTTGCCCACTTTTTAATAGGGTTGTTTGTTTTTCTCTTGAAAATTTGTTTACATTCCTTATAAATGCTGGATATTAGACCTTTGTTAGATGCATAGTTTGCAAGGATTTTCTCCTGTTCTGTAGTTTGTTTGTTTACTCTGTTGATAGTTTCTTTTGTTGTGCAGAAGCTCTTAAGTTTATTTAGATCCCATTTGTCAATTTTAGCTTTAGTTGCAGTTGCTTTTGGCATCTTCATCATTAAATATTTGCCATTTCTATGTCCAGAATGGTATTGCCTAGGTTGTATTCCAGGATTTTTATAGTTTTGGGGTTTACATTTAAATCTTTAATCCATCTTGAGTTAATTTTTGTATATGGTGTAAGGAAGGGGTCTAGTTTCGATCATCTTCATATGGCTAGCAAGTTATCCCAGCACCATTTATTGAATAGGCAGTCTTTTCCCCATTGCTTGTTTTTTCTCAGCTTTGTCAAAAATCAGATAGTTATAGGTATGTGGCCTTATTTCTGGGCTCTCTATTCTATTCCACAGGTCTATGCATCTGTTTTTGTACCAGTATCATGCTGTTTCAATTACTGTAGCCCTGTAGTAACAGGGTAACATGTTGAGGTTGGGGAATGTGATACCTCCAGCTTTGTTCTTTTTGCTTAGAATTGCCCTGGCTATTCGAGCTCTTTTTGGTTCCATATGAATTTTAAAATAGTTTCTGCTAGTTATGTAAAGAATGTCATTGGTAGTTTAATAGGAATAGCATTGGATCTTTAAATTGCTTTGGGCAGTGTGGCCATTGTAATATTGATTCTTCTGATCCATGAGCACGGAATGTTTTTCCATTTGTTTGTGTCATCTCTGATTTCTTTGAGCAGTATTTTGTAATTCTCACTGTAGACATCTTTACCTCCCTGGTTAGCTGTATCCCTAGGTATTTTATTCTTTTTGTGACAATTGTGAATGGGATTGCATTCCTGATTTGGCTCTCGGCTTGGCTGTTGCTGGTGTGTAGGAATGTTAGTGATTTTTATATGTTGATTTTTGTATCCTGAAAATTTGCTGAAGTTGTTTCTCAGCTTAAGGAGCTTTGGGGCCAAAAAGATGGATTTTTTTAGGTATAGGTTCATGTTGTCTGCAACCCGAGATAGTCTGACTTCCTCTCTTCCTATTTGGATGTGCTTTATTTCTTTCTCTGCCTGATTGCTCTTTCTCTGCTTGATTGCTCTGATCAGGACTACCAATGCTATGTTGAATAGAAGTGGTGAGAAAGGGTATTCATGTCTTGTGCCAGTTTTCAAGGGAATGCTTCCAGTTTTTATCCATTCAGTATTATGTTGCCTGTGGGTTTGTCATAGATGGATCTTATTATTTTGAAGTATGTTCCTTCAAGGCCTAGTTTATTAAGAATTTTTAACATAAAGAGGTATTGAATTTTATCAAAAGCCTTTTCTGCATCTATTGAGATAATCATGTGGCTTTTGTCTTTAATTCTGTTTATGTGATTAATCACATTTATTGATTTGTGTATGTTGAACCAACCTTGCATCCCAGGGATAAAGCCTACTTGATTGTGGTGGATTAACTTTTTGATGTGCTGCTGGATTTGGTTTGCTAGCATTTTGTTGAGGATTTTTGCATCAGTGTTCATCAAGGATATTGGCCTGAGGTTTTCTTATTTTGTGTGTCTGCCAGGCTTTGATATCAGGATGATGCTGGCATCACAGAATAAGCTGGGGAGGATTCCCTCCTCCACAGTTTTTTAGAATAGCTTCAGTAGGAATTGCACCAGCTCTTCTTTGTACATCTGGTAGAATTCGGCTATGAATCTCTCTGTCCCTGCACTTGTTTTGGTTGGTAGGTTATTTATTCTTGTTTCAATTTCAGAGCTTGTTACTGGCCTGTTAAGGGATTCTGTTTCTTCCTGGTTCAGTCTTGGGAGGATGTATGTGTCCAGGGACTTATCTATCTCTTCTAGGTTTTTAAATGTGTGTGCGTAGAGGTGTTTGTAGTAGTCTCTGATGGTTGTTTGTATTTCTGTGGCATCTGTGGTTACATCTCCTTTGTCATTTCTAATTGATATTGTCTCTTTTCTTCTTTATTAATCTAACTAGTGACCTATCTATTATTATTAGCTTTTTCAAAGAACAAGCTCCTGGATTCATTGATCTTTTGAATGATTTTTCATGTCTCAATATTCTTCAGTTCAGCTCTGATTTTCATTTCTTGTCTTCTGCTAGTTTAGAGTTGCTTCACTCTTGCTTCTATAGTTCTTTTAGTTGTGATGTTGGGTTGTTAATTTGATACCTTTCTAGCTTTTTGATGTGTGTGTTTAGTGCTGTGTATTTCCCTCTTAACACTACCTTAACTATGTACCAGAAATTCTGTTATGTTGTGTCTTTGTTCTCATTAGTATCAAAGAACTTCTTGATTTCTGCCTTAATTTCATTATTTACCCCAAAGTCATTCAGGAGCAGGTGGTTTAATTTCCATGTAATTGCATGGTTTTGGGTGATTTTTTGTCTCGATTTCTATTTTTATTGTGCTATGATCTGAGAGTGTGTTTAGTATGATTTTGGTTGTTTTGCATTTGCTAAGGATTGTTTTATGTCTGATCGTGTGCTCGATTTGAGTATGTGCCATGTAGTGATGAGAAGAATATATATTCTGTTTTTGAGTGGAGAGTTCTGTAGATGTATATCAGGTCCATTTGGTCCAATATTGAGTTCAGGTTCTGAATATCTTTGTTAATTTCCTGCCTCAGTGATCTGTTGAATAATGGCAGTGGGGTGTTTAAGTCTCCCACTATTATTGTGTGAGAGTATAAGTATTTTTGTAGGTCTCTTAAGAATTTGCTTTATGAATCTGGGTGCTCCTGTGTTGGATGCATATATATTTAGAATAATTAGGTCTTGTTAAATTGAACTCTTTACCAATATGTAATGACCTTCTTTGGGCTTTTTTTGTTTGTTTGATCTTTGTTGTTTTAAAGTCTGTTTTTATCTGAAGTTAGGATTGCAACTCCTGCTTTTTTCTGATTTCCATTTTCTAGGTAGATTTTCCTCCATCCCTTTATTTTGAGGCTATAGGTCTCATTGCATGTGGAATGGGTCTCTTGAAGACAGCATGTCCTTGGGTCATGCTTTTTTTATCCAGCGTGCCATTCTGTGCCTTTTAAATGGGGCACGTAATCCATTTACATTCAAGGTTAATATTGATATATGTGCATTTGATCCTGTCATTGTGTTGATAGCTGGTTGTTACGCCAGCTTGTTTGTGTGGTTGCATTTTAGTGTCCCTGGTCTGTGTACTTAAGTATGTTTTTGCACTGACTGCTAACAGCCTTTCCTTTCTATATTTAGTGTTCCTTTCAAGATCTTTTGTAAGGCAGGTCTGGTGATAACAGACTCCCTTAGCATTTGCTTGTCGGAAAAGGATCTTATTTCTCCTTTACTAGGGAAGCTTAGTTTGGTTGGATATGAAATTCCTGGTTGAAGATTTTTTTTTCCTTAAGAACTTTGAATATAGGCCCCCTAATCTCTTCTGGTTCGTAGAGTTTCTGCTGAGAAGTCTGTTGTTAGTCTGATGGTGTTCCCTTTGTAGGTGACCAGTCCTTTCTCTCTAGCTGCCTTTAGCATTCTTTCTTTCATTTCAACCTTGGAAAATCTGATGATTATGCATCTTGGAGATGATCTTCTTGCGTAGAATCTTGCAGGGATTTTCTGTGTTTTCTGAATTTGACTGTTGGCCTCTCTAAGAAGGTTGGGGAAGTTTTCATGGACAATATCCTGAAATATGTTTTCCAAGTTGTTTGCTTTCTCCTCATACCTTTCAGGAATGACAATGATTAATAGATTTGGCCTGTTTACATAATCCCATATTTCTCAGAGGTTTTGTTTGTTCCTTTTCATTGTTTTTTTCTTTATTTTTGTCTGACTGCCTTATTTCAAAAAGCCAGTCTAAAAGTTCTGAGATTCCTTCCTTAGCTTGGTCTGTTCTGCTGTTAATACTTGCAATTGTATTGTGAAATTCTTGTAATGTGTTTTGCAGCTCTATCAGGTCAGTTAGGTTCTCTTTTATATTGGCTATTTTTTCTATCAGCTCCTGAATAATTATATTGTGATTCTTAGTTTTCTTGAGATGAGTTTGCCATTCTCCTAAATTTTAACAATCCTTGTTCCTATCCATATTCTGAATTCTATTTCTGTCATTTCAGACAACTAAGCTTTGTAACAAACCCTTGTTAAAGAACTAGTGCAGACATTTGGAGGATATAAGACACTCTGACTATTGGAGTTGTTGGAGTTCTTGTGCTGGTTCTTTCTCATCTCTGCATGTGGGTATTCTTTTAACTGCTGGGCTGCTTCTGATTGAAGTGGTCAGGCAGGAGCAGGGTTATTGTGCTAGAGTCTGAGATCAGGCAGCCCTAACCAGTGAGGATAAGTGAGGACCAGGACCTGTATGGAGAACAATCCAGTCACTTTTCTGTGAGGTAGGTGTTCTGTACTGGAGGTCTGGACAAGCCCCTGGTGCCTGCAGACTCTCTAGAGCCTGGAGACAGCAAGGGTGATGGCTGCAAGACAGCAAAGATGGTAATCCACCCTTCCCACTGGGAGTTCTGTCCCAGGCAATTGCAGAGCTATTACTGGCTCAGTAGCCCCAGTGGGGAATAGTGGAGTCTTAGGCCAGGAGGCCACATCCAGTGAGGAGATACAGGATTAGGGAGCCACATAACAAACACTCTGGCTACTTTTTCACAGGGCTGCTGCAGTGTGCTGGGGGTCTGCTCCAGTTCCTACTCACCTTGGATTTTCTAGCACCTGAAAGTATCAACAGTGAAGGTTGTGAAACAGCAAAGATGATGGTCTGTCCCTACCTCTGGGAGCTCTGTCTCAGGGAAGTTTGAAGCTGTTACTAGCTGGAAAACACCAGCAGAGGTGCTTGTAGACCTTGGCTGGGAGATTCTACCCAGTGAAGAGAAATGGGATCCAGGACCTGCATGAAAATGCAGTCTTCCTGCTTCTTCAGAGAGCTGCTGTGCTGTACTGGAGGACTGCTCCAGTCTCTACACACCTCGGACTCCTTTGAGTTGGAAAACATTAATCTTGTGTTTAGGCACAGGATGTAAGGGCTACTGGAAGATGCTTCTGATATGCGTTGGCTGTGTCCCCACCTAAATCTCATCTTGAAATGTAGCTCCCACAATCCCCATGTGTTGTGGGAGGAACCTGGTGGGAGGTAATTGAATCATAAGGGTGGATTTTTCCCATGCTGTTCTCATGATAGTGAATAAGTCTCATGAGATCTAATGGTTTTATAAAGGGCAGTTCCCCTGCACACGTTCTCTTACCTGCTGCCATGTAAGACATGCTTTTGCTCCTCTTTCACCTTCTGCCATGATTGTGAGGCCTCCTCAGCCATATGGAACTGAATCCATTAAACCTCTTTTTCTTTATAAATTACCCAGTCTTAGATATTTCTTCATAGCAGTATGAAAATGGACTAAGACAGCGGCCATGAGACTGAGTTGGTTTTATGAAGCAGAGGAGTCAAGTTTAAATCACATATATGATTACATATGTGTAATCATACTGTGTGTAATCATACTGATATGACTCACATCTCAGTCATATTTGCAAGAAGCAGTCAGTCTTTGTATTATTTCATTTTCATGCTGCTGATAAAGACATACCCAAGACTGGGTAATTTATAAAGAAAATGGTTTAATGGACTCATAGTTCCACGTGGTTGGCAAGACCTCACAATCATGGTGGAAGGCAAAAGGCATGGCTTTATGGCAAGAGGGAATGAGAGCCAAGTGAAAGGGGAAACCCCTTATAAAAACATCAGATCTCATGCAACTTATTCACTGCCATGAGAACAGTATAAGGAAAACTGCCCCCATGATTCAATTATCTCCCACCAGGTCCCTCCCCCAGCATGTGGAAATTATGGGAGCGACAATTCAAGATGAGATTTGAGAGGGGACACAGAGCCAAATCATATCATTCCACCCCTGGGCCTCTCCCAAATCTCATGTCCTCACATTTCAAAACCAATCATGCCTTCCCCAAAGTCCCCCAAAGTCTTAAATCATTTTAGCATTAACTCAAAAGTTCATAGTCCAAAGACTCATCTGAGACAAGGCAAGTCCCTTCCACCTATGAGCCTGTAAAATCAAAAGCAAGTTAGTTACTTCCTAGATACAATGGAGGTACAGGCATTGGATAAATACACGCATTCCAAATGGGAGAAATTGGCCAAAACAAAGGGGCTAAAGACCCCATGGGAGTCTGAAATCCAGCAGAGCAGTCAAATCTTAAAGCTCCAATATGATATCCTGTCTCATATCCATGTCTCATATCCAGGTCACACTAATGCAAGAGGTAGGTTCCCATGGTCTTGGGCAGCTCTGCCCCTGTGGCTTTGCAGGGTACAGCCTCCCTCCCGGCTGCTTTCGTGGGCTGGCATTAAGTGTCTGCAGCCTTTCCAGGTGCACAGTGCAAGCTGTAGGTGGATCTACCATTCTGGGGTCTCGAGGACAGTGACCCTCTTCTCACAGCTCCAGTAGGCAGTGCCCCAGTGGGGACTCTGTGTGGGGGCTTCAACACCACATTTCCCTTCCACACTGCCCTAGCAGAGGTTCTCCATGAGGGCCCTGCCCCTGCAGCACAATCTGCCTGGACATCCAGGCATTTCCATACAACCTCTGAAATCTAGACAGAGGTTCCCAAATCTCAATTCTTTACTTCTGTGCACCCACAGGCTCAACACTATGTGGAAGTTGCCAAGGCTTGGGGATTGCACTCTTTAAAGCCACAGCCCAAGCTGTACCTTGACCCCTTTTAGCCATGGCTAGTGCATCTGGGATGTAGGGCACCAAGTCTTTAGGCTGCACATGGTAGGGGTACACTGGACCTAGCCCACAGACCCATTTTTTATCCTAGGCCTCTAGGCCTGTGATGGGAGGGGCTGCTGCAAGGGTCTCTGACATGTCCTGGAGACATTTTCCCCATTCTTTTGGTGATTAACATTTGGCTCCTTGTGACTTATGCAAATTTCTACAGCAGGCTTGAATTTCTCCTTAGAAAATGGGTTTTTCTTTTCTATTGCATGGTCAGGCTGCAAATTTTCCAAACTTTTATGCTGTGTTTCCCTTTTAAAACTGAATACTTTTAGCAGCACCCGAGTCACCTCTTGAATGCTTTGCTGCTTAGTAATTTTTTCTGCCAGATACCCTAAATCATCTCCCTTAAGTTCAAAGTTCCATAAATCTCTAAAATGGGGGAAAATGTTGCCAGTCTCTTTGCTAAAACATAGCAAAAGTCACTTTTACTTCAGTTCCCAACAAATTCCTCATCTTCATCTGAGACCACCTCAGCCTGGATTTAATGGTCCATTATCAGCATTTTGGTCAAAGCCATTCAACAAATCTCTAGGAAGTTCCAACTTTCCCACATTTTCCTGTCTTCTTTGAGCCCTCCAAACTGTTCCAACCTCTGCCCGTTACCCAGTTCCAAAGTCACTTCCACATTTTCATGTATTATTACAGCAGTGCCCCACTCCCAGTACCAATTTACTGTATTAGTTCGTTTTCACACTGTTGATAAAGACATATCCAAGACTGGGTAATTCATAAAGAAAAAGAGGTTTAATGGACTCACAGTTCCACATGGCTGGGGAGGCCTCACAATCATGGTGGAAGGTAAAAGGCATGTCTTACATGGTGGCAGGCAAGACAGAATGAGAGCCAAGCGAAAGGGGAAACCCATTATAAAAACGTCATATCTCATGAGACTTATTCACTACCACAAGAACAGTATGCTGGAAACTGCCCTCATGATTCAATTATCTCCCACCAGGTCCCTCTCACAACACATGGGAATTATGGGAGCTACAATTCAAGATGAGATTTGGGTGGGGCACAGCCAAACCACATCAGTCTTTATGGCAGAAGAGGGGAAGAGAAGCTTTCCATTGTGAACACTTCCACACTTGATTATTTCCTTCTTCTTTGGCACATTCCTCATTAATTTCCACCAGGAGGAGGCATGCAGCCCAGTTCCCCTAGTCTCTCTTCCTAAATCCCCCATCTTTTTTTTTCGTTTTTATTATTGAGTTGTGAGAGCTTTTAAAATATTCTGGATGCCAGTCCTTTATCAAATATATGGTATGTGAATATTTTCTCCCAAGCTATGGCTTTTTATTCTCTTAACACTTTCTTTTGAAAGAGAGACATTCTTAATTCTGCTCAAGTCCATTTACTCAATTTCATCTTTTATAGGGTATGTTTTCAGTGGCGTGTCAAAGAAGTCCTGGCCTAATCCAAATTTATACAGTATTTTTTTTTACTGTTTTACTCTAGAAGTTCTATCATTTTAGCTCTTGCATTTATAACTACAATCCATTTTGAGTTAATTTTTATGTATAGTATGATATGGTTTGAAGTTCTTTCTTGTGAATGCATATGTGTGTGTATACTATAAAGTTGTTCCAGCACCATTTGTTGAAAAGTCTATATTTTATCCACACAATTGTCTTTTGCACCTTTGAAGAAAATAATTGATCATATATATGAGTCTATTCTGGACTCTCTATTCTTTTCCATCGCTCTATTTGTCTAGCTTTACTCCAATATCACAGTGTCTTGATTGCAGATTTATAAATCTTGAAATCAAATAGTGTAAGTGCTGCAACTTTACCCTACTTTGTCAAAGTTGTTTTAGTTATCTAGGTCTTTTGCATTTCCATATGAATTTTATAATCAGCTCATTATTTTACACACACACACACACACACACACACACACACACTTGAATTTTTATTGGGGTTGCATTAAATATAGAATCACTTTCTATTATTTGGAAATAATAGGAATCTTAAAAATAGTGAGTCTTCCCATCACAAACAGTGTATCTCTCTCCATTTAGTACATCGTCTTTACCTTCCCTCAGCAATATTTTCTAAGACAGGTCTCTCGAGCTCTCTCATTGTTTATCGTTCTCTTCTCTG
Source organism: Homo sapiens (assembly GCF_000001405.40). Lineage (NCBI taxonomy): Eukaryota > Metazoa > Chordata > Mammalia > Primates > Hominidae > Homo > Homo sapiens. Next base: position 7,345,163 of record NC_000011.10, read on the forward strand.
GTACTCTACCCTGCAAATTCTAGGGGGGATGGCCTCTCCAGACTCCCAAGTCCGTTTCCTCAACTGAGGGAGCCCACTAGGCTCTGCCTGGGTTTTCACCTGTCTGTACTGTGTCTCTGAAACTTTCTCCAGGTGGTGACATGGGCAGTTTTAGTTCTTGCCTCATTTGTTTCCTGTCACTCAAGGATCACATATCTTCATTACCTGATGTCCAATCATTGTTTCATATATTTTGTCCAGATTTTTAGTTGTTTAAAATGTGAGAGTAAATTCATTTCCTGCCTCTCTGTCATTGTCAGAAGTGATTGATTTTATGTGAGAATTGAAGAAAGAGAGTGGTCAAAGATGGATGATTTTCTGGTTTTCAGCATGAGCAAACTCCAGATGTTGGTATTTACTGAGATGGGAAATATTAGGTGAAGAATAGGCTGTATTCTGGTATAAGTAAGATCATGTGTTCCATTTTTAACATATTCAGTTTGTGCTACCTGTGAGACATTCAAGTATAAAAAAATCAAAAAACAGTTGTATAGACTAGGCTGGAGCTCAGAAGCAGGGCCTGAGTTGGAAATATGAATTAACAAATTGTCAACATATCCTGTTTATGGTATTTGAAAAATAGATGTTGACAAAGGTCTTTACTAGCAGAATGTAGAGTGATAAAAGAGGAGGACAGAGGTCCAGTTTTTGAAGAATACTAATGTTTAGACTTCAGATGGAAAAGAAGACCTTAATCTGAGCAGAGAGAGCCAAAGAGGTAAAAGGAAAACTGGTTGATTGTATCATGGAAGTCACTAGAAGAATGTTTCAAGGAACCAAGAGTGGTCAGAGTCACTCTGACTGAGAGAGTGACAAAGCTACATTGAAGTTGATGAAGAAAGGACTGAAAAGAACCCACTGGATTATGTGACGGCAAAGTCATTGGTGGCTTTAGTAAGGGAACTTTCCATAGAGCAGTAAGGACCAAAGCCAGAACAGAGTAGACTGGAAAGCAAATGACAGGAACAGGAGGCAGCATGTTTAAATAGCTCCGTGGCACATTTGGCTGCAAAAGGGAAGAGGAGGACTGAAATTGGGAAGGAATTTTTCAAAATGGGAGAAAACAGATTATTTAAATACTGACAGCTAAGAGCCAGTAGTGGGGAAGCCTGGAGATGCAAGAAAGAGAGGATGAGCAGCAGAGGGGGTTCCTGTGGCTGAGACCCCATCGGATGGCACGAATGGATGGGACCCAGAACAGAGTTGGCGGATTTGCTTTTGATAAAACTCTTCTTCCCATGTTGCAGTGGGAGGGAGAGGCCAATGCAAGTGCAAATACATTTATGAATCCAAAGGTAAGAAGTCAAGTGTAGCCCTTCTGATGTCTCTGTCTTCTCTGGGAGGGAAGAAACAGGGCTGTGTACTGAGCATATGGAAGAGCCTCTGCCTTCAGGGAGCTTGTGGTCTTTTGGCGTGTACTGCTCTGATGATTTCTTTTATAGTAACTACAAAATCAGTCTCACTTCAACTTGCGTCCCTTTTAAATTTTAAAATGTTTTACTTTTCAAAAATAATTTGCTGGATTTTCCTTGATTATGTAATCTGTCTGCTCAATACAGAAAACTTGAATGAAAACAGAAGAGTAGATAATTCTGATACAAAGTCACCTATAGTCCCTCTGCCCTAAAGTAACCACTGTTAAAGTTTGATATATCTTTCCTGTATAATCTCTGTCCATGGTTCTTCACTTGCAATTTTTATATGGTTGTGACACTATTTTGCCTGCTTCTTTGCTGTAATTTGTTTAAGTAAGGAAACTAAACACAAAGTTTTGTCTCAAAGGACCATTTCTGCAGGTGGGTGGGGCCCCTGTTCCTGAACAGGGCTTCATTCCCTTTGTCCATGTTTGCTGAGATCAGGGCTTCCCTGCTAGCCAGGCATCCCTGAACAAGCCAAAATGCAGAGCACAGCCTTCAAAGGAAGCTTGTCTGTCTTCTCTCTTTGGAGGCTGAGGGGTCACAGTCAGCGTACCCAGAAGAGAAGCTGGGACTTATCAATTAACCAATACTGCTTTCAAACCGTTTTCATCAAAATATTTTTTTTTTTTGAGATGAAGTCTCACGCTTGTCCCCCAGGCTGGAGTGCGATGGCACGATCTCAGCTCACTGCAACCTCTGCCTCCCAGGTTCAAGCGACTCTCTTGCCTCAGCCTCCCAAGTAGCTGGGATTATGGGCAACTGCCACTGTACCCGGCTAATTTTTTTTGTATTTTTAGTGGAGACGGGGTTCTACCATGTTGGCCAGGCTGGTCTCGAACTCCTGACCTCAGGCGATCCACCCACCTCAGCCTCCCAAAGTGCTGGGATTAGAGATGTGAGCCACTGCGCCCAGCCGAACTATTTCCATCAAAGCATGGGGAAGTTTCATATGCAGCTTCAGGGATCTTGGGGCTGGCAGCTGTCAAATAAGCATGCTGTGGGAACTGGGGAGTCAGGAAGATTGTGGATATGTGCTTCTACTTGTGCCTAGAGGAAAAGGTTTCCTCTTGTTTCACAACAGCCTTGGCCAGCAGCTTTTTGAGGGAGTGGGAAGCAGGACAAGGAATTTTGGTGTCTGCCAGATTGAGACAGGGATCAAGAACTGAGTGAGGACAGAGCGTGAAAGAGTGGTCTCAGGCCTCCTGAAGCATTTGTTCTTTCAACAGACAGGCTCCGTGCTAGCACTAGAATGCCCATGGAAACTGAAGGAGGAAACCACAGGCTGGCAGAAGGCTAAGTCTGTGGCATCAGAGCAGGAAGCAATTCCGTGAAACAGCGACTCTGCTCTAGCTACATTTATTTCCCTCTGTTCCTGGAGGAGTGAGGGGAAGGGGGAGACATCCTTTTCTAACAAGGGACTTTCCTGAATACTTGGATTTTATATTAATTCATGCTTTCAGAATTTAAAGGAACTCTTTCTGCACAGAGGGAGTCCCCCATCAGGTCATGCAATGTTTAACAATTATGGTTTGGCCACATTCTCCTAGAAAAACTACAGGACCTCCCCCTTCAAAGACATATACAACTCCAGGAAGCCACCTGAAAATCTTGTGTTGGTCCCTGTACCAACTCTACCCCCCTCCTCAGTCTCTATTAATCTGTTCCCAAAAAGAAATGTCACCAGATGGCCCTGCAAATGTCACCTGGCCATCAGCATGGCTTCACTCAAAACAGGGAGGCATTAGAGAATCTAATCCATCGTTCATTTCCATCATTTCGGGTCAGTTTGCATCCTTTACTGGGCATATAGTGCTTTCTTAACACACTGGGTTGGACAGTAAGATCTGTAATCCTGCTGATATTAAAGAATATTGCTTCACGTTTAATGGAGGAAGGTCCCAGTGACTCACAGATACTGAACATTCTGTAAGAACTCCTCTCTTGTTAGCATTTAATACCAGATTTTACTGCCCTCAGCTTCATGAACTGAGCACTCCCTCAGCATTCTCAATGCCTCAGGCTATCTTTAGCATTTAATCCCTTCCAGGTATCAGAGCCATCAGACCTCCTTTTTTTTTTTTTTTTTTTTTTTTTTTTTGTATTTTCAAAGTGCGGATGGGTGGATTTTAGGAATTGAGCTGATCCCTTTTTAAAATGGGTTTTTCTTTTACTGTCTCTTAGATTTCATATCCAGTCATGGGCATCAGACCCGTATCCTGTCTCTGCTCTGTGTATTTCTCCATTCTAGCAGTTACAGAAATAGCTGAGGGAGGTGTGACTGGTTCTGGAGAAAGAAAAGAAAGCTGAACTCCTCACGCTGAGGAGGTTGCAGGGCCACAGCTAGGCGGGCTGGGGGTGGGAAGATGGCTGTACTGCTGGGCTGTCAGGCAGAGGGGCCACACATCCAGATGTGCTTTTGAGCTCCCCGCAGCTTTTAGGGAGTGGCTTCCAAATGAGTCATAAAACTCAGAGGTAGGTTTGGAATAGGAGATTTCAAGTGGGCTCCTGCTCACTGTCAGAGCCACTTACTCTCTTTACTGGGGATTAAAGAACTCCACGAGCATTGCCGGGGACTGGGGGGAGGGGAAATTGTTTAATGGATACAGAGTGTCTAGTTGGGGTGATGCCAGCATTCTGGAATAGACAGTAGAGATGGTTGCACAACACTGTGAATGTACTTAATAGCCACTGAACTGTATACTTACACATGGTTAAAATGATAAATTTTATGATGTACATTTTACCACAATAAAAAATATACAAACACACACACACACACACACACACACCATGAAAACTCTCTACCAGAGTGCAAATAAGACTTGGAGACAACAGAGAAAGGCGCAGGCCCAAATGCACAGAGTTGCCCCTGCCTCCAGCCAGTTGAGGTGGGCTGCGGGCAGGGGTCATGTTCCTACAGGGGCCACCTACTCATCTTAGCAGAGACTCCATACAGCAAGGGCTGGGTTTCCCTCAGCTTCCCAGAGCCCAGGCCTATCACCCTACCAACGTCTGTCCCAACAAATCCATGCACATTGCCTATATGCCAGACCCCAGTTCTAGTGTGTTTTCCACTTAATTTTCACAGAAGTGAAATAGCTATTATGCCCATATGACAGAATAGGAAAATGAGGTATAGAAGGGTTCATTACTCGCCTAAGGCCACACAAGTGATAAAGGTGAGATAGCATTTAAATGTAAGTCTATTTGAAGCCTGTGTTCCAAAACTCAGTTTTCCCGATTATACTACACTTCAAAATATCCATCTTGGTAAAAAAATAGGTCCTGAACAATGCTTCCATCAACTCTAGAATAAAAATGAGTTTGTATCATGATTTGAATCCAGTACACTTCAGAGACACTGGCATTCTGCTGCTTTCATCACACTCCACCCTGTGAGTCACTCATGCCAGGGGGGGACCCACCGAGGATGCCTCATGGGTCAATATAGTTTTTGCTGAATAGATGATACATCAGAGGCTGAATAAGGATCAGGCTGGCCGGACAGATTTCCAGAGAACTAATCAATAAAGGGTACTAAAACATTGAGGTGGAGGAACCTATTAATCTGTATAACTTTCTAGAAGAACATTACATATGGTTGGAAATAATACCTGAAGAAGTGATGACATTCCCAAATAGCTCAAGTTGCAGTAGATGCTCACTAATATGTCTTCTGAAGGTGTAGGTCCAGGCAAATGCAGGCTTCAGGCTTGAGCTATTTGGGTGGTAAAGGAAAGACTAGCACTGTCTCCAACAACCCTCTTTGTCTACCCATCAGAGCAGCCAACTTCTCATAAACACTGAACAGATATTTAAATAACATCAGTTTGAAGAATGGCCAAAGTCACCTCCTACCTGAGCTGCCTACGTGCATTGATCTGTCCTGCAGGCCACAAGTTTTTATCCCCTCTTTCCTATGTCTCAGCCTACTTCTGCCTCATAGATACACACCTCAAAATGCAGCCCTGGGGCCTGGGCTCACTTTCCTTCATCTTCCATATCTCAAGGCTTATGTTAGAGCTCATTCTCTTTTCTTTCAGGTCCAATCTCTTCTCCTCTCAATGCCCACTGCCACAGCTCCTTCTTTGGTGACTGGCATTGCTATTGCCACCACCACCAACTTTCAACCTGAGAGCATGATTTTTCCAGAAGACGTGATGTAGAAAGAGAGAGAAAATAAATGCTACTTGCATTTTGACACTATCTAAAAGCAAACAGATAAATGTTTAGCTTTAAAAACATTTCTAAATGTGTAAAACAATTATTTATAGTGGATTCTTGACCCTGATCCCATTGCTCACTCTCAACCTATGTGTGAGGGATGGTCACTTATGGAGTGAGATTAGGCGTGAAGTAAGTATCAGGGTAACAAAACCAGTGATTTTTTAAATGATGTCATGATTTTGTCTTAAAAAAAGTCAAGATCAAAGCGGCCAGCTAATAAAGTCCTGGTCCTACATAAATAACTAGGGTTTTAAAAAATTATCTTTAATGATTTTTTTAACCTCCTTGAAAAAGATGAAGTGGTATATATTGCCTGTTTCTTAATGGTTAAGTATCATGAACTTTGGTGGGGAAAGAAACTGAAAGCCCAGTAATTCCCTCGGTCTTTATATAAGAAGAGTATTATCTGAATGTCGTTTGGGGCAGTGGTTATATTTTTAAGCATCTGTCATTCATGCTAATTGACCAGGGATGTGGCTAGCCAGGGTCAAGCTCCCACAGTCAGTGCAAGAGGGCCCTGAGGCTTTGGGCAGCCTGTCCGATGGCAGCCACCTAATGTAGGATGCAGTGGCAGTGCTGGCCCACTTTTGAGAGCAGCCGCTGAGTTACGGACTCCTTGTGTGGGAGCTGTATGTCGGACTGGAGCTCCAGACTGCTCATTCCCTGCCCAGAGCCTTACCCTGTCATCATTGATTTTATGGGGAAAGAAAGCATCTCCTTTTGTAAACACCACACCAGCATCTTCAATAAGATGATGCAATGGGATTAATGATGCACTTTCCAGCATCCTCATCGATTCTGAAGATGGAAGTAGAAACTTGAGATGAGACTAAGCCATGTTTTGTCAACATTTTGCTTCTCTAGCAAGCAAAATATCCTCAAATTGTGAGTTTACTTGAAAGATATGCTGGTATTTGAATCCCCAGGGCTGGGAAGATTCTATTTTACAGACATCACCAGGAGTGTGACACTCAGGCCTGAGAGTAAGGAGAAAGGAAGGAAAAATTAATGAGTAACCAACCACTCTATTTCAGAGTCTGTTGTATGGGTGAGCTGGTGGTGATTGGCTTGCAAATGTGTTTTCCAGGAAAAAAAACTCTACAGGAGTGGTGGGAACAGGATGGGAGTGGGAGGGCACAGAGGGACCAACAGACCTTCCTTTTCTTTGCAGGTCTAGGTCTGAGGATGGCCCAGATGGTGAGCAATTGTGTGGCTATTTAGTCAAATCCCAACTAGCTCAGCAGATAACTGAACATCCCTGAGGGGCTTGGGAAATATATGTGTTTGTGAAGTGCTGTGAGAATTTACCCAGTGTAGCTCAATCTGCCTCAGACTGACTTCTGACATAAATGAATTTTAAGAAAGTAGGCGTTTTCCTTCTTGAAGAAGCATAAACTCATATTAGGTTAGAATCTCAGGAGTTTGTATTCAGTTGATGTCTAGGCACATCAGAGATGGAGAGGAGATAAATGTCTCTCCAGCAAAGCCGCTGGGTTTGCACACCTGTCCCCAATATCTACACTGGGCTTGACAGAGGGTTTATGTAGACTAGTCAGAAAGTTGTGCAGCAGATATTCAATACTGAAATCAACGAATGCACTTTATTACTCACTTGCCTACTATCCCTGGATGACAATAAGACCTAGATCTACAGTTTAAAGTTCAGAAATATATGATGCTTCTCGATGGTTATGATCTGAATAACAGAAGTGAAGCGTTAAGGTAAATATTGATGTTATTTAAGAATACTCAGTGAACTAACAGGTCTCTGATGACTGTGTAATTTATGCCTAGCCCCGTGAAGAATAGTACAAAATAATATGACATGTGCTCCCCTGCACTTGTTATGGAAGATGAGACACACCTATGAAAAGCTGAAGTAGCAACACAGAGCAGGATGCATACAAACATGTGAAATACACAGAGATTACTGTGAGCTAGGAAGACGAGAAAGGCATCAAAGAGTAAGCCATTTGGTACTGGTCCCTGAAGGTCTTGACTGCGTGCAGTGATCTTAAAAGTGGGGTGTGAGATGACATACACTAGGGTGCAAGAATAAAATAGTAGGACTTCTATTTATATTTTCTCATCTTTGTTATTTCTCTTTTGTATGTTTATTACACACATAATGTTAGAATTCTATACACGTATAAAACTTGTAAGTAAGTAAATATACATATATGGGGTATGTGCCCCCCAATTTTTTGATGTGCATGTGCCAGTTACAAAGTTATTTTCTTTCAGCTTCAAATTCACCCTTCATTTTCTGCTCTGGAAAAGTCAAGTTGGGACCTTTAAATATATTTCCTTTTACCACCCAGAACAATGTTAAGCTCTGTCAGCAGAGGGCACAGGAGAGGCATTGCAAGAGGAACGGGGTTTTTTTCTTCCTAGCTCTGGTGTCCTCCCCTGAGGCTTCTGCAGGGAGGCACACTTCCTCCAGCCCCCAGGAACCACTTTCCTGCAATATGGGCAGCAGCTTCAGTGCAAGGCTCCACAACACCCATGGCCTCTCCGGCACTCAGCCCCTGCAGCATATAGCAATCAGCAGCACCCAGTGGGCAGCAGCTTCCCCAGGAACCCCCTTGGCGAGACACCTTCCCATGAACAGCTTTTCCTAGCACCTAGATGGCAGATTTCCGGTAAGTTCTACTGGTGCAGTACCACATTGACTTCTCTGCCATTCAGTGAGTGATGGCTGTGCCCTCTCCAACAAGGTCTGTGTTTCAGCCTTGAGGGCAGGGAGGATCTCTTCCTTGAGTGCTCTGCTCCTCATATCTGCTAATCCTATAGTTTTTAGAGTTCATTGTACTTCTTGCTAGCCAATCCTTCATTAGTTCGATCCTCTGTTATAGTATTTATTTATATTAAGCTTTCCCTGTTTGAATTACTGGATGGTTTCTCTCCTGAATGGGTCCGGACTGATTCACTGCACTTCTATTCATAAAAAATTTTGAGCATGCACTGACTGCCAGTATATGTATATTTTCTTGTTTATCAATTATATTCATGTATTATTTGACTAGTTTTCATGAACACATTAAAAACATACACAAAATTTTACTAAGATAAAGATGAAATATTGTATATTTGAAATATTGTCTTTGAACTATCTTGATTGTAATGGCTTTATACTACAATTAGCAAATATCTGAAGTAACAATATGAACCAAATATGGTGAATCATTAATAGTAATGATTGAAATTTAAATTACATTTCAAATAATGATTTGATTGGAATTAAAAGAGGGTACCTGTGTCCATCTTTATGTTCACTTTGAGTAGACTTTATTTTATTTTTAAAATAACAAACTTCAGAGCACCACATTGCACACCTCTGGGGCATATGAATCCTCTTTGGACACAACTGATCTAAGCTACCCCCTTGTCTCCTTTCTGGTCCATCACCTATACTCCAGCCATAGTGATCCACATAAAAATCACATCACTCACTTGCTTAGAGCACTTCATTGGCTCACCATCAGTCTTATGATAAAGTATGAAACTTATCTATAGACAATTCTGAGTGGGCTTAGGCCATGGTGAATGTGATGGTCCAAATCCTGGCAGAACCAACATCTGTTTTTTTCTCTAGTCTTGTCACCTACCCTCGCTTGCCTCACAAACAGGCCTGAGGTAGGGAACATACACTGAGGGATGCTGCACCAGGGCTTTTCCTGTTGAAACCCAGGCCCTGAGGCTTGGACTTCCTTCCTTTAATCTGACATGTGACCCCTCCTCAGTTCTGAAAAGCTCCTAAGTAGATTGAGTAATTCCAGGTTCTACTTTCCCATGCTGTCTGCTGATTGTGTGCTTCTCTGTTCTTTCTACAGCATAATGCACTGCTACTTCATTGCAAGAAGCTTCTTATGTACTGGGCCCAACTTGATGCTTTACAGTTTGTTCTTAGGCTGGAAGTGTCAGCTTTTGGAGTGCAGGGGCAGTTGAAATATATCTGTCATCTAACTTGGCACTATCACCTTCCCAAGCACAGTGATATTGCCTTTCACACAGTGATGGCATTGCCTCTCAGGAATACTCTCCCAGGCTACCCCTCCACAGATGCTATGGTACCATTTCTCCCTATGCCTCAGTTTCTCCTAAAGATATTAACACCTGAATTTACCTATGAAGTTGTTAAAAAAAATGAATTATGGCTTGGACTAGTACCTGTAATAGAGAAGGGATTTTCGATACACATTAATTATTATTTCTTCAAGGTCGACAACCAAGATAAAAGTACGTTTCCATAGGTTTTCTCCCTGCAACTCTTCTCACACACTTCTACACCTGACTCCACCAGAAATCTGAAAAAGGCAGAATGCTCTTTCCTGCTATCGGACTCCTAGATGGGAGTTTCCCAGCAGGCACAAGTGCCAGCTGCAGGACACAGGTGTGCCACTAATGACCTACAGGTATGCTGAGATACAAATTTCCCCTCAGCTTTGTGGGAGGCCAGGTGGGCTCTCTTTACCCCCTAGCCTTACCTTCTCACCTGGTGGGGTTACCCCAGTGTGCACCAGATGTGGCTTCCTGTGTTTACCACAACACAAAATATTAGGGAAATGCTGTTGGAATTACCTTAACACTCTTCTCCTAGTATCTCTTCTGTTGATCTTTCTGGCCTCAACTCAAATCTCACCTTCTCCTTAAATCCTTTCCTGCCTTCCTCAGCTAGAAGGAACAAAAGCATGTATGTGATGCAGGTTACCCCACCTTCTTCCATAAGCTTCTACTGCAGTTATTGTCTGATCCATTGAGTAGACAGTTAAACAAATACTCAGCTACTGTCCTTGAGACATCACTTATATGCTATTGCGAAGTGAAAGAGAAGGATTGGCAGTGGGATTGATGGAACTCACCTTAGAGATCATCTGGTCAAATGATATATAGACAGAAAGGAAGTCTTATCAAGGTTAAGTGGAACTTGTTCAATGTCACCTGGAGCTGGAATTGGAGGTCCACGATTCTAATAACTGATCCACAGTTGTACTGCTTGCATTTCTCATGCTGTGTCTTTGCTCCCAAATATACCAGGAGCTCATTGGTGGCCCAGTCCCTTCCTGATTGTCTTGTGTCTACCACAGTGAGCCTGGCCCAGGGCCTTGCACAAAGTTGGAGCTCATGAGATGTTTCCTATATGAATCTAATTGGTCACACTCAAGCATTTTCCTTTGCTTTCATTTGGGAATCAATCCTAAATCATTCCAAAGGGATGATAGTTTCTTTTCTGCTCATGATCTGTTTCAGGTCTAGGATGATACAACTGATAATGTATTTGAGCCTGTCCAGGAGCTGAGATTGGTCACTGTAGTTACAGTCAAAAAACGGTGATGATCCCATCAAAGGATGGAAGAAGCAGTTCCAAGAAGCTAATTGGAAAGACTGATGAGTCTACCATTTGTGCTTTCAAACTTGAGTCGTTTTACTAGTTCTCAAAATTTAATTTCAATACCTTCTTTGAAATGCGGACATTCAGCATCCACATTGTCCCTTGGGTGAAATGACTACTCCTGTATTTCAGTGTTCTAAATTATGAGCAATTAACATCAAGGCTGTAGCCTTAGCAACCTGTGCCTGGCTTGGGGGCTTTGCCCCTTCTGCTGGTTCTGTTTTCTTCCTCCCAACCTTCCTTTGACTCCCTGCAGTGCGAGCCCTCCAGGGAGGGAAGAAGGAGGAGAAGACACCCTGCTGCACATTACTTTTCTGTACTCCACTGATGCTCCTTTCCTTTTGTGATTTAATAACTTAAACATCTGACTTGAGAACATTGGAGATAGTAACAAAAGCCACTTTTTGAACCTTATGAGTCCTTTGGAGACAACTGTCACATTTTACAGTAGATGCAATTAAAAGTAATTTTGATCATCAGTAATAGAAGCTTCACTTACAGGTTCTATTATTTGGAATATAGTTATTTTTTATTTCACTTTTTTCTAGTCATATTGTAACATTAAACATGCAAATTTATGCATTCTACAATTCTACACTAAACTGTTACTGTGTGCCAGGCACTGCACTGCTATGTTCCAGGTTCCCTACCTTCATGGTGTTTCAGCTAGGAGAATGGTGGACCGTAAGCAAATGATTACACAGATTGTTATTTAATTAAAATAGTGAGAAGTAATGCAAGAAAAAATACAAGATACTCAAGGAACCTGAACCAAAGGGGTAAAATCTGGTATGAAGAGTCAGGGAAAGTTTTCCCAAAGAACTAGCATTTATGGTGAGGCTAAGGTGTGAATAGAAAGTACCAGAAGAAGAGGATCAAAGAGAAGTTGTTCAAAGAGAATTTCGTGATGAAAAATCAAGCCATGTTAAGTATTTGAGATTTTTTTCCCCTAAACCACCATGGAAACCTACCGAAGGATTTTTAGGAGGAAAGTGATATGATCCTATTTGCATCTAAAAAATAACCCTTTACCTATTATGTAAAAAAGACAGTGTCTTGGGAAATTGTCAAGGACTATGTTAATATCATCTTACCTTGATAGAATAGCAAAAGAGAGCCAATATCTGGTGTTTGGAAAAATATAATACAAATAAAGCATAAGACAAAAATAATATTAATTTTACACTGGTCTTCAAAACCAGTGTGGGTATTACTAAATGTCTCCTCAAAGATGGTAATGCAGATGAACCGATAGTAATTGGGCCCCAGCTTCTCTGAGAGAATCCTAAAGATAGCAAAGCAGTGTGAAGTAAGCTTCCATATATGCATTTGTTTTTCTCTGGGCATTCTTTTTTGTTCCATCAGTTTATATTCCATCAATTGCATCAATATAATACTAATTATATTAGTAATTGTTGAACCTGCTACCATGAATCACCTCTCACTCAACTCCCAGCACAAATTTCCTACTCAACTTTCCTCTCCTCCCTCTTACATGGATTGATTATTCTTAGCCCTTCATTATTCCCTTAGAATTTTAGAATCAGGTTATCCAGCTCTATGAAAACCAATGTAACCATTTTTATTTTAAAAACTGCATTGCATTTATATATTAATTCGACTAGAATTTACATCTTTATAATATTGACTTTATCTATAGACATAATTTATTTCTCCATTGATTTAAGTGCTCATTAAGTCATTCAAAAATATTTATTGAGCCATAATATGTGCCAGAAATTATTCTAGAAACTGTTAAGCAGCGGAGAATAAAAGCAGAAAAAACACTGGCTTTTAGGACTTTATACTCTAAAAAAGTATAAAAGTGGGAGAAACAAATAATTACAAAAAATATACATGTTAAGAGGTGATGAGTACTGCGAAGACGAAAATGGTATAGAAAGGGTTAAAGAACGACGAATACTGTTTTATAGAGGGGTCATAATAATGGTCTTCTTAAAATCATAAGTTTTTTTAGATTTATTTATCAGTACAATATAGTTTTAGATGCTAGCATAGACATTGTCTTCTTTTAAAGTTATGGTTTTTTTGGCTGGTGAATAAAAATGCTATTGGTTTTTGAAAATTGATTTTATATCCAGGAAATTTTTATATTTGGTTATTAAATTAGTTTGCAGATTCTCATAACGATTGTCATTTTCAACGTAACACAATTTTTCTTCCTTTTTAATCTTCCAGCTGATTATTATTTTTCTTAAGTAGGGCACTGTTAGGTCCTCCTGTACAATATTCTACAGAAATGGGGCAAGCAAGTATTCTTGTCTTGTTCTTAAAGGGATGGTTCTAGTGTTTCATCATTAAGAATGATGTCTTTGGTGAATGTTTGATGGACATATTTTATCAGATTAAAGATTCATAGCTTGCAAAATATATTTCTCATGAATGAGTGTTAAATTTTCATGTTTTTAGAAAACCTAATGAGAAGATAATATTGTTTTACATTTTCCATTTCCATCATGCTATGTGGTGGAATACATTATTAGATTGTCTAATGTTAAGTCATCCTTGAATGCTGGTAATAAACCCTACTTTGTCATGATTTATTATTTTTTTCCATATATTGCTTCATTTTCCCTGCTTCTAATTTCTTCAGATTTTTTTTTATTATACTTTGAGTTTTAGGGTACATGTGCACAATGTGCAGGTTAATTACATATGTATACATGTGCTATGCTGGTGCGCTGCACCCACTAACTTGTCATCTAGCATTAGGTATATCTCCCAATGCTATTCCTCCCCCCTCCCCTCACCCCACAACAGTCCCCAGAGTGTGATGTTCCCCTTCCTGTGTCCATATGTTCTCATTGTTCAATTCCCACCTATGAGTGAGAATATGCAGTGTTTGGTTTTTTGTTCTTGCGATAGTTTACTGAGAATGATGATTTCCAATTTCATCCATGTCCCTACAAAGGACATGAACTCATCATTTTTTATGGCTGCATAGTATTCCATGGTGTATATGTGCCACATTTTCTTAATCCAGTCTATCATTGTTGGACATTTGGGTTGGTTCCAAGTCTTTGCTATTGTGAATAGTGCCGCAATAAACATACGTGTGCATGTGTCTTTATAGCAGCATGATTTATAGTCATTTGGGTATATACCCAGTAATGGGATGGCTGGGTCAAATGGTATTTCTAGTTCTAGATCCCTGAGGAATCGCCACACTGACTTCCACAATGGTTGAACTAGTTTACAGTCCCACCAACAGTGTAAAAGTGTTCCTATTTCTCCACATCCTCTCCAGCACCTGTTGTTTCCTGACTTTTTAATGATTGCCATTCTAACTGGTGTGAGATGGTATCTCATAGTGGTTTTGATTTGCATTTCTCTGATGGCCAGTGATGGTGAGCATTTTTTCATGTGTTTTTTGGCTGCATAAATGTCTTCTTTTGAGAAGTGTCTGTTCACGTCCTTCACCCACTTTTGGATGGGGTTGTTTGTTTTTTTCTTGTAAATTTGTTTGAGTTCATTGTAGATTCTGGATATTAGCCCTTTGTCAGATGAGTAGGTTGCGAAAATTTTCTCCCATTTTGTAGGTTGCCTGTTCACTCTGATGGTAGTTTCTTTTGCTGTGCAGAAGCTCTTTAGTTTAATTAGATCTGATTTGTCAATTTTGGCTTTTGTTACCATTGCTTTTGGTGTTTTAGACATGAAGTCCTTGCCCATGCCTATGTCCTGAATGGTAATGCCTAGGTTTTCTTCTAGGGTTTTTATGGTTTTAGGTCTAACATGTAAGTCTTTAATCCATCTTGAATTGATTTTTGTATAAGGTGTAAGGAAGGGATCCAGTTTCAGCTTTTTACATATGGCTAGCCAGTTTTCCCAGCACCATTTATTAAATAGGGAATCCTTTCCCCATTGCTTGTTTTTGTCAGGTTTGTCAAAGATCAGATAGTTGTAGGTATGTGGCGTTATTTCTGAGGGCTCTGTTCTGCTCCATTGATCTATGTCTCTGTTTTGGTACCAGTACCATGCTGTTTTGGTTACTGTAGACTTGTAGTATAGTTTGAAGTCAGGTAGTGTGATGCCTCCAGCTTTGTTCTTTTGGCTTAGGATTGACTTGGCATTGCGGGCTCTTTTTTGGTTCCATAAGAACTTTAAAGTAGTTTTTTCCAATTCTGGGAAGAAAGTCATTGGTAGCTTGATGGGGATGGCATTGAATGTATAAATTACCTTGGGCAGTATGGCCATTTTCACGATATTGATTCTTCCTACTCATGAGCATGGAATGTTCTTCCATTTGTTTGTATCCTCTTTAATTTCATTGAGCAGTGGTTTGTAGTTCTCCTTGAAGAGGTCCTTCACGTCCCTTGTAAGGTGGATTCCTAGGTATTTTATTCTCTTTGAAGCAATTGTGAATGGGAGTTCACTCATGATTTGGCTCTCATTTCTTCAGATTTTTATAGCTTTATTCATAAAGGCAATTGGCCTATAATTTTCCTCTCTCCTACTGTTCATGTTGTTATGATATCAAAGTTACACTAGCTTCATAAAATGAATTGGAAAAATTCCTTTTTAAAATCTTTCCTCTGGAAAATTTGTATAAGATATTGTCTCCTTGAAGATTATCTTAGAGGGCTTTTTGAGGTGGGTTTTAAATAACTGATTTGATTGATCTAATAGTTATAATTTTTTCAAGTTATCTATTCTTGATTCTGACGTTGGTAACTGGTTTTTTTCTAGTCAATTTTCCATTTCATTAAGTTTTCAAATTTCTTGGCATAAAGTTGGTCATAGTATTCTCTAACATTTCTAAAAGTTCCTAAAATACACATAGTTATGGCTTTTCATTTCTAACATTTTTTATCTCTTTTTTCTTGATTCTTTTTATCAAGGAAATAACTAATTTTAAAATCAGCTTTTGGTATTATATTTTTTCTTTATTTTTTCTATTTCCTCCCTTACTTCTATTTTGTTTTGACTTTTGCTTTTTGTTGCAGTTTGTCTTTTTTCCAACTTTTTGATGTGGTCTTTCATTGCATCTTGTGGGTCATCAGTTCTGAGTAGCTTCTAATTCTCATAATAATCACTGTTTTAACTGTTATTTAAAAGTGTGTTTTTGAACTTCCAAATCTGTGGACTTGTTTGACATTTTGTCTTTGACTTATAGTGAATTTTGGTCGTAGAACATTGTCTGAAGAATACCAGTTATTTGGATTAACAGAGACTTACTTTGTAGCCTTGTATATAGTCAACTTTTATAACTATTCCATGATTCCTTAAAAAAATTATTCTCTCCTGTTGTTGAATTCATGGTTCCATATGTGTTCCCTAGATCAAACCCTTTTGTTAATTGTGTTGTTCAAATAATCGATATTATTATATATTTTGTCTGCTTGGGTTATCATTTACAGAAGTGTGTTTTACTTTCCCTCTATGATTGTGAATTTGTTGATTGCTCTTTCTGGCAAATATATGCTGGTTCAGGGTCATTATATCTTCCTGGCAAATTGTTCCTTATATTATTATGTTGGCTGGAAATGAGATCAGCTGCATGTTGTGGAAAATCAACTAGAGTGGCTTAGTAAAAGAATTACATTTTTCTCAAGAAATAAGAAATTTAGTAGTAGCTCAGGACTGGTCATGCTCTTCAAGTTAGTTTTCAAAGACTCATATCCTTCTAATTTCCTATTCCACCACTCTTGCAATTTCATTTTCAAATTTATGGTCACTGAAAAGCTCCTCTTCCTCCAGTATCAACTTGGCATTACACATAAGAAGGTGGTAGAAGGTTGAAGGGCAAAAGCCCTATGCTAGCTAAAACTATCAGGAAATAATTACATCAGGAAAATAATAGCTTTCCCCAAAGTACCATCCAGTAGTTTTCTTTTCTTCTCTTTTTTTCTTTTTCTTTCTTTCTTTCTTTTTTATTTTATTTTATTTTTTTTTTATTTTTTTTTGAGATGGAGTCTCCCTCTGTCACCCAGGCTGGAGTGCGGTGGTGTGATCTCGGCTTACTGCAACCTCCACCTCCTGGGTTCAAGTGATTCTCCTGCCTCAGCCTCCTGAGAAGCTGGGGCTACAGGCCTGCACCACCATGCCTGGCTAATTTTTGTATTTTTAGGTTTCACAATGTTGGCCAGACTGATCTCAAACTCCTGGCCTCAAGTGATCCTTCTGCATTGGCCTCCCAAAGGGCTGGGATTGCAGGCCTGAACCACCGTGACCAGCCCCAGTAGTTTTCCACCTATATATTTGTGTCCAGAAATGGTCACTGATCATCCTTGATGCAAAAGAGTCTAGAAAAATGAATATTTTTAACTGGGCCCATGGGTGCCCCAAACCCAATTGAAATTCCATTAGTCAGGAAGAAGGGAAATTGAAGAATGTTAGGCTGAAAAATTGGTAGGGTATGCCATAGTTGCTTTAACCTGAATAATGTTTTTCACCTTGAAGACCATGCTTTCCAACATTATATGAACTTTTGGTTAGTACTTATCGCATATATATATATTTCATTGCTTTCAACATTAATGTGTTATATCTTAGAAGTGTCTGTTGTAAATAACATAGAACTAGATTTTAAAATCCAATCAGTTTCATCTTTTAATTGAAGATGTAACCATTTACATATATCGCCATGACTGATATATATGGATTTATTTCTCCCATTTTATGATTTTTTGCTTTCTAGTTAATATGTTAAATTTTTGTCTCTTTTATCTTTCTTCTTGCCATTTATTGGCCTTTTTTTTTTTTTTTTTTTTTTTTTTTTGGCCATCGTGTCTTTCTTTCATCAGTTATGTCAGGAACTTGGGACAGCTCCATTATACCTTTCTTTTGCTCTTCTCAAACATTCCATGAGTCACCAGTGTCTGTAAATCTCATTTTGCACATTTACCTTGAATCTCCACTAGTACTATCTGGGCCCAAGATACTATCATTTCTCTGCTAATTTTTTTTTCATAACTTTCTTATTGGTGTCCTGGAATCTACTCTTGCTGCTACTACAGAATGACTTCACTGGACTAGCTAGAGAAGTTAGTGGGAAAACAACTAGCCTACATTTTCCTCAACTTACCCACATTGTCCAATTAAATTGAGTACTTTTAACACCAAGACCTCATGAAAGGAAAATGATGTGCTCAGCTTTCTGACATTAGCATCTAGGTAAATGGCAATACTAGTACCGAAATGTAGAATACCAGAAATGAAACATATTTAGAGTGGAACATCATGAATTCAGTTTTGTGCATAGTGAATGTAAGGTGTCTGTACACTATCCAAGGAGTGACGCTGGTATAGGCTGTTAGATAAATGGGCTTGAAACTTAAAGATAAATCTTTACATTGAACATATTGAAGGCTTGGGAAAGGATCCTTTTAGATGGGTGAAGAGAAAGCAGTGCCTGGTCCCAAGCCCTGAAAACTTCTTACATTTAAAGGTCCAATGAAGTAGAAGCTTCCGCAAAGGAAATTGAAAAGATAAAGTCAAAAAGGAGAGGCAAGAGAATCTAACATCATGGAATCCAGGAGTAATGAGTGTTTTCACAAGGAGGGAGTGATCATTTATAACAGATACCACTGAGAAGATGAGAATGGAGAGGTGTCTGTTCAGCAACATAGGGGCACATTGGTGACAGCAATTTAGGTAGAGCCCTTGGTGCCTGTCCCAGATAGAAGTGAGCTGAGGAACAAGTCAAAGATATGGAATTAGAGTTATTTCTTTTAAATAGGCTTTTAGAGAAATTTGGCCAGATAAGCTAAGAAAATGACAAGCAGTAGCTGGGAGAGGGCCATGCTTTCAAGGAAGAGGTTTATTTAAAAATATAGAGTATATGTTTAAATATTAATACAGAGAATTCAGTGGGAAAGAAAAGACTGAAGAATGAGGACAGCAAAGATAATCCACTGAGTTTCTGAGAAAGCTTAGTGGGGTGGGGTATTCATCCTACTTGATAGGATGAGAAGCAACATTGAAAGAGGCATAAAGATGCAAAAAAGAATCTCCCAACATTGGAAGAAGGATAAAGATGCAAACCTCTTTGTAGTGATGTTGGCAGCGAGTTAAGGCAGTTTCTGTCTAATGATTTTTGTTTTCTACATGAAGTCAGAAGCAAAGTCATTTTCTGATGATGAATAAAGGTCAGAGCTTTAAGAAGAAATAGTAGGCCTGGTCAATCAATACATAGCTACATTTTGTTAAATTTCTAGTGTTAGGGACATATTTCTAATGCCCACCAAAAAATCCAATAATGTGATTATTTTCATTCTATAGATAAAGAAACAAATGTTAAATAACTTACCCAAACTCATATGGCTGGGGTGTATGCCATGCAGATGGCAGAGCTGGGACTGAACCCCAGATTTGTTTGACTTTAAAACTGACACTAATTTGAAAAATTAAAAGAGTATGACAAAGACAAATTATCTCCTCCAGTTTTTCACTGGCTAGTTGGAAATTCTCTGCTGTCTCTTCATTGGCCTTATTACAGTTCATGTGGATATTTAAGATCGTTTTGTGACCCAGTTGAAAACTCTAACCTGCCTGAGCAGAATTAGTTGTCTTCAATGGTTGCATTTATTTCTGATAAATGCAAAGCATCACTAGGACTAAAATAGAATTTGGGGTCAGATTCCTTCATGGCTGGGGAGCTCTGCAGCTGTGACAGATGGATGAGGGAGCAAATGCTAGAGGGAAAAAGGAAAGAAAAAAGAATCTGTCCTAAACTGAACCTTTGTTCAGACAGTTAAGACTTGCCTCCCAGACAGGTTTTATGGATTGCTAGGGGTCTCAATTTGTGCCCTGATGTGTCTGAGTGAGTGTGATTTTCAGGCATCCAGACCCCTCCTCCCAGGCCCACCCCGCACATATTCTGCCTTCACTTCCTTGCACAGTGAAACGCTCCATTGACTGCAAGGCTTATGAAATGAAAGGCTCTGATAATGGAGTGTAAGCATTTTTGTCTTCATGATTGTGGAAAAAAAAAAGCGATGAAATTACTAAGAAATCCTCAAGATGGGGTGGGGAAATGGGAACAAATGATTCGTTGGGAAAATAAATGCTTCAGTCTAAAAAAATCCAAGATGGAATAAAAGATGTATTCCCCTCCCAATTTATAGAGGAGAGCAATTTTTTGGTATTTTCTCAGCCGAAAGGAAGAAAACCTTAAATTTCTTCTTTTCTGTCTTTATGAGTCTAAACTATTTTTAAGACTTTAGAGTACATCAGGTTCTGATATCGTGTGCATTTTGTTTCTTTAACTGTAGTTGGTATTTTATATGGACTTCTGAGCAAACTGAATTGGAATTCTGCAAGGTCAGGGGACTGTTTCGTTTGTCTTTGCTCACCACGAAGCCTAACACCTCCTGCCATGCCTGACATTGTATAGGTGACAATTTTTAAAAAAATAAATGAATGAATTAGCGAATTAAACTTTCTTCTCAGAGTATTTTCACCAACAGTTTTCACTGGCCTCTGGTTCTCATTACTTTCTCTTTACTGGCATTTTCAGGGGATTTCATACCTGTTTTAATTTTGCTTTTTCTAGTTGCTGTAGTTATTGTTTTAGTTACCAAAAATGACTTAAAATTGTGAAATATGTGAGCAGGATCGGGTCGTATTTACTGTTGAAATGTATCAGGCTTCTCCCTTCCAATCCTGCTCTAGCCACAATCTGTAAGGTCAGTACTATGCCACACTGGTGGCCCTTGGGCCTCTAATTTGGGACACTGATACTGATCTCTGACCCCTGTTCTGCTGATGTACCCTATAGCCTTGTAATTGCCCTTGAAGAAAGTCCTACTTGCTTTGGTTACTTACCCTTCAAGGTACTGAAATGTGACTGTGGCCCAGCTGTCCTCCAGGTGCTCCCATCTGACCACATGACTCTCCAATCCTGGCTCCCATGATTCGTTGCTGCTCAGTCATGAGGACATGTTGACACCTCATCTTGGTCTCTCTATGGCTAGCAATTTCTCTAAGCTCTGACATACCTGGGTTTTGGGCCTTCTTCTGCAAATGGATCACTCTCTCATACAGACTATTATTCTAACCTCCCGAATTCCCAGGTCCTGGCCCCTTTCTACCTATGCAGTCTTAATCTAACAATCTGCTAATATGTTGGTGTATGTACTTGAGGATTTTTTTCAATACTTAGACATAAACATAACTATGCACACTTATTTTCGATAAACCTGAGGTCACTCTATGCATACTTCTTTGTAATCTGATGTTTTTCTCTTAATAAAACTCTTAATAGAGTTAATTAATAGACATCCACACTAATTAATGGACATCCACATCTATTATAGACATCCATATTAATTAATAGACATCCACATTAATTAATAGACATCCACATCTTCATTTTAACTCATAATCCTCCTGGTTATTATTATTCCATTTCATGTTTATTACTATTACATATTTTAACCAATCCTCTGGTGATTAATAATTGAGTTGCTACAGTTTTTGGCTTTATGCTGTGATATAAATCCACATATATATATTTTTTACATTGTCCAATTATTTCCTCAAGTCCTAGAAATAGAAATTTGGGGCCAAATGTTATATATATTTTATAGCTTCTGATCATATATTGATACAACTGGTCTAGGTTTACTATTGTATAGTTCCACAAATTGTGTTCAAGTGCCAGATTCAATTCTCCCTCATAAACATTTATTATTATTATTGAATTAGCTTTAATATATTATAAATTTTTGTGAATAAATATACACATAGTAAACTTATGACTTATAGATATTATACCTGATTCTCGTGGATATTCCATGCTCTGGTGTATACGAAGGTATAAAGAAGACAGCAAATGCCCTCTTATCATTACCCTTCTTTCCAGGAGACCATCTTTTTTTTTTTTTTTTTTTTTTTTTTCGAGACGGAGCCTCGCTCTGTCACCCAGGCTGGAGTGCAGTGGCGCAATCTCGGCTCACTGCAAGCTCCGCCTCCCGGGTTCACGCCATTCTCCTGCCTCAGCCTCCCGAGTAGCTGGAACTACAGGCGCCCGCCACTACGCCCGGCTAATTTTTTTTTTTTTTTTTGGTATTTTTAGTAGAGACGGGGTTTCACCGTGGTCTCGATCTCCTGACCTCGTGATCCGCCCTCCTCGGCCTCCCAGAGTGCTGGGATTAGAGGCGTGAGCCACCGCGCCCGGCCTTCCAGGAGACCATCTTTATAGCTGCTTTCATTTTTGCTTTAGTTGTTATAGTTATCCTGTTATTTAGTGTAGACCTCCAAGGTTTTTTTCTGTTATCATAATTTCATTGCTTGCTAATGTAATAGACGAAATATGGCATGGTGATTTTGACATGATTTGTGTTTATTATAACATTAATGCAGTTAAACATCTTTTTGTAAGTTTATTTAAGCCATTTCCTTTTCTTCTTTTGTGACTTGCCTGCTTCTTTTTTACTCATTTTTGTATTGGGGTTTATGTTTTTTCTTAGTAATTTTTAAGATCTCTTTGAAATTAAAGGTGTCAGGTTTTGTTTGCTTTTTGATATTGCTGTGTTTATTCAGATACAAAATGTTTTTCCACTGGAATTTCTGCATTTGGATTTAGGCTTAGAATGCTCCTCCAACCCACACCCTCATTCCTGAGTTTATAAAAACTGCCTATATTAACAATAACAACAACATTAAGAACTAACATTTCCTAAGTTAACACTAACCATTTGCCAGGCCCTTCTAAGAGCCTTGTATATGATCTCCTTTATTCATCACAAAAACCCCATGAGGCACATACTGTTATAACTCATTTTACAAAAGAAGAAACTGAAACACAAATGTTTAAGTGACTTAGTCACATAGAGAGTGGCAGACCCTGCAATCTAACCTAGGTAGTCTGACTCCAGAGGCCACACTCTAAATTGTGATATCTGCTTTAAAACTTGAATCCATTTGGAATTAATTTGGTAAAAGTATAAGCTAATGATTTTAACTAATTTTTCCCAAATACTAAGTTATCTCAATCCATCTGAATAAAGTAACATTTCCTAAACTACCAATATTAGTGTATTACCCATACTCATATTTTTAGTTTTTTGTCAGTCTGCACATTTAAGCTTTATATATCACTAAACTGCTTTTTAATAGCCAGATCTGACATTTGGATAATGGGGTTTTGTTGTTGTTGTTGTTTTACTTTAAGTTCTGGGATACATGTGCAGAATGTGCAGGTCTGTTACTTAGGTATACATGTGCTGTGGTGGTTTGCTGCATCTGTCAACCCATCATCTAGGTTTTAAGCCCCACATGCATTAGGTATTTGTCCTAATGCTCTCCCTCCCCTTGCCCCCATCCCCTGACAGGCCCTGGTGTGTGATATTCCCCTCCCTGTGTCCATGTGTTCTCATTGTTCAACTCCCAATTATGAGTGAGAACATGCAGTGTTTGGTTTTCTGTTCCTGTGTTAGTTTTCTGAGAATGATGGCTTCCAGCTTCACCCATGTCCCTGCAAAGGACACGAACTCATCTTTTTTATGGCTGTGTAGTATTCCATGGTGTATATGTGCCACATTTTCTTTATTCAGTCTATCATTGATGGGCATTTGGGTTGGTTCCAAGTCTTTGCTATTGTGAATATTGCTGCAATGAACATACGTGTGCATGTGTCTATATATAAAGAAATGTGCCACATTTTTTTATCCAGTCTGTCATTGATGGGCATTTGGGTGGTTCTAAGTCTTTGCCATGGTGAATAGTGCTGCAACAAACATATGTGTGCATGTGTCTTTCTAGTAGAGTGATTTATAATCCTTTGGGTATATATCCAGTAATGGGATTGCAAGATCAAATGGTATTTGTGGTTCTAAAACCTTGAGGAATTGCCACCCTGTCTTCCACAATGGTTGAACTAATTTACACTCCCATCAACAGTGTAAAAGCATTCCTATTTCTCCACATCCTCTCCAGCATCTGTTGTTTCCTGACTTTTTAATAACCAACATTCTAACTGGCGTGAGATGGTATCTCACTGTGGTTTTAATTTGCATTTCTCTAATGATGATGAGCTTTTTTTCCACATTTATTGGCAGCATAAATGTCTTCTTTTGAGAAGTGTCTGTTCGTATTATTTGCCCACTTTTTGATGGTGTTGTTTGTTTTTTTTTTCTTGTAAATTTGTTTAAGTTCCTTGTAGATTCTAGATATTAGACCTTTGTCAGATAGGTAGATTGCAAAAAATTTCTCCCATTCTGTAGGTTGCCTATTCACTCTGATGATAGTTTCTTTGGCTGTGTAAAAGCTCTTTAGTTTAATTATATTCCATTTGTCAGTTTTGGCTTTTGTTACAATTGCTTTTGGTGTTTTAGTCATGAAGTCTTTGCCCATGCCTATGTCCCGAATGGTATTGTCTACGTTTTCTTCTGGGGTTTTTATGGTTTTGGGTTTTACATTTGTCTTTAATCCATCTAAGTTAATTTTTGTGTAAGGTGTAAGGAAGTGATCCAGTTTCTGTTTTCTGCATATGGCTAGCCAGTTCTCCGGATAATGGGTTTTTTTTTAAGGATATATAGGCTTGTTAACTTGTTAACTTTATTTCTACATACACACCACACACACACACACAAACACACACACACACACACACACACACACAAAGACATCACATAAATTCAACACATAAATTTTAAAAATTTGCAGTTCTTTTTTTCTCTTTTTATTCTCAAATTTTCTTTATTTTATTTTTCCATAAGTTTTTGGGGTACAGGTGATATCTGGTTACATGAGTAAGTTGTTTAACGGTGATTTGTGAGATTTTGGTGCACTCATCACACATGCAGTATACACGGCACCATATTTTTAGTCTTCTATCGCTCACCCCACTCCCACTCTTCCCCCCAAGTCCCCAAAGTCCGTTGTATCATTCTTATGCCTTTACGTCCTCATAGCTTAGCTCCCACATATCAGTGAGAACATCTGATGCTTGGCTTTCCATTCCTGAGTTACTTTACTTAGAATGATAGTCTCCAGTCTCATCCAGGTCTCTGCAAATGTTAAGTGATGCATCTGCTGATAAAGCTCTTGAAAAGTATTTCATAGTGGCATTGCTGAAACAAGTCACTTCTAGCAGTATTTTCGTCTTCATCTGATTTGTGTCATTTATAAGATTTTTTTAAAGACTGTTTCCTTTTGCCCCTATTTTGAAGCCAGATACAACAGAGTATGCAATGTATAGGGATTTAAAGTAGATTAGTGGTTAGGACTAGGGATGGGAATAGAGAGTGACTGTAAATGGGCATGAAGTTCCTTTCTAAGGTGATGGTAATGTTTCAAAATTAGACTGTGATGATGGTTGGAAAATTCGGTGAGCATACTAAAATTTATGATATTTTACACCTAAAATAGGTAGATTTTATGGGATATAAATTATGTCTCAACAAACCAATGTTTTATAAAAGCAACCCTATGCTCACTCAAAAGAAAACACATGCACAAGGAAGGTGGGATATTGAAAAGTGCTGATATTAACCATGAAGAATAAGCCTCAAAAATGTTGTCAAGTTGGGATAAATATGGAGATAATTAGAATTTGAGAGCTATTCACTGTTGTCCTCAAACAGACATTATCTTACAATAAGCATGTTGACTATGGGATCTATTGTGAATGAAAGGAAATGTTGGGAATGTATTGTTAAAAAATATGTTACTAAAGTCATATGTGATTGGGGTTTGAATAGAATTTTTAGTTGTTAGAGAATAGAAATCCCTTTGTAACATCTAAGTATGTTTCCAGTTTCTGTGCATTTGTATTCCATATTTTTGAGATACTTATGTACCAACATAGTAGATTTTACTGTATACTTTGATAGACTTTTGTACTTTGTGTTTTTCCATTGATCTTCACTTTTCTGATAGCAGTAGGCTGATATTATCATTAAAGCCGCTTAATAATACACTTTACTATCCAGTAAGATAAATTCCTCATCTTATTCTTATAAATGTTAAAGAGATTGGTTGTTTCATTCATTTGATCTTGCAAATAAACCTTTAAATCAATTAGAAAATATATTTAAAATAAATAGTGGTCTTGCTCTGGAATTTACTTATATATAATTTTGATATGAATGAACATCTTTACAACATGAAATGTTTCCTTCCAGGAGCATAGACTATCTCCACTTACTCTATTCTTTTAAAATAATCATCTAATAAAATTTTGTAAACTTTAAAAATCTAGATTCATAATTTTTAAGATTTTTTCTATGTACATTATATTTTTGCTGCCATTGAGAGTGGGATTTTTTTATTTCTTAAATCTCTTATATATAGAAAAAAAGCTGTCTTTATATTGAGGTATAGTTTACATTTAATAAAATGCATACATCTTAAGTGCTCAGTTTAATGAGTTTTGACATTTGCGTTCACACATATAACCACCATCTAAAACAAGGCCACCATCTAAAACAAGGTATAGAGCATTTTCATCACCCTAGAAAGTTTTCTCATGCCCTGTTCCAGTCAGTACCCCCAAAACAGCCACTTTCTGACTTCTATCACTGTGATTTCCTCTTCTTGCACTTCATATTTTAATGTGTGTGGAGGATTCTTTTGTTCAGCGTAATGCCTTTGATGTTCATCTATGCTGTGAGTGTATCAGTAGTTTGTTCCTTTTTCGTTGTTAAATAATATTACCCTGTATGAATATAGCAGAATTTGTTTATCCATTTCTTTGCTCTTTAACATTTGGGTTGTTTCAAATTTTTTGTTTGTTTTCTTGCTAATATGAATACAGCTGCTATGATGATTCTTGTATAAGTCTATGTGTGGACTTATGTTTCTATTTCTCTTGGGTAAATACCTAGGAGTAGAATTCCTTGATCATAGGATATATCTATGTTTGTAAGAAACACAAATATCTTTTCAAAGTGGTTGTTATTATATTACATTCCTACCAGCAGTGATGTGAGTTCCAGTTGCTTCACATCTCTGCCAACATTTGATGTTGTCATCTTTTTTATTTCAACCATTCTGATGATGGCATTTCGTTGTGGCTTTTCTGTATGACTAATGATGAGCACCATATTGTGTATCTTCTTTTATTAAATTTATGTGGGGTTTTTTTGCTCATTTCTTTTCTCTCTCTCGCTCTGTGTGTTTGTTTTTTGAGATTAGATCTCACATGTCACCCAGGCTGAAGTGCAGTGGCACAATCTCAGCTTGCTGTAACCTCCACATCCCAGGCTTAAGTGATCCTCCTATCTCAGCCTCCAGAGTAGCTGGAACTACAGTCATGCACCACAATCCTTAGCTAATTTTAAAATTTTTTATGAAGATGAGGTCTCATTACATTGCCCAGGCAGGTGATTTCTTAAAATTCTTTTGTAGAGGGGGGAATCTCTCTATGTTGCCCAGACTGGTCTTGAATTCTTGGCTTCAAGCACTCCTTTTTTCCCCATTTTTAGTTGTGTTGTTTATCTTTGGATTTGTGATTTGTAGGAATTCTTTATTTTTATATACTTATTCTTAGCCACTGGTCTCATTAGTTTCAATAGTTCTTCACTTGGTTATATTGGATTTCCAGCTAAGCAATTATATGCTCTTTGAAAAATTATATATTTGCTTCTCTTTTGCTGTAATTTTACCTTTTACGTGTTTTATTATTTTATGGCATAAGCTGGAACCTCCCAAACTGTTGAGTAATTGTGGTGACAGCCGATACTGATCCTGAATATAATGATAATGTTATTAGTGTTACAGTATTAGGTTTTATATTTATTTTTATTAGGAATGGATGCTAAATATTCCCCAATATTTTTCTATTGAGATGTTTGCATAATTTTTCTCCTTCAGTTCATTAATATGATTTATTATATTCCTAGTTTACTAATTTTGAAATATCCATGCCTCTGGGATAAATCCTACTTGGCCGACGTGTATTCTTAATACTGATAGATTTTATTCATTAATACATTATATAGTATTTTAAAATTATATTCACATAAGAATTGACCTATAGTTTTGTTTGCATCCTTTGTTGTTATTGTTTTGATGGATATGCTTCCTTGTTTTGTGCATCTTTGTCTGATACTGGTTTCAGGGTTATACTAAACTTAATAGAAGAGTTGGAGCATTGTTATTATTTTCTCCTCTGGAATGTATTTTTTAATACATCAGCTACACGTGTTATTTTATCATTCCCATTCCCCTATTTCACCCTTGAGAGATTTTTCCCTACCTCACCTCTCCTCTTCCTATATTGTTATACTGGCATATGTCGAGCTCTGGAGGTTCCTAAGGCTCCCTGTTTTACCTGCTCTGGAAACTGCTCTTGGTTCCCCTGCTGCCAAGCATAGGCTTTGTCTCTGTTCCAGAGGCCCTGAGTTGTTCAGATTTGTATTTTATTTTGGAATAAGCCCTCATGAACTAAGCTGCAGGGTGTACCTAGGGCAGCAATAAACACAGTTCTACTGGCCCTGAGCCATGTAATAGGTTGAACATATGAAACTCCCCATATCCCACCAGTTTCAACCTACAAAAATGGCAGTTTCACATAACTCAGAATAATGCCTGGACTCCCTCCTCCAGATGTTTGGAAGCACCTGGAGGGTGGGAAAGCCTTAAATTTTCTCTGTTAGAGACCTTGGAAGGAGATGCCTGCAATTGTTGTAATTGGGACACTTCGTTTGGGGGAAAGGCTTCCTGATGAACATGTCCAACATTCTTTTTACATTTTTCTAGATTGTCCTAGAGAGTTCTTTTATTATTATTATTATACTTTAAGTTTTGGGGTACATGTGCAGAACATGCAGGTTTGTTACATAGGTATACATTTGCCATGGTGGTTTCCTGCACCCATCAACCCATCATCTACATTAGGTATTTCTCCCAATGCTATCCCTCCCCTTGCTCCACACCCCCAACAGGCCCTGGTGTGTGATGTTCCCCTCCCTGTGCCCATATGTTCTCATTGTTCAACTCCCACTTATGAGTGAGAATATGCCGTGTTTGGTTTTCTGTTCCTTTGTTAGTTTGCTGAGAATGATGGTTTCCAGCTTCATCCCTGTCCCTGCAAAGGACATGAACTCATTCTTTTTTATGGATATGTGACATTCCATGGTGTATATGTGCCACATTTTCTTTATTCAGTCTATCATTATGGGCATTTGGTTGTTTCCAAGTCTTTGCTATTGTGGATAGTGCTGCAACAAACATACGTGTGCATGTGTCTTTCTAGTAGAATGATTTATAATCCACTGGGTATATACCCAGTAATGGGATTTAAAGATCAAATGGTATTTCTAGTTCTAGATCCTTGAGGAATTGCCACACTGTCTTCCACAATGGTTGAACTAATTTACATTCCCACCAACAGAGTAAAAGCGTTCCTATTTCTCCACATCCTCTCCACCATCTGTTGCTTCCTGACTTTTTAATGATTGCCATTCTAACTGGCACAAGATGGTATCTCATTGTGGTTTTGATTTTCTTTTCTCGAATGACCAATGATGATGCGCTTTTTGCCATATGTTTCTTGGCCACATAAATGTCTTCTTTTGAGAAGTGTCTGTTCATATCCTTCACCCACTTTTCGATGGGGTTGATTGTTTTTTTCTTGTAAATTTGTTTAAGTTCCTTGTAGATTCTGGATATTAGCCCTTTGTCAGATGGATAGATTGCAAAAATTTTCTCCCATTCTGTAGGTTGCCTGTTCACTCTGATGATAGTTTCTTTCCCTGTGCAGAATCTCTTTAGTTTAATTAGATTTGATTTGTCAAGTTTAGCTTTTGTTGCCATTGCTTTCGGTGTTTTAGTCATGAAGTCTTTGCCCATGCCTATGTCCTGAATTATTGCCTAGGTTTCCTTTTAGGGTTTTTATGGTTTTAGGTCTTACGTTTAAGTCTTTAATCCATCTTGAGTTAATTTTTGTATAAGGTGTAAGGAAGGGGTCCAGTCTCAGTTTTCTGCATATGGCTAGCCAGTTTTGCCAACACCATTTATTAAATAGGGAATCCTTTCCCCATTACTTGCTTTTGTCAGATTTGTCAAAGATCAGATGGTTGTAGATGTGTGGTGTTATTTCTGAGGCCTCTGTTCTGTTCTATTGGTCTATGTATCTTTTGGTACCAGTACCATGCTGTTTTGGTTACTATAGCCTTGTGATGTAGTTTGAAATCAGGTAGCGTGATGCCTCCAGCTTTGTTCTTTTTGTTTAGGATTGTCTTGGCTATATGGGCTCTTTTTTAGTGCCATATGAAATTTAAAGTAGTTTTTCTAATCCTGTGAAGAAAGTCAATAGTAGCTTGATGGGGATGGCATTGAATCTCTAAATTACTTTGGGCAGTATGGCCATTTTCATGATATTGATTCTTCATATCCATGAGCATAGAATGTTTTTCCATTTGTTTGTGTCCTCTCTTATTTCCTTGAGCAGTGGTTTGTAGTTCTCCCTGAAGAGGTCCTTCACATCCCTTGTAAGTTGGATTCCTAGGTATTTTGTTCTCTTTGTAGCAATTGTGAATGGGAGTTCACTCATGATTTGGCTCTGTTTGTCTATTATTGGTGTATATGAATGCTTGTGATTTTTGCACATTGATTTTGTATCCTGAGACTTTGCTGAAGTTTCTTATCAGCTTAAGGAGTTTTGGGGCTGAGATGATGGGGTTTCTCCACTCTAGCCACACTAGCCTCCATGCTGTTGCTCAGGGTTGTTTTCCCTGCCTGAACCACTTCCCCCTAGATATTCACATGGCCTGCTCCCTCACTTCCTTCAGGTCTCCTCTTAGATCTTCGAGGTCTTCCCTGACCATCCTGCTTAAAATTTTATTTCTTTCTGCTGGGTGCTGTCTCCCTTTTCTAAAAGTAACAGTTTTCACCATTTAATATACAATATAGTTTACTTATTTAATATGTTAACTGTCTGAGTTCTAGAATGGCAACTTGCATGACAACTCTACTATGTCACACATTCTTATTCACCTCTGCTTTGTATTCCCAGCACCTAGTATAATGCATGGTACATGGTAGATATTCAACAAATATATTTAATAAATGAATGAAAAATTTTAAAGTGAAAACCTACCTGTTTCTCTTTCTCTCTCTCTCCCTCTTCTCTTTCTCTCTTTTTCTCTTTATCTCTTCCTTTCTCTCTCTCTATCTCTCTTTCTCTCTCCCTCTTTCTTTCCTTCCTTCCTTCCTTCCTTCCTCCTCCCCTCCCCTCTCCTCTCCTCTCCTCTCCTTTCTTCAGCATGTCCAGATTCTCCCCAACCTCCTACAAAGCTGCCTTAGCTTGTATTCCCAGTAAATGAGAGCAATGCCTTTGTGGAAAGAAGAGCAGATTCCTACACACCATAGACTAAGTCATGGAATTTCCCAAGTCATCAGGGCTACTCTGGTGCCCTAGTTTGTCAGCCAAACCATCTCAGCACATGGAATGACCTTGGGCTGTTACCAAGAAGTGGATTCCCTGTAGCAGTTGGCTTACTCTTTCTAGAAAGGCCTGTTAGTCTCTAATATAGCATTGGGTAGAGCAAACTGCAGACCTCTGCTACATCCCGGGAATTGAAATGGGAGGCTTGTTCTAAAATTCTCATAGGAATTTTTAACACACTCTAAAAATGTCCACCTTTGAATGAAGATTTAGGGTCAGAGAGAGCATACAGGGATGGAAAGTATCTTCCAGACTGATTTTTGACACTGGTGAACTTTGTGACCATGGGCAAGCTGTTCAACCTCTCTGATGATATGTGATCATTCCCTGCAGCCCAAAGCCATTCCATTTAAAAAGGATATCTTATTTGTTTTCTTTCCAGTGTAATTATGTCCACAACATAGAAAATGCCTCTAGCATGTTTGTATCTCCTTTATCTAGTATGTAGATAACAACATAAGAGTATCTTTGAATGAGAGTTGAGTGGTGGAGAGAAGTCCCTGATGTCAACTGTCCCTGATCAACCTATTGTTCCCTTCCTGTAGAGACTACTGCTATTCATCCATTGATGTACTGAGTTCATGAATTATGGACCCACTCTATGCCAGGCACTGTTCTAGGAGGTGAGGGTACAACCCAGAGAATTAGTTAACATATGTATTTCAGACACTGTGCTAAACACTTTACATATATCAGTTTATTTAACTAGAAAGAGAGTGAGAGAGAATTATTATTGTCTCTATTTGAAGCACATCTGAGAAGTCTTGATTATTCCTAAGCTACCTTTTATTGGAACAAAGCCTTTTGTTTCCCTCAAGAGTTTTAGGAAATTGCACTGGACCCAGAGGGAAGTGTTCTTCAATGCCTGTGCTTGGAGGAAAGGCAGATCCTCTTTTACTAAAGCATCATTTGCCCTATTTCACAAGCAGGATTCAGTCAAGGTAGCTTCTCTTTCTTTATTTTTTTTTCTTTTTCCCACCAGCTTCAAACGCAAAAATAAGTTCCTGCTGATAAAAGGTGAGAGGCAAGGCCATCTCTTGGCCCTTCCACAAGGGTGGAAACATTGCATGGAAAAGGGAAGAATCTGGAGACACTTAATTCCCAGTCCAGCTCCTCCAGTTTCCCTCATATCTCCGCCACACAAGAGAAGAGAATATGGCCACTTCCCTCTTTACTAGCCACTAAGAGCTTCTTAGTCTATGCATGGGCTCCCCACTTGGGAATGGTATAGGCTCTGTAGTCAGACTGCCTGGTTGGGGCATGGCTTCAGCACTAACTAGCTATGTGAGCTTGGACAAGTTAATTAACCTCTGACTCTGGATTCTTCTCTATAAAAAGGCCATAGCCCAAGGTAAAAGTGCCAAAAGGAAGAAGATATAGCTCCTGCCTTCAGCATCTCAGAGTGGCAAATATATCAAATTCCATGTGGTAATAGGAACATAGGCAGAGAATTACCAAAGCAGAGAGCACAGGCTAGGAGAGGCCCTGAAGATTGCACAGAGAGGTCTGGGTCTTCAAAGATACAAAAAAAAAAAAAATTACCAGCAGAGAAGTGAGCAGGAGTTATTCAGGAAGAAACAGCACACAAAGAAATGAAAGAGAAGGTTTGCGATGAGTCAGAAGGTGGGTGTGGGGGTTAAGAATAGTTTAGCCTGATTGGAGAATTGAGTATGTTAGGAGAAAGAACTGCTGGAAAAGTCATTTTTTATATAATATGCTAAGGAATTTGGAATTTAACCTAAGAGCACCCAATATCCATGGAACGATTTAAGCTAGGAGTGAAATAATCAGATCTGTGTTTACACAGAGGATGCATTGGAAGAGGTAAATTGCTCCTGAGTAATCTTTCAGAGACTGAAGGAAAAGAGTTGTAATCAGCACACATTTTACAGTTAGAATGAACATGACTTGGTGACCCAAGTACTAAGCTCTAAGAGTTACATGGTAATTGTGATGGAGGAACAGTTGATGGAGATGGAAGAGGGATGAGGGAGGTGCATAGTGCTCCTCTCCAGGGAAACATTTAAAAAAAAAAAAGAAAAAAAATCCTATGTCCTATGAGTATCCATGGAGCAAGTCTCCACCCATGGTAGAATAAAATATTGCCTTTTTCTTTATGATTGTTCATACTACTGAGAATGTTGGCTTAATTCACTTGCTGCCATGCTTCTCTTTAGAAGGCATCTTTACTAGAGAATCTCATCATCCCGTCTCCCATAAACTGCAGGAATTCTTAGTTTTGATGGGAAATTTCAGGATGACGAAGATGCTGAGAATGCAAGGTCAATTCAAAATTATTTCCAGCTCATCTTAATGTGTTCTTTTCTTCAAAAGCCGATAAAACACACTGTGGCAGTCAGAGCTAGCAAACAACACTCAGTTCTAAGGATGCTTTGATATTCCCACAGCTTTTAAATAAAAAACAATTTTTCATCTCCAGTTACTTTTGGGTTTTTTCTTATTGAGTATTGGTAGATTTGTAAAAAAATGAAAATAAAAAAGTCTTTTCAGAATAGGTTCTTAACATCAAATTAAATGCTAAAGCCTTTCTGTAGCCCTTTAACTTTGAAAACTGCTGTCTTTGTTTTAGCCAAGGACTCTCCTTGACTAGACATGCTCCCTGGGGAAATAGGCAGAGTTTTAAAAATCATGTTTGAATTTCAAAGTATCTATTAAGAAAGCATGTTAGAAAAAATAAGAGGTTTCCAGTACCCCAAATTCCTGTGTCAGGTGCACCAAGGATTGAAAGGCTTCACCTCCTTTTTCCCATATCCCCTTTTAAAGTACATGTGTTCCTAGGATGCTGAATTAAGCATTATTATTCAACAGCCCTCATCATTTCTGGTCTCTCAGTCTCCGTATCTTCCCCTCAGATACAATGCATACTCCAAACAGATTGTGGTTTTAGACTGTGATAGAGAAGAATATTCTAAATCTTCTTGTGTCTTCTCCTTGTTGGTCTTCGTTCTAATCATTGGAATCATGAAGAAGTTTAGTTTCTCTTCTGTGTGACTGACACCCCTCCAAATTTGTGCTGACAGGAATCTTGTGTTTCTTTAATGTTTAATTTAAATCTTAATAGTTCCTCATTACTCCTTATGTAATCCTGACCCTCTCTCATGGTGGTTACTCAACTGTCTTTCATCTGCTTACATATCTCTAAAATTGAGATTACCATCCAAAAGGCAGGCAATAACAAATGCTGGCAAGGATGTGGAGAAAAGGGAATGCTTGTGCACTGTTGATGGGAATGTAAGTTAGTATAACCACTATGGAGAGCAGTTTGGAGGTTCTTCAAAAAGCTAAAAATTGAGCTACCATATGATCCAGCAGTCCCACTGCTGGGTATATACCCAAAAGAAAGTAACTCAAAATATTAAAGAGATATCTGCACTCTTATGTTTGTTGCAGCACTGTTTATAATAGCTAAGATTTGGAAACAACCTAAGTGTCTATCGAGAGATGAATGGATAAAGAAAATGTGGTACATATACACAATGGAGTACTACTCAGCCATAAAAAGGAATGAGATCCTGTCATTTGCAACAACACAGATGGAACTGGGGATCATTATGTTCAGTGAATTAAGCCAGGCACAGAAAGACAAACATCATATGTTCTTATTTGTGGGATCTAAAAATCAAAATACTTGAACTCATGGAGATAGAAAGTGGAAGGGTGGAAAGGTGGGAAGGGTAGTGAGGGGCTGGGGGAGTGTGGGGATGGGTAATGGGCACAAAAAAATTAGAATGAATAAGACCTACTATTCGATAGCACCATAGGGTGACTATAGTCAATAACTTAATGTACATTTTTAAATAACTTAAAAAGTATAATTGGATTATTTGTGACTCAAAGGATAAGGGGATGGATACCTTATTTGAGGGGATGGATACCTCATTTTCCATGATGTGCTTATTTCACATTGCATTCCTGTATCAAAACCTCTCAGGCACCCCATAAGAATATATACCTACTTTGCACCCACCAAAATTTACAAAAATAAAAAATATATAAGTAGCACAGCAAAAAATAAAAACAGAAAATAAAAAAATAAAATTAAGATATTCAGAAAAGAATTAATGTCTCTAGTGGGTTATGGCTGGTGCACATCCCTTTCTGTCCAGACTATACCTCTACTGATACAGCCTAAAGCAAAATGAGTTTCTGGTAGCCATATCGCATTTTGATTCAAAATAAGACTAAACCATAAAGCCTTTTATTTTCACATGCATTAGGTTGCATCTACTTCAGATGTTGTATCATTGACTTTTTAGGCCCTCAGATAATTTATCTTGATACATTTATATTGTTAGGCCTTATTGATCTTACCTATCTGTCAGAATCTTTATGGATCTTGATTCTGTACTCCAGTGTACTTATTATGCCTAGTGTGCCATACCGAAATTCTATTTCTCCTTCTAAACAATTGATAAAATTACAGAACTGGATAATACTTAGGTTGTTGAATCATTCGTGGCATGCTTTAGCTATGGTTGTCAAACTAGATTATAAATTCACCTCATTTTACTATCATCTGGTCTAAATCTATCCAGATCATCCATAAGGGTATCAGGAGAGAGCTTACCAGATGTTGTGTCAAGGTCCACATTTACTGTGCCTACAACAGCTCCCTAATATGTGAGTCCAATAGCCTAAGTTAAAAAAAAGGAGGTGATATTGGTCTGGTATCATCTGCTTTTAATGAATCTATTGGGACACAATGATTTTTAGGGGTTCAGAAACCATACTTTTTAATCAATCCCAGTAGCATGCATGAGATGAGCACTGAGCTTACTTTTCCAAGAAAAGGACTGAGCTCTTTACATTTACCTATATGGTTTCCCTCTCTGCCAGTTAGGGTCCTTGGCCACTGCCCTGTGGTGAAGCTCTGCCCTGTCATCCTAGACAGTGGGCCCCTATGGAGCAGAAAGAAGCCAGTTGCCTCTAGTACTGAGAAAAGCAGAGTACCTGGTAAGCCCTCAGTGAGATATTGTTGGCTAAGTTTGTCACAGAAGAGAGTGTCTGCCAAATGTACCACACCTTCCCTGACTGTTTGGGACGTGTTTTGAAATGTGAAAGACTCAAATCCCAGCAGTGCAAAGCTGGACATCATGTCATTCAAGACAAGCTAGAGCTGTCTCTTTTTTTACAGGAAGGCACAGAGGTTACTGAGATTGAGCAATTATTACACTTACTGTCATTAAATTCTTCTTTGTGTTATTGTTATTATCAATCCCATCTGCCACTGCAGCTCTAGGATACAAGCAGCTTCCTACGTGGTGGATATGAGATAGGAGCCTTCCAGCCACTGGTACTCCAGAAGCCTTTGGAGGAGGGGAATCCCAATCATGTGGGGAAGGAAGGAACTATAATGTCTCATCATCTCCACAAGCAGAACCAAGCCTTTTCTGAAGCCTTTTGTGGGCACTCACCTGTGTGTCAGTGCATCAGCCCAGACTGGGAAGCCCAGACTCAGAGTCATGTTGCAGTGTAGGCATGAGGATATGTAAACAAGCAACTGAGGCTCCCTTCTATGCTGTGCAACTCGTGTATGACATAGGATCCTATGATATTAGCTTGTCATAGCAGCCATCCTGCCCAATGGTCTCACTTCTCCTTTTGCCTTCATTGTTCTACAGTAGCGCATGTGAGAGAGATGGTGGTATCTTAAGATAGGGTAGCACTATGGAAAAGGAGAAAATTGGACAAATTCTAGATATTTTTGGAAGTATAAATGTCATGACTTGCAGATGTGGGAAGCTGAGAGAAGAGGGGCAATAGAGATATGATGACTACCAGATTTTTAGCTTTAGCCACTGAGAGGAATTTTTTTTTTCCAAACTGAGATTCATCTTGCCTTCAGGCAACTTAGGTAGGAAGGCTGTGAGCAAGGGAGGAAAAATTAGCTCCATTTTCAAAATATTAATAGTGAGTTGCTTATTTGATCACTAAATAAGAAAACACTTGTATATATGAGTCTATGGTGCATGGAAGAGATATAAATGTTGGAGTCATTCACATATAAATGGCATGTTAAACCAGGGAACTGGAGAAGATCAGATATGATGGCGATGTGAATGCTTTTCGTTGACCGTAAGGAGCTTTGCACATAATGTGATGTTGTTATCTTGTCCATTCCTAGCTGAACATATCATTGGCCAAAGAAAATTATTTTCAAATTGGGGCTAGTCCTAGGTAATTAGACCTGGAAGCATTTGAGGGAGTAATTCAGAAAGAGAAAAGGAGTGGGCTGATCCCAGACCCTTCCCATCCCATGGCCCTGTGAGGCTGCGGAGCTTGCCGGAGCCCCAGCACCAGCTCAGAAATTGTCATCCTCCAGGCACACTTCCAATTCAATTAATCATGTTAATATCTATAAGTAAAGTGCAGTCAACAGTTACTTTAACAGTGAATGCTAATTATTAGTAGGATCCATCGCTTAAGAAGGACTTTTTGCCAATCTTGTCATGTCTGGGGAAAATATCAGGAATAGAGTTGGCATTTCTGAGAAAATAGGATGATCAAACTATTAACGTCGTCCATGTTATAGGTGGACCCGGCTTGGACCATCAGTGTGATTATTACAGGTGAAGATTAAGGACACTTGAGAGAAATGTTACAATTAAGATTTCCTCTCCCCTTGCTAAATAAATGGTTTCTTGCTGTTGCCTCTCACAATGGTTTTTGCTTTAGAAAGAGGCTCTGTAAGTACAGGATTTCTCAGTTAGCCAGTAGTACTAGGAAATATGGTGGCTGGGAAGGAGGGAAGGGAAACCAGATGTCCCCAGAGAGCCCGGTGGCTCACTGGACATTTGATCCAAAGACCCCAGGAAGCTGGGCTACTGAGGGTGCAACACATATCCAAGGACCCTCGAAACTTTCCTTCATTTGCACATCAATTCATTAGTGAAAGAAACAGGGACTGGGCCACTCCTAAGTTGCAGTCACTGGGGAGAGGTGGGTAAGTGGGCCTTCCCCTTGAAAAGTACCCAGACTGGTGGAAGTGACAAATGTGTAATCAAGTGTAATAACAGCTACGTCATGTTCAGTATTTACTGCATAAAGACATTTTCTCATTTAGCCTTTTTATCAACCTTATGCTGTAGATATTAGTTTCCTTTTCCAAAGGAGGAGAATGCGAACAGAAAATTGAGAAACTGAGAAATTACATAGTTTATTTCACGTTGCAGAATGATTAAATGAGGGGTCAAGACTTGAATTCAGCTTCAGTCCCTTGCACTATATGTCTAGGCTGCACGAGTTTTTAAATACAAGTGAAGTCATCTTTTGGGTTAGACTTCTAACCTCAATTCCCTGTCTTCAGAAATACTTTCAGCTACTTTGTTTCTTTTTAAATATGCTTCCATATTTTATATAAAATGTTAGATTTGACTT
The DNA here is from genome assembly GCF_000001405.40 of Homo sapiens. Classification (NCBI taxonomy): domain Eukaryota; kingdom Metazoa; phylum Chordata; class Mammalia; order Primates; family Hominidae; genus Homo; species Homo sapiens. The sequence goes on from NC_000011.10 coordinate 7,383,993, forward strand.
GATTTTTAATTTTATATTTCTATTGAATTTTATTATGGAAGATGAAGATTTAGCTCTTAAATTCACTAGCCACACACACACACACACACACACACACACACCCTCACACCTTACTTCCCTCTCCCATTTTCTCAAAATCGTTATACACTTGTGGAGATAATTATTCATGTTTGTATCATTATTGTTATGTAAACATGATGTATAGCTGAACCATGTATGTCTCTGTGGTTACATTCTTTTTTCCTCCCAGGAGTTGGTAATTTGTATCTCTAACCTGAATCTTCCCCTGATTTCCATTCTCTTATATCTAATTGGCTACTCAGCATCTGCATTTGGATGTCTAATAGGCATCTCACAATTAATGTATGTGAAACTGAGTTCTTGATCTCTCCCATAGTCCAGTACTTCTCCCCCTCCACTTGGAAATGGGTGTTAATGGCAATTCCATCTCTCCACTTGCTCAGGCAAAAAATTCTGGAATTGTCCTTGACTCTTCTCTATCACTTCTTCCATTAGAAAATCCTATTGCTTTATCTTCAAAATGTGATGACCTCTCACCACCTGCACTGCTTTCTTTGGAACAAGCCATGTCACCTCTCACCAGGTTCACTGAAGTAACCTTCTAACTGATGGCCCTGATCTCCCCAGACTATTCTTAACACTGCTGTGGGCTATCCTGTAATAGTGCTACTTGAGCTGTGTTGTGCTACTTTTCTACTTCAATCTTTGTAATGAATTCCATTCCCACTCAGAGCACAAGCAAAAATCCTTTCATAGTTTACATGATCTGATCCACCACAGCCTCTCTGACCTCATCATTTTCAATCTCTTTGTTTCTCACTATACTCCAGCTACACCTGCCTTGCCCTTCCTCAAATGCAGAAGGCTACTCTCTCACCTCAGGGCATCTGTGCTTGCTCCTCTGTTTGGAATTTTCCCCAATTAACTGCATGGCTTGCTTCCTTACCTCATTTCTCCAGGTCCTTATTCAAAAGTCACTCTCTCATAATGCCTTTCCTGACCTCCCTATTTAATATATTATTTAACTCCCCACTACTTAACTCCCTTTCCTGCTTATTTCTTCCCATTGCATTACATATGTGTATTATATGTATACTTCTGTATATGTGTGTATATGTGTGCATGTGTGTATAATTTATTTTGCTCATTGTCTGTCTTCACACACAAGAAATATAAGCTCCATGAGAGTAAATAATTTTTGCCTGTTTGGTTCACTGACAGATTCCCAGAACCCAGAGTACCAGGTACTCTGGTACAAATAATTGCTTTCTGTAAATGTTTGTTGAATGAAGAATAGAGGAATGAACTATATTGTTTTTGTTTGCTCTGTGTGTGTGTGTGTGTGTGTGTGTGTGTGCGTGTGTGTCCATGCAGCTAATTCATCCCAAACTCTGTCAGACATTTAAGTCTCTTAGTGAATACATCAGGTTTCATTTCTTTCTATAGAGGACAACATTTTAGGACAAAGAGCATGCCTGGCAGTGGTGTAGGAAGGCAAATGAAAAGAATCAGATTGAAAAACTGCCTGCTGGGTACTATGCCTATTACCTGGGTGACAAGATAATCTGTATACCAAATCCCCATGATACACAATTTACCTATATAACAAACCTGCACATGTACCCCTGAACCTTAAAAAAAGTTTAAAAAAATCAATACATAAAGCAAATATCTATATGCATGAGTCAGTTTCTGGGCTCTCTGTGCAGCTCCACTGGTTTATTTACCCTGCACAAATGCTACACTAGTCCAGTCCATCCTGGACACTAGTTCAGTTGCATTCTCATAAGTTTTCCTATCCAGGAGAGCAAATGTTTCTACTTTGCTTTTTATCAAAAGAATTTTGGTTATTCTTGGCACTTTGCATGTCCAAGTAAAAATTAGAATCAGTCTGTCAAGTTGGAATCTGACCGTAATTATATTTAGCCTGTAGATAAGTCTGGGAAATATCTTCACAATATTGAGTCTTCCAACTCATAAACATGGAGTATTGCTCTATTTATTTAGACTTTCCTTAACTTTGCTCAATAATATTTTTATCTTTTTCTGCAGAAAACTATTGGACTTTTTGGTAAGTGTATTACAAGGTATTTCATATTTTTAAGGCAGGTGTGAGGTTTTTTCTATTTTTATTTGTTTAACCTGTTTTTTTTCTGGTATATAAAAAAGCAATTTAAACCCTGGAAGAAAACCTAGGCAATGCCATTCAGTACATAGGCATGGGCAGGGACTTCATGTCTAAAACACCAAAAGAAATGGCAACAAAAGCCAAAATTGACAAATAGGATCTAATTAAACTAAAGAGCTTCTGCACAGCAAAAGAAACTACCATCAGAGTGAACAGTCAACCTACAGAATGGGAGAAAATTTTTGCAATCTACTCATCTGACAAAGGGCTAATATCCAGAATCTACAATGAACTCGAACAAATTTACAAGAAAAAAAAAAACAACCCCATCAAAAAGTGGGTGAAGGATATGAACAGACACTTCTCAAAAGAAGACATTTATGCAGCCAAAAGACACATGAAAATATGCTCATCATCACTGGCCATCACAGAAATGCAAATCAAAACCACTATGAGATACCAGCTCACACCAGTTAGAATGGCGATCATTAAAATGTCAGGAAACAACAGGTGCTGGAGAGGATGTGGAGAAATAGGAACACTTTTACACTGTTGGTGGGACTGTAAACTAGTTCAACCATTGTGGAAGTCAGTGTGGCGATTCCTTAGGGATCTTGAACTAGAAATACCATTTGACCCAGCAATCCCATTACTGGGTATATACCCAAAGGATTATAAATCATGCTGCTGTAAAGACACATGTACACGTATGTTTATTGCGGCACTATTCACAATAGCAAAGACTTGGAACCAATCCACATGTCCAACAATGATAGACTGGATTAAGAAAATGTGGCACATATACACCATGGAATACTATGCAGCCATAAAAAATGATGAGTTCATGTCCTTTGTAGGGACATGGATGAAGCTGTAAACCATCATTCTCAGCAAACTATCGCAAGGACAAAAAACCAAACACTGCGTGTTCTCACTCATAGGTTGGAATTGAACAATGAGAACACATGGACACAAGAAGGGGAACATCACACACCAGGGCCTGTTGTGGGGTGTGGTGGGGGGATAGAAGCGGGGAGGGATAGCATTAGGAGATATACCTAATGTTAAATGACGAGTTAATGGGTGCAGCATACCAACATGGTACAAGTATGCATATGTAACTAACCTGCCCATTGTGCACATGTACCCTAAAACTTAAAGTATAATAAAAAAAAAGAACTATGAGGAATAACCCTAAACAAAAATAATAAAATAAAATGTGCTTCTTGAAAATAAAATAAAAAAGGCAATTTATTTTTGTTTCCTGAGCTTGTATCCACTCTATTAATCATCATCAGTAAACATGCTTATAAATTTTAATAATTTATCTGTAGTTGTCGGAATTTATTTTGCATATCATGTCGTCTAACGATAATGACAGAATGAATTCTTTGTGCCAAAACTTTGTACCTTTTCCTTCTTTTTCATTCCTTATTTCACTAAGACCTCAAATACAATGTTCAATAGAAGAGATGATGTACCTTATTCCTAACATTAATTAAAAAGCTTTCAACATTTCACTATTAAATACACCATTGCTGTAGTCTTGTTTTTAGATGCTCTCTTTAAGAAAATTCCCTTTCCATATCTGGTTTGGATGCCTGATTTCATCACATTTTCTACATTCATTTAGATCAACTATAAGTTATCTCTTTATTCTCTTATGGGCAGTTAAGTTGTTTAAATTTCATATGTTTAATCAACCATGTAAACGTGAAAACATGTATGTTTGTAATTCATTGTATTTTTCTGGATTCAGTTTTACATTTTGTCTAATTTATTAAAATCTCAAGTCATAACTGAGATTGAACTGTAATTTTGCCTTTCTTGTAATGGCCTTTTCAGCTTTTAGTACCCAAAATATTATGTCTAAAAACTATGAATTGGGGAATATTCCCTCCTTGTGTATTTTTGGAAATATTTGCACATATTGCGTTTACTTCTTCCCTAAATGTTTAATAGAATTCACCAGTGAACCCAACTGCACCTGAAATTTTCTTTATGGTAAGGTTTTTAATTACGGATTCAGTTTACTTAATGAGACATAGACATTCAGAGTCAGTATTTCTCATATCTAGTTTATGAGTTTTGTGTTTTAAAGAACTAGTCCATTTAATCCAAATTTTAAAATCTATGGGTATAAAGTTGTTTGTAAAATTCTTTTATCTTTCAATGCCTTTAGGATGTGAAGTGGTGTTGTATTTTCAACCATGACATGGTTATTCGTGCCTTTTTTTCTCTCCTGCCCCTTTCCTTTTTCTGTCTTGAAAGAGGGCTATTTTTATTTGCCTTTCAAAAGCTAACTTTTGGCTCGTTAATCTTCCCTAAATATACTTATTTTCTATTCATTATTTTCTGTTCTTGTATTTATTTCCTTCATTCTACTTAATTTGTTGTTATGTTCTAGTTCTTTAGATAAATGATTTGATCACTGATAATTGGCCTTATTTTGGGCTATTTTATGCATTTAAAGCTAAAATATTTCTCAATATAATTTTTTAGCATTTTAAATGTTTTGAAATTTATTATTTTTATTATCATAGAGTCCAATGTATATCTGTTTTTCATCCTGTTATTTATTTTGACCCATGTTTTATTTAGAAATATTTTCAAATGTATGGAAACATTCTAGTTATCTTTTCATTATAGATTTCGAGTTTAATTGCGTTATGATCATTCCTCATCTGATCTAACATCTTTGCCAGCCCTACTGTTAACTAACCTCCTTCCAGAATGTTTTTCATGACATCAGCTTTGGTCTCCGGGTGAAAATGTGTGGTGGTTGGGTTCACAAGCATATGGACCACAACCACATCTCCCCTTCCCAGTCCAGGAAAATATGTGTGAAAAGGAAATTGAAGTGAGGACATTGTGTGGTTGTTTAATAAAGGGTTAAGTCACTAGGCTTGGTGTGCTTGAACCTGCACATTCTAAAGAAAGTACCAGCTCTTTACTGGTTCCTGAGAGATAATTTCTAAACCCTTAGAATATTCTGCCTAAGAGTTCTTTATATGACAGAACTTGGGCCAATACAGAAAACTGTAACTCTGAATATAACAGCATTTCTGGGTCCTGTGAGTCCTTCTAGTGAATTATTGAACCTGAGGATGGTACTGGGGACCCCTGACACAATGGTACTAAAAAAATATTGAGGAGACTGGGGTATCAAAAGTGTATTAATTTCTTGCCCACCTTGTGTGACCTTCTGTAAAGCCAATATTTAATAAGTTTGCTGATATAAATATACAAGTAGTATTAAAGAATAATTCACGAGGACTTCCAGTTAAATCCATCAGGTGAAAAACATAAGATGCTACCCCCATTATCTCTTGAGAACTCCCCCATAAAATGAGAGTAGATGAACTACAAAAGGAATAAGCAATAGAAGACTTTTTGCTTTAACCATTCAGTTATAAATGCAATTAATTTATATTGTAGGACATTATGAATGTCCTACAATCTTAGGCAAACCAACATCACAAAAGACAAGGTACAAAATAAAAATATATATCAACTCATCACTGAATAAAAAGAGACTAAAGCGAGAAGAAAGTATTCTAATTAACATCTATCACTAAGGACCAAGCGAGATCAGTGAAAACAAGTTATCCAGATAACTTTTGGAGAAATTTCAGAAGGCATAAGTACAAAGTAAAAGTATGAAAAGACAATCTTAAAACCTGCTTGGGAGGAAAAAAAAACCTACATAAGAATGGCATCAAACATTTCAACTGAAACATGAAATACAAGAAGACTTTGTGATGTAAAATGATTCTGAAATACAATAATTTTAACCTAAACTCTATGCCCAGCCAACTTTCTGTTAAGAATTAGAGCACAATAAATACTAATTTTTATTATACTTTAAGTTCTAGGATACATGTGCACAACGTGCAGGTTTGTTACACAGGTATACGTGTGCCATGTGGGTTTGCCGCACCCATCAACTCGTCATTTACATTAGGTATTTCTCCTACTGCTATCCCTCCCCCAGCTCCCCACCTCCCAACAGGCCCCAGTGTGTGATGTTCCCCACCCTGTATCCATGTGTTCTCATTGTTCAACTCCCACTTATGAGTGAGAACATGCGGTGTTTGGTTTTCTGTCCTTGCAATAGTGGTGGTTTCCAGCTTCATCCATGTCCCTGAAAAGGACATGAACTCATCCTTTTTTACAGCTGCATAGTATTCCACTGTGTATAAATATTATTTTAACTACCTGTGAAACTCACTGGAATTTTTTAGAAGCCCTTAATGACATACTCAAGCAAAATGAGCCATGTGTCATGGTTTTCATTTTGGAAGGATAGATGATGGTTTTAAGAAACGGTAGCAGTTACAGAAATGAGAACATTTTAAACATGGTTTAAATGTTTATTAATAATTTGGCTGTGAAACATAATGGAATAGTAAGAAACCATATGTAAAATAAAGAAGCATAATAAATTCTAGAGGAAGATTTGGAAATAAAGTTAACAAGCTTCATTTAATTGACAAATAGAAATTTGTCCCCTATGAATAAAGCATACATTGTTTCCAAGTGCATTTGAGCACAAATAATAGAATAGAATGGAATTTAAAAGTGGTTGAAACCATCAGGGCATATTCTCTGAACTCAAGGCAATAAAGCTACAAGACAAAGATATAGTCCTTTGCAAAAATCCATCTTCTCAAAAATTTTTTAATTTCCGTTTTTAGTTTGGATATCGGGGGTACATGTGCAGGTTTGTTACGAGGGTGTGTTGTCTGATGCTGAGGTTTGGGCTTCTATTGGTCCTGTCATGGAGATAGTGCACATAGTGTCCAATAGGAAGCTTTTCGGCCCTTGCACCCCTCCCTTCCTCCCTCCGTTTGGAGTCCGTAGTATCTCTTGTCCCCATGTCTATGTCCATGTGCACCCAAAATTTAGCCACCACTTATAAGTGAGAATACATAATATTGGTTTTCTGTTTCTGCATTAATTCAGTTAGAATAATGACCTCCAACGGCATTTGTGTTTCTGTAAGGACATGATTTTGTTCTATTCCATGATGTATATGTACCATATTTTCTTTATCCTGTCCACCACTGATGGGCACCTAGGTTGATTCCATGTCTTTATTATTGTGAAGTGTTGCAGTGAACATACAAGTGCACCCCTCTTTTTGGTAGAATGATGTATTTTCCTTTGGGTATATACCCATAAGTGAGATTGCCAGGTCAGATGGTAGTTCTATTTTTAGTTCTTTGAGAAATCATCAAACTGCTTTCTACACTGGCTGAACTAATTTAGATTGCAACCAACAGTGTATAAGCATTCCCTTTTCTCTGCAGCCTTACCAACATCTGCTATTTTTTGACTTTTTAATAAAAGTAATTCTGATTAGTGTGAGAGAGTATCTCATTGTGGTTTTCATTTGCATTGTGGTTTTCATTGAGCATTTTTAATTATGTTTATTGAATGCTTATATGTCTTATTTTGAGAAGTATCTGTTCATAGGCCAGGCATGGTGGTGCATGCCTGTAATCCCAGCACTTTCGAAGGCCAAGGTAGTCAGGTGACTTGAGCCCAGGAGTTTGAGACCAGCATGGACAACATGGTAAAACCCCATCTCTAAAAAAAAAAAAAAAAAAAAAAAAAAAAAACCTAGCTAGGCGTGGTGGCATACGCCTGTAGTCCCAGCTACTCGGGAACCTGAGGTGGGAGGATCACTTGAGCCCAGGAGGTCGAGGCTGCAGTGAGCTATGATTATGCCATTGAACTCCAGCCTGGGTGACAGAGTGAGACTCTGTCTCAAAAAATAATAATGTCTGTTCATGTCCTTTGTCCACTTTCTAATGAGGTTTTTTTTTCTTGTTGATTTGCTTAATTTCCTTATAGATTCTGTATATTAGTCCTTAATTTAGATGCATAATTTCTGAATATTTTCTCTCATTCTGTATGTTATTTACTGATAGTTTCTTTTGCTGTACAGAAGCTGTTTATTTTAATTTGGTTCTACTTGTCAATTTTTGCTTTTCTTGCAATTGCTTTTGAGGACTTAGTCATACATTATTTGCTTAGGCTGATATCCACAATGGTATTTCCTAAGTTTTCTTCTAAGATTTTTATAGTTTGAGGCCTTACATTAAATCTTTAATATATTTTGAGTTAATTTTTGTATATTATGATAGATAGGGGTCCACTTTTTTTCTTCTGCATATGGTTGTCAAGTTATTCTGACAGCATTTATTCAATAAGGAATCTTTTTGCCATTGCTTATTTTTGTCAGTATTGTAGATCAGTTGGTTGTAGCTGTGTGGCTTTATTTACTGGTTCTCTAATCTGTTGCAATGGTCTGTATGTCTATTGTTCTACCAGTACCATATTCTTTTGGTTACTGTAGCTTTGTAGTATAGTTTAAAGTAAAGTGATGCCTCTGGCTTTGCTCTTTGCTTAGGATTGCTTTTGCTATTCAGGCTGTTTTTTTTATTTTTTGTTTCATATGAATTTTAGAATAGCTTTTTCTAATTCTGTGAAAAATGACATTGCTAGTTTGATAAGAAGAGCACTGAATCTATAGATTGCTTTGGGCCATATGGACATTTTAACAATAGTGATTCCTCCAATCCATGAGCATGGAATATTTTTTCATTTGTACTGCCTATGATTTCTTTCAGTAGTTTTTTGTAGTTCTTCTTGCAGAGATTTTTCATTTCCTTCATTAGATGTATCCCTAGGTATTTTTTGTGTGTGTGTGTATTACAAATGGGATTACATTATTGATTCCATGCTCAGCTTGAACATTATTGTTGTACAGAAATGCTACTAACTTAAATATGTTGATTTTTTATCCTGAAACTTTACTGAAGTTGTTTATCAGGTCTAGGAGACTTTGGTGGAGACTTAAGGGTTTTCTAGGTATAGAATCATACTGTCAGCAAAGAGAGATAATTTGACTTCCTCTTTTCCTATTTAGATGTCTTTTATTTATTTCTCTTGTCTGATCACTCTGGCTAGAACTTCCAGTATTATGCTGAATAGAAGTGGTGAGAGTAGGCATCCTTATCTTGTTCCAGTTCTTAAGGGGAATGCTACCAGCTTTTGTTCATTCAGTATTATGTTGGCTGTGGATTTGTCATAGATGGCTCTTTCTATTTTGAGGTATGTTCCTTCAATGCCTAGTTTGTTGAGGTTTTTTTTTTTTTTTATCATGAAGTAATGTTGAATTTTATCTAAAGCTTTCTCTGTGTATATTGAGATGATCTTTTTTTTTAATAATTCTGCTTATATGGCCAATCACATTTATTCATTTGCATATGTTGAGCCAACCTTATTCTGTGTAATAAAGCCTACTTGATCATAGTGAATTAACATTTTGATGTGCTGCTGAATTAAGTTTGCTGGTATTTTGTTGAGGATTTTTGTTCTATGTTCATTAGGGATATTGACCTGTAATTTTCTTTTTTGTTGTTTTGTCTTTGCCAGATTTTGGTGTCAGGATGATACTGGTTTTCTAGAATGAGCCTCCTTCTCAATTTTTGGAATAGTTTCTGAAGGACTGCCTCCAGCTCTTCTTTCTATGCCTGATATAATTCAGCTGTGAATCCATCTTGTCCAGAGCTTTTTCTCACTGATAGGTTTTTTTTTATTACTGATTCAATTTCTGAGCTCATTACTGATCTGTTCAGGTTTTCAATTTCTTCCTGATTCAGTCTTGGGAGGTTGTGTGTTTCCAGGAATTTATCCATTTCCTCTAGATTATCTAGTTTGTGTGCATAGAGTTGTTCATAATAATCTCTGATGATCTTTTGTATTCCTGTGGGATTGGTTGTAATGTCACCATTGTCATTTCTTTTTCTTTTTTTTTTTTTAATATACTTTAAGTTTTAGGGTACATGTGCACAACGTGCAGGCTTGTTACATATGTATAGATGTGCCATGTTTGTGTGCTGCACCCATTAACTCATCATTTAACATTAGGTATATCTCCTAATGCTATCCCTCCCCCCTTCCCCCACCCCACAACAGGCCCCAGTGTGTGATGTTCCCCTTCCTGTGTCCATGTGTTCTCATTGTTCAATTCCCACCTATGAGTGAGAACATGTGGTATTTGGTTTTTTGTCCTTGTGATAGTTTGCTGAGAATGATGGTTTCCAGCTTCATCCATGTCCCTACAAAGGACATGAACTCATCATTTTTTATAGGTGCATAGTATTCCATGGTGTATATGTGCCACATTTTCTTAATCTAGTCTATCATTGTTGGACATTTGGGTTGGTTCCAAGTCTTTGCTATTGTGAATAGTGCCGTGATAAACATACGTGTGCATGTGTCTTTATAGCAGCATGTTTTGTAATCCTTTGGGTATATACCCAGTAATGGGATGGCTGGGTCAAATGGTATTTCTAGTTCTAGATCCCTGAGGAATAGCCACACTGACTTGATTGTGCTTGTTTAGATCCCTCTTTTTCTTTGTTAATCTAGCTAGTAGTCGATTAATCTTGTTTATCCTTTCAGAGAACAAACTTTTCATTTCATTGATCATCTGTATGTTTTTTGGCAGTCTCAAGTTTTTTTTAGTTCTGCTATGATTTTAGCCATTTCTTTTCCTCTGCCAGCTCTGGGATTAGTTTGTTCTTGTTTTTCTAATTCCTTTAGGTACAAGTCAGATTATTAATTTGAGATTTTTCTATCTTCTTGATGTAGGTGTATATCCCTGTAAACTTTACTCTTAACACTGCTTTTGCTCTCAGAGATTTGGGTATGTTGTTTCTCCGTTTTCATTTGTTTCAAAGAATTTTCAAATTTCTGCCCTAATTTCAATGTTTACCCAAAAGACATTCAGGAGCAAGTTGTTTAATTTACATGTAAAATATGTGGTTTTGAGAGTTCTTCTGGGCATTTCTATTTTTTTTTTAATTTTTATTTCCATAGGTTTTGGGGGAACAGGTGGTATTTGGTTACATCAGTAGGTTCTTTAGTGGTGATTTGTGAGATTTTGGTGTACCCATCACCCGAGCGGTATATACTGAACCCAATTTGCAGTCTCTTATCCCTCACCCACCTCCCACTATTTTCCCCATTTTATTCCACTGTGGTCTGAAAAAATGCTTAGTATGATTCAGTTTTTTGGGATTTATTGAGACTTGCCTTATGGCCAAACATGTGGTCAATTTCAGATTATGTTCTGTGTGCAGATGAGAAGAATGTACATTCTATGATTGTTGAGGGGAGTATTCTTAAAATGTCTGTTAGGTCCAATCTGTCAAGTGTCTAATTTAAATCTATAATTTGTTTGTTAGTTTTCTACAAAGAGAGAATCTGTCTAATGCTTCTTGGTGGGATGTTGAAGTTTCCCACTATTATTGTGTGACTGTCTAAGTCTTTTCCTGGGTCTATAAGTACTTGTTTATGAATCCCAATGTGGGATACATTTAGATTCAGGATAGTTAAGTCTTCTTGTTGAATTGAACCCTTTATCATTATGTAATGACTTTCTTTGTCCGTTTTTATTATTGTTGGTTTAATGTATGTTTTACCTGATGGAAGAATAGCTACCCCTGTTCTTTTTTGCTTCCTGTTTGCGTAATAGATTTTTCTCCATCCATTTACTTTGAGCCTATAAGTGTCATTGCATGTAAGATGGGTCTCTTGAAGACAGCAAAAAGTGGCTTTTGTTTTTTTTATTCATCCTGTCACTCTATGTCATTTAAGTGTTTAGACCATTTACATTCATGGTTAATATTGATATGTGAGGTTTTGTTTCTGTTATGATGTTGTTAGCAGGTTTCTTTGTAGTCTGATTGCATAGTTGCTTTATAGAGTCTTTGGCTTATGTACTTATATGTGTTTTTGTGGTAACAGATTTTGTTCTTTCATTTCTATGTTTGGAACTTTCTTAAGCATCTCTTATAAGGCTAGTCTAGTGGTAACAAATTCCCTTAGTGATTGCTTGTCCTCAGAACTATTTTAGTCCCTTTATTAGTATTTAGTTTACATATAATAAAATTAACCAATTTTAAGCATATAAGTTTTGTCCCATACTTATAATCATGTAAACATTGTCATGATCACAACATAGACTATTTCTATCTTCAAAGATTATGCCCTCTGCAATCAATCTTTTCCTCCTACTCCTGGTCTCCTGCATCCGCCAATCACTTTATCTCGCTGTATTTTTGCTTTTCCTAGAATTTGATGTAAGTATCATATAGTGATACGAGTGATGTATGATGTGTATGATGTGAGTATCATATAGTACATTGTCTTTTGTGTCTGGCTTCTTTCATTCAACATAGTGCTTTTGAGATTTATACATGTTGTTTCTTGTATCAGTAGCTTGTTCCATTTGGTTGCTGGTTAATATGCCATTGTATGAATATACCACACTTTGTTTATTCATTCCCCAGTTGATAGACATCTAGGCTTCTTTTCAGTTTGGGTCAGAACAATGACGTACAAGTCTTTGCATGACTCCATGATGTTATTTCACTTGGGTAAATAACTAAGTGTGGGATTACTGGGTCATTTGACAAGAGAATGTGTAATTGTAAGGGAAACTGCCACATTTGCCTTTCAAACAGCAGCTTATGAGATGGTCAGTTCCTCCACATCCTACACAACAATTCATATTGTCACTCTTTCATTTTAGTTAGACTAAATAATTAGACTAGTGGTTGTGTAGCAATATCTCACTATGGTTCCATTTAATTTTGATAAAGTAAGTAGATTTAGATCTTTTGCCCATATTTTTGTCAGATTGTCTGAAATATATGACTTCTATATATTTATACATACAGTCTTTTATTGGCTTTATATTTTACAAATATCATTCAGCATGTGGCCTGCCCTTCCCCTTTTCCACAATATGTTTTGAAGAGCAAAAGTTTTTTACTTTAATGAAGTACAGTTTATCCATTTTTTTGTATTTGGCTTTGGGCTTTTTGTGTCCATCTAAGGATTTGTTGTCTAATCCAAATCGTGGACATTTTCTCCTATGTTTTCTTGTAGAAGATTCATAGTTTTACTTTTTACATTTAGATCTATTGTCCATTTCCATTAAAATCCTTCATACAAAGTGAACAAAACATCATGGTTCTTTTTTTGTTTCTTTGTTTGCAAATAGATATCCAATTATTCAGCACCATTTGTTAAAAAGAGTATCCTTTATTAAATTATGCAGCACCCTTCTAGAAAAATCATGAACATTTAATGAGGGTCTGTTGACCATATAAATGAGGGTTTAGGTATAGCCTCTTCATTTTGTTCCATTGAGTGCTATGTCTGTCCTTTTGCCAGTACCTCACTATTTTGATTAATGTAGTTTTATTCTAAATCTCATAATCCAGTAGTGTTAAGTCTTCCCATTTTTTGCTTTTTCAAAATAAGTTTGAATGTTCTAGGTTCTTTGCATTTTCATATTAATTTTAGAATCAGTATTTCAACATCTATGAAATATATATTGGGATTTTGATTGGAATGGCACTAAATTTATAGATCAATGGGAATGAATTGATATCTTAGCTATGTTGAGTATCCCAATCCATGAGCATGGAAACTCTTCATATATTTATATCTTATCTAATTTCTCTCATCAATGTTGGTAGTTTTCAGCATATAGGTCTTGCACATAATTTGTTAAATGCACCCCTAACTATACATGTAAATGCATTGTTAAATTTTACTCCTCAATTATTTCATTGCTAATATATAAAAATCATATTGCTTTTGTACTGGCTTTGTTGACTTTGCTAAACTTATTTGTTTTAGTAGCATTATTTATATTTCTAAGGATTTTCTGCATAAGTAAGCATTGCATTGGAAGTTAAGATGATTTTGCTTCTTTTTAATGTATATGTCTTTTATTTCTATCTTATTTCATTGACTGAAACTTCCAGTACAATATTGAACAGAAGAGATGAGAGCAGACATCCTCCCAATGCTCCTCTAGGGAGAAATTTTCAGTCTTTCTTCATGAGTATAATGTTAGCCGTAGCTTTTTACAGATCCCCATCCTAAGAGAAGGAAGTCTCCTTCTATTCCAAGTTTGCTGGAGCTTCTATCCTGAATAAATATTGACTTTTATCAAATGATCATTTTGCCTCTATTCATGTTTTTTTTAGTCTATGATTTGGTGATTTACCTTGATTATGATGTTCAAATGTTAAGCCAACCTTACATTCCCAGAATAAATCTTACTTTTTCAGAATACATGTCCTTTTTAACATTTATATGAGTTTAGTTTGCTAAAATGTTACTAAGGTTAATTATATCTGTGTCCATGAGGATACTGATCTACAGTTTTCTTTTCTTTTTTTTTTTTTTTGAGACAGAGTCTCACCCTGTCGCCCAGGCTGGAGTGCAGTGGCATGATCTCGGCTCACTGCAAACTCCACCTCCCAGGTTCACGCCATTCTCCTGCCTCAGCCTCCCCAGTAGCTGGGACTACAGGCACCTGCCACCACGCCCAGCTAATTTTTTTGTATTTTTAGTAGAGATGGGGTTTCACCATGTTAGCCAGGACAGTCTCGATTACAGTTTTCTTATAGTGTTTTGTCTAGTTTTAGCATCAGTATATTACTATTCTCGTGTACGGGTTAAGCATCCCTATTCCAAAACTATGAAATCTGCAAGGCTTCAAAATTGAAAACATGTTGAGTGCCAACAAATGGAAAATTCCACACCTGACCTCATGTGACAGCTTGTAGTCAAAACATACAGCACACAATTTTCAGCCTTCCCAAGGATAAAAGGACCCCCCAGCCCTGTTTAGCTGTGATGTGTCTTCTCCATGGACACTCATGCAATTATTTCCACAAAGGACAATACAGTATCATGTGTGCAGGCTAGACACACCAAACAGCAGGTTCTCCCATGATGCTCCATATAGGGCCAAGACATATGTTTTACTCATTGTGGTTTTTTGCTTATTCTCTGCAATGTGGTATAAAAATATTATGGAAAATGTCAAAAAGGCCTGCAGACACCCCTATGGTAACAGTGATAAGAATAAGAGGAAGCATTTATGTTTGTCTGTTGCACAGAAATTCAAGTTATTTGGAGAAACTGGATGATCATATAAGTATGAAATGCCTTACAGAAGAGTATGGTGTTGGAATGAACACCATATATGACCTGAAGAAACAGAAGGATAAACTGCTGAAGTTCTGTGCTGAAAATGATGAGCAGAAGTTAATTTAAAAAATTGAAAAACACTGAACCAAACTAAAAATGGAGATCTCAATCATGTATTGAAAGAGTGCATCCATCAGCATTACCGTGAACACATGCCACTTAATGGTATGCTGATTATTAAACAAGCAAAGATCTATCATGATTCAATGAAAATTGAGGGGAATTATGAATATTTATTAGGCTACTTGCAGAAACTTAAGAAAATACACAGCACTGAATTTTAAAAGATTTTTGGTAATAAAGCATATGCTGACCATGAGGCAGCAGAGAAATTTATTGACAAGTTTGCCAAAGTTTCCACTGATGAAAATCTGACACTGGAAGTCCATAAAGTTGTTGACACATCACTGTTTTGGTGTTATTGCCCCAGCAAGACACTGACTACAGCTGATGAGACATCCTCTATAGGAACAAAGGATGCCAAGTGCAGAATTGTTGCATTGGGATGTGCTAATGCATAAGACACACATAAATGTAAACTTGCCGTCACAGGCAAAAGCTTGCATCCTCACTGTTTTCAAGGAGTGATTTTCTTACCAGTCCATTATTATGCTAACAAAAAATGCATGGATCATCAGGGACATCTTTTTTCTGATTGATTTCACAAACATTTTATACCAGTAGCTTTTGCCCACGGCAGGGAAGCTGGACTGGATGATGACTGCAAGATTTTGTTATTTCTTGACAGCTGTTCTGCTCATCCTCCAGCTGAAATTTTCATCAAAAATAATGTTTATGCCACGTACTTACCCCAAATGTGACTTACTGAGTTCAGCCATGTGGTCAGGGTATGCTTAGATCAGTGAAGAGTAAATATAAAAACACTTTCTTGCACAGCATGCTAGCAGCAGTGAGCAGAGGCATGGATGTGGAGTGTTTTCAAAAGAAGTTTAGCATGAATGATGCCATATATGCTGTTGCCAGTGCTTGGAACACAGCAACTAAATACACAGTTATACAGGCCTGACACAACTTCTGTCCTGTAACTATGTCCACTCATCATGATGAAAAAAGTGATCACTTTGAAGTATTCCATATGTCAAGTGAGGGAAGAAAATGCCTGACCTTACATATGCAAAAAATATACCTTCAGAGTCTGTCAGTCAGCTGGAAGAAGTAGATATTAAGAAGTTTCTAAAATCAGTAATTAAACTCCAGTTGTTCCTTCATTAACCAAACAATGGTGAAATAGTCAAACAGTTCTGAAACAAGGTGATTGTAATAATAATGACATTGAAGATAATATTGGTAATACTTCAGAAAAAGTGCCCATAGATGACATCATGAAAATGTGTGATAGGTTTATTGAAGCACTCACTAGAGCAGCATGCATTTATAAGACAACTAGAAATTATGTCAGTTTATAAAATCAAAGAGAGACTTCTAAGACAAAAATCAGTGTCAAAGCAGATAACTCTGGAGAAGATATTTTTAAAAGCCATTCTAGCAGAATGCCTCCTCATCCCGAGAGAAGCCACCTCCTAGTCCCTCAACTGCTTCTGATGTTCCTTCTCACCTAAATAAAAAACAGTGTACAGTAACCTTTTAATCAAAACATGTGTATAATATGTAATATATATAATAATGTAGGTGGAGACTGAAAGCCTGCTGCTATCTGTTGTTTAACAGCTGATACAGGTATTCTGGTGATGCTAGTGTGCTATTTGGTTACCCTGAATACATTATTTTTTCACTGTATTAATGGCATGTCATTATTTTACTATTATTTATTTGTGAATAAATATGAGAAAGTGATTATCAGTAACGTAAATTTATAGTCAAGAATGATGGTGATGCCAAACCACCACAGATTTTCCACAGGAATATCTGAGGTAATGACATCTTTGCTTTCTCATGGTTCAATGTACACAAACTGTTTTACACACAAAATTACTAAACAACTTTTTTTTGTAAAATTACCTTCAGTCTATGCGTGTAAGATATATCTGAAATATAAATGAATTTCAGGCTTAGGCATTATCCTGTCCCCAAGACATTTCATTATATTTTGTATATATATAATACATATATATCATATATAATGCAAATATATATATGCAAATATTTCAAAATCCAAAAATACCTGAAATCTGAAGCACTTCTGGTTCCAAGCATTTTGGATAAGGAATATTCAACCTGTAATTAGTTGGGAAGTGTTCTCACCTCTTTTGTTTTCTGGAAAAGCTGTGTAGAACTGATATTTTTTCCTTAACGATCTGGAGTATTCTTTGTTGGAAGGTTTTTAGCAATGACTTTAATTTCTTTAGTAGATATAAGACTACTCAAGCTATCTATTTTTTCTTTAGTGTGGTGTGATTGTTTTTATCTTTTAAGTAATTTTTTTATTTTATATAAGGTGTCAAATTTCTTGTCATAAAATTATTCATAAAATTTCCTTATTATTTTAATGTCTATGGTATCTATACAGATTTACAGACTTCCATTTTTATGTTGATAATTAATATTTTCTCATTTTCTTTTCTGATCCAGTGTCACTAGGATGTTGTTTTTATTGATTTTTCTCTAGTTCTTTTATGTTTTATTGGTTTTGCCCTTTATTTATTATTTCTTTCCTTATATCTCCTTTTTGTTTCATTTTCTCTTGTTTTTCATGTTCCTTAAGTTGAAACTTAAATCATTATTTTGAAATGATACTTTTTTTTGAACATAAGCATTTACCGCTATAGATTTCCTCATAAGCACTACTTTGTTTGTGTCCTACAGATTTTGATATTTGTGTTTTTATTTCCAGTTCATTCTAAAATAATTTTAATATCCCTGTTATTTTTCTTTAATTTGTGGATAATTTGGAAAGATATTATTTAATTTCTAAATATCTGGAGATTTTCCAGATGTCTATGAGTAAATTTTAATTTCATTTCATTCTTGACAAAAAATATACTTCATTATAATGTTAGTCTTCTTGAGTTTAAGGGCCAAGAATATGGTTTATCTTGGTGGATGTTCAGTATACACTTGAAAAGAATGTGCATTTTGCTGTTGTAGGATGGAGTATTGATGGGTGGAGTGAATATCAGTTAGGTCATGTTGATTGATAACATTGTTCACGTCTTTTATATTCTTACTTCTTCTCTTTTCGTATGTTCAGTCAATTACTACTAATAGAGCAGTGTTTAAATCTCTAACTCTACTTGTGGATTTGACTGTTTCTACTCTTGATTATATCAGATTTGTTTAGTGTATTTTGAAAGTCTGTTATTAGATGCATACACATTTATAATTGTTATGTCTGTTTGATGATTTGAGGACCCTTTATCAATGAAATGTCTGTTTCCTCCATGGAAATGTTCCTTAGTCTGGAATCTTCTTTGAGATTAATACAGTCACTTCAGCTTTCTTTTGACTAGTATTTACATGGCCTAATTTGTTTTTTATCCTTTAAAAATCTTTTTTTGTGTTGATATTTTAAGTAGGTTTTTTGTAGACAGCATATAGTTGAGTCATGCTTTGTTATCCAATCTGACCATTTCTCTTCTTTCAACTGAAGTTATTAAGTATACACATTGAATGTAATTGTCAATGTTTAAATCTGCCTTTTCTAATTCTAATTGTTTCATCCATACTTTTGTTCTTATTTTTCTCTTGGATTGAGCACTTTTATTATTCCATTTTATCTGTAATAATGGCAGACTATATATACTGATTAGCTTTTTAGTGGCTATTTTAGTATTTGAAATTATACCTCTTTATCTTATCTAATCTTAATTATTTCCTTTCTTCTGCTTACTTTAATTTGTTCTTATTTTTCTGGATTTTTAGAACAGAAGCTGAGGTTATTGACATGAAATTTTTGTCCTTGTCAAATAGATATTTAGTGCTGTAAATTTCCCTGTAAATACTGCTTTGGCTGCATTCCACAAATTTTAATATGTGTGTTTTCATTTTAATTCAGGTCAAAATACTTTCTAGTTTTCCTTTGGATTTCTTCTTTGACCTATGGATTATTTAGAAATGTGTTGAGGCCAGGCACAGTGGCTCATGCCTGTAATCCCAGCACTTTGGGAGGCTGAGGTATTGAGCTCAGGAGTTCAAGACCAGCCTGGCCAATATAGCAAGACTCCATCTCTACAAAAAAATTTAAAAATATATCCAGGCATGGTGACATGTGCCTGTAGTCACAGCTACTCGTAAGGTTAAGGTGGGAGGATCTCTTGAGCCTAGGAGATTGAGGCTGCAGTGAGCTGTGATTGTGCTACTGCACTCCAGTCTGGGCAACAAAGCAAGACCTTGTCTCAAAATAAATAAACAGAGAGAGAGAGAGAGACACACACATGTATTAGTTTCCAAATACACTGATATTTTTTAGATTCCTTTTCATTATTTATTTCTAATTTATTTCCATTGTGGTAAGAAAATATACTTTGTATGATTGAAATTCTCAAATTTAAATGAAACCTGTTTTATAATTCAAATATAATCTGTCCTGTATAGTGTTCTTGGTGCACCTAAAAAAAAAAGAATGTATATTCTATTACTGTTTGGTAAACGGCTCTTTATAAAATGCCATTAGTTAGGCCAAGTGAGCTGATAGTGTTATTTAGGTATTCAAATCTCTGACTATAATTAGGGATGTGTCTGTATATTTATCCTCACAGTTCTTTTAGTTTTTGCTTCATGTATTTTGAGAGTGTGCTGTGAGGTGTGTAAACATTTAGAATTTTTATACATTTTTAATGAGTTGAGGCCTTTATCATAATGTAATAGCTCTATTTGTCCCTGGTAATATTTATTGCTTTGACATATAATTTGTCTGATATTAATTTAGCCACTCCAGATATATTTTTATTAGTATTAGTATGGCATTTATTTTTATTAGTGTTAATTATTTTTATTAGTTAATTCTTTTACTTTTTATCTATTTGTATCTGTACATTTAAGGTAGATTTCTTGAAGGCAGCATATAATTGAGTCTTGCCATTTATTGAATCAGGCAATTGTTGCCTTTATTTAGAGGTTCAGACCATTCACATTTAAGTAATTATTGGGATAGTTTAGTTTAAATTTACTACCTTACTATCTGATTTCTATTTCTATCAAAATTTGTCTCTTCTAATCTTTTTCTCTTTTCCTTTTCGCTGCCTTTTTTGGATTAACTGAATATTTTTAATCATTGATTTCGTCTCCTTTTTTGGTTTATTAGCTATAACTCCTTGTTTTATTTTAGCCAATTCTTTCAGGTTTAGAGTATATATCTTTAACTTATACTGGCTAACTTGAAGTGATATTATGCCATTTATACTATATATAGTATAAGAAACTTACAACAGTTTCAACAATTCTAGCTGGGGTTATTTGGGTTAATAAAATAAACATTTATGCATCTCAATATCGATTTTTCAACCCCAGAGAGGACTCTAAGTGGTCCTGTTTGGATTATGTGCATATCCCTAAACAAACAACAGTGGACAAGGGCATGAATGCTTTGGTCAACCTGAATTCCCGCAGAAATTTCTGAAGGAAATTCATAAAGGTGGGAAGGAGTTCACCAAACAACCTAAGAAAAGGAATGCAAAAGTGCACGGATTAGACAAAAACTACAGTGATCAAAGGCCACTACAACCATACAGATCACAGAAAGAGTTTATAGATCGACAGATAGAGAATTCACATCAGCTTGCTATAAATTCCCAATATATCTTTCTAACAATACCATATTTAGCCACACAAAGCAGGGGTAAATGAAGCTTTCTTTGTATGGTGTTTTTCTTCCCCTTGTGCTTTCCAGGGTACCCAGCTGTCAGTAACACTTCTTCACATCTGATACCTGTCAAGGTTAAAAAAAAAAAAAAAAAAGCCAAATACTCTGCCACCCTTTATATTTGACTTTTATTATCATTCCAGAAAACTTTTAGTAAGAATCTAAGCATTTCTGTGTAAATCAGAGTTCCTCAACCTTAGCACTATTGACCTTTTGGACTAGATAATTTTTTGTATTGAGTGGCTTCCCTCTGCATCATCCCTGAGCTCTACCCACTAGATATCAGTAACACACCCTCCTCCACAGTTGTGACGAGCAAAAATTCCTCCAGATAGTGTCAAATGTCTCGTTGGGGAGCAAAATTACTCCCGGTTGAGAACCACTGATTGAAGGGAATGTTTACAAACATCAAGAGCTACAGCTTCTTGACAACAAATCAGCATCAGCTCATGGGGAGAAAGCAGAATTAGCATCAGATGCCAATGAACTCTTGTTCCATATCCCAGCAAGCCCATATCTCCTCAAAACATAGTGTCTGTTGTTTACCACTGATGATTTAGCTCCCAGCATCTGGAAAAAACAATGCTCAAATACCACAACCACAACAAATGCTAAAAGAATAGGTGAATGGATGAATAAATTAATGGATGGATGAATGAGTGAAAATTTAAAAATCTGGATGATTATTCACACTGTTGCTCTTGGGAAATGAATGACATAGGCTAGTATATGTATGAGAAAATGGGATATTTTACTATTTTACTTGAAAATTTCTATATTGGAATTTTGTCATTTTAATTTTATAATTTAGAAAACTTTAAAGGATTTATTTTACAAGCACTTGAAAATAAAATCAAGCATTTTCTCCTTGAGAACTTTTTTAAAAATTTGCTTGTTTTCATTAGAAGAGTCAACTAATATTTATTGAGCATCTTTTATTGTTGAACTAGGGGCTGTTCTAGGCAGCTGGGATGCAACAAGACAGAGAAAGTTTCTGTTCTTATAGAGCTTACATTCCTTTTTTTGATACAAAATATTATAGATATATATGGGGTACATATGAATATTTATTACATGCATAGAATGTGTCTTCGTCAAGTCAGAGTTTTTGGAGGATCCATTATCTTGAGTATTTATCATTCCTATGTGTTGGTAACATTTCAAGTCCTCTCTTCTAGCTACTTTGTAATATAAAATATATTGTTGCTACTATAGTCACTCTACTCTGCTATCAAATATTGGAGCCTATTCTTCTATCAAACTGTATGTTTATATCTACTAACCAACTTCCCTATATCCCACCTGCCACCCACACACCCTTCCTACCCTCTGGTATCTACTATTCTAGTCTCTATCTCCATGAGATTAACTTGTTTAGCTCCCACATATGAGTGAGAACATGTATCTGTCTTTCTGTGCCTGACTTATTTCACTTAACGTAATGACCTCCATTTCCATTCCTGTTGCTGCAAATGACATGATTTCATTCTTTTTTATGGCTGAATAATGTTCAATTGCGCATATATATATATATATATATATATATATATATAGCACATTTTCTTTATTAATTTGTCCGTCGATGGACACTTAGATTGATTCCATGTCTTTGCTGTTAAGAATGCCCCTGAAGTAAACATGCAAGTGCAGGTATCCCTCTGATACACGGATTTCCTTTCCTTTGGTTAAATACCTGGTAGTGGCATTGCTGGATCATATGGTAGTTCTATTTTTAGTTTTTGGAGAAGACTCCATGTTGTTTTCCATAGTGGTTGTACTAATTTACATTCACACCAACAGTATATAAGAATTCCCTTTTCTCCACATTGTTGCTAGCATGTTATTTTTTGTCTTTTTAATAATAGCCATTCTAACTGGGATAAGATGATATCTCAATGTGGTTTTATTTTGCATTTCCCTAATTACTAGTGATGCTGAGCATTTTTTCATAAACTTCTTGGCCATTTGTATGTATGTCTTTTCTTGATAAATATCTATTCATGTCTTTTGCCCACTTTTAATGATATTATTTGGGTTTTTAAAAATTTTTTAGTTGTTTGAGTTCCTTTTATATCCTGCATACTAGTCCCTCATAGGATGAGTAGTTTGCAAGTATTTTCTCATTCAACACATTTTCTCCTCACTCTGTTGATTGTTTCCTTTGCTGTGCATGAGCTTTTAAATTTAATAAATTTAATATAATCCCATTTGTTTATTTTTTGTTTTATTGTCTGCTCTTCAGGCAGGCCTTAGCCATGAAATATTTGCCCAGAATGATGTCTTGAAATGTTTTCTCCATTTTTTTAGTAGTTTTACAGTCTCAGGTCTTATGTTTAAGTCTATAATTTTTTTTTTTTTTTTTTTTTTTTTTTTTTTGAGACGGAGTCTCGCTCTGTCGCCCAGGCCGGACTGCGGACTGCAGTGGCGCAATCTCGGCTCACTGCAAGCTCCGCTTCCCGGGTTCACGCCATTCTCCTGCCTCAGCCTCCCCAGTAGCTGGGACTACAGGCGCCCGCCACCGCGCCCGGCTAATTTTTTGTATTTTTAGTAGAGACGGGGTTTCACCTTGTTAGCCAGGATGGTCTCGATCTCCTGACCTCATGATCCACCCGCCTCGGCCTCCCAAAGTGCTGGGATTACAGGCGTGAGCCACCGCGCCCGGCCTTAAGTCTATAATTTATCTTCTGTTTATTTTTGTACATGAGAAGCCATAGGTATCCAGTTTCCTTTTTCTGTATGTGGATCTCCAATTTTCCCAGCACCATTTATTGAAGAATGTATTCTTTCTCCTTGGTGCCTTCATCAAAAATCAGTTGGCTGTAAATACATGGATTCATTTCTGTACTATCTATCCTGTTCCATTTGCCTATAAGGCTGTTTTTATACCAATACTATGTTGTTTTGGTTACTGTAGCCTTTTGGTACATTTTGAAGTCAGGTAGTGTGATGCCTCCAGCATTGTCGTTTTTGTTCAGAATTGCTTTGGCTATTCAGGCTCTCTTTTGGTATTATACACATTGTAGGATTGTTTTATTAATTCTGTGAAAAATTACATTGGTTTTTTGATAGAGATTGCATTAAGTCTATAGTTGCTTTAGGTAGTATGATTTTGTTTTTTTGTTTGTTTGTTTGAGATGGAGTCTCGCTCTGTTGCCCAGGCTGGAGTGCAATGGCATGATCTCTGCTTACCGCAACCTCCACCTCCCGGGTTCAAGCAATTCTCCTGCCTCAGCCTCCTGAGTAGCTGGGATTACAAGCATGTGCCACCATGCCCGGCTAATTTTGTATTTTTAGTAGAGATGGGGTTTCTCTATGTTGGTCAGGCTGGTTTCCAACTCCTGACCTCAGGTGATCCACTCGCCTCAGCCTCCCAAAGTGCTGGGATTACAGGCGTGAGCCACCATGCCCAGCCAGTAGTATGGTCATTTTAACATTATTAATTCTTCTGATCCATGAGCATGGGATGTCTTTCCATTTGTTTTGTCCTCTTCAATTTCTTCATTAGTGTTTTGTAGTTTTTCTTATAGAGATCTTTCAACGCCTTAGTTAAATTTGTTCTTAGGTATTTTTTGTAGCTATTGTAAATTGGATTACCTTCTTGATTTCTTTCTTGGCTAGTTCATTATCAGTATATAGAAATGCTACTGATTTTTGTATGTTGATTTGCATTCTGAAACTTTACTAAATTTATCAAATCTAAGAGTTTTTTGGTGGAGTCTAGGTTTTTCCATAAGATCATATCATCAGCAAAGAAATGGTTGACTTCCTCTTTTCCAATTTGGATGCCTTTTATTTTATTATTTCATTTTTTTTAATTTGTTTTCCTCAGAGATCCTTGTTCTGAATGATGCCTTTTATTTCTTTGTCTTGCATGATTGCTCTGGCTAAGATTTCCAGTACCATGTTGAATAAGAGTGGTGAAAGTGGGTATTTGTGTTGAGTTACAGATCTGAGAAGAAAGGCTTTCATCTTTTCAGTAGTAGTGTTCATACTAACATTCAGTATGATGTTATCTGTGGGTTTGTCATAGATGACCTTTATTATTTTGAGACATGTTCCTTCTGCACTTGGTTTATTGAGAGTTTTTATCATGAAGGGATGGTGTATTTTATCAAATGCTTTTTCTGCATCTATTGAGATGATCATATGATTTTTGTCCTTGATTTTGTTTATGTGATGTATCACATTTATTGATTTGCATATGTTGAGCCATCAGTGCATCCCTGGTATAAATCCCATTTGGTCATGGTATATTATCTTTTTGATGTGTGTTGGATTTGACTTGCTAGTAGTTTGTTGAGGATTTATGTAGTTTTCTTTTTTGTTGTGTCCTTGTCAGGTTTTGTCACTGGGATAATGTTGGTCTCATATAATGACTTGAGGAGAGGTCTTTCCACTTTCGTTTTCTGAAATGGTTTTAGGAGGATTTGTATTAGTTCTTCTTTATATGTTTGGTAAATTTCAGCTGTTCATCCATCCAGTAGTTGGGTTTTCTTTCTTGGGAGACTTTGTATTACTGATTCAATCTTGCTACTCGTTATTGGTCTGTTTAGGTTTTCTATTTTTTCCTTATTCAATCTTGGTAGCTTGTATATTTCCAGAAATTTATCCATTCTCCTAGGTTTTCTGGTTTGTTAGTGTACAGTTATTCATAATCGTGTGTGATGATCTTTTGTATTTCTGTGGTATCAGTTGTAATATCTCCCTTTTCATTTCTTGTTTTGTATTCTGTGTTCTTGGTTAGTCTAGCTAGTGGTTTATCAATTTTGTTTATCTTTTTTTTGAAGAATCAACTTTTCATTTCATTTATTCTGTGTATTTTTTAGTCTATCTCATTTAGTTCAGCTCTTTATTATTTCTTTTCTTCTAATTTTGACTTTGGTTTATTCTTGCTTTTGTGGTTCCTTGAGATGCATCATTGGGTTGTTTGTTTGAAATCTTTCTACTTTTTTGATGTAGGCATTTATTGCCTATGTCAAACTTCCTCTTAACACTGCTTTCACTCTATCCCATTGGTTTTGGCACATGTCTTATTTACATTTGTTTCAAGAAATTTTTTGCTTTTCATCTTAATTTCTTAATTGACCCAGTGGTCATTCAGAAGCATGTTTTTTAATTTCCATGTATCTGTAGGTACCAGAGTTCCTCCTAGTATTGATTTATTGTTTTATTCCATTGTGACCTGAAGATACTTGATATGATTTTGATTTTTAAAACTGTTGAGAATCGTTTTGTGACCTAACATATGCTGTATCCTGGAGAATGTTTCATCTGCTTAGAAGAATGTATATTTTACAGTTGTTGAATAAAATGTTCTGTAAGTGTGTGTTAGTTCCACTTGGTCTAAAGTGTAGTTTAAATCCAATTTTTTGTTGTTGTTGATTTTCTGTCTAGATGATTTGACTAATGCTGAAAGTGGGGTGTTGAATTTCCCCAATATTATTTTATGGGAGTCTGTCTCTCTCTTTAGCTCTAGTTATATTTGCTTTATGAATCTGGGCACTCCAGGGTTGGATGCATAAATATTCAGAATTGTTGTATCATACCTCTTGCTGGATTGATCCCTTTATCATTATATAATGACCATCTTTGTCTTTGTCATTTTTACTGTTTTTGACCTAAAGTCTGTTTGATCTGATCTAAGTATAGCTACTTCTGCTGACTTTGGGTTTCTGTTTGAGTGGAATTTTTTTGCATCCCTTTACTTTGGGTGTATATGTATCTTGACAGGTAAAGTGTATTTGTTGTAGGCAGCATATAGTTGGATAATGTTTTCTTATATATTCAACCAGTCTATATATTTTAAGCAGATTATTTAATCTATTTCCATTCAATATCTCTTTTTTTTTTCTTTTTGAGACAGAGTTTTGCTCTTGTCACCCAGGCTGGAGCGCAATGGCGCAGTCCCAGCTCACTGCAACCTCTGCCTCCCAGGTTCAAGTGATTCTCCTGCCTCAGCCTCCCAAGTAGTTTGGATTACAGGCACCTGGCACCACGCCTGGCTAATTTTTGTATTTTTAGGAAAGACGGGGTTTCACCATGTTGGCCAGGCTGGTCTCAAACTCCTGACCTCAGGTGATTCACCTGCCTCGGCATCCCAAAATGCTAGGATTGCAGGTGTGAGCCACCATGCCCGGCCTCAAGATTGCTTTTAATATGCAAGGCTTTGTTCCTGCCATGCTCTTAATTGTTTTCTGATCGTTTTGTATGTTCTTTATTCCTCTCTTTTTTTCTAATTGTCATTTTGGTTTGGTTGTTTTCTGTAGTTGTACCATTTGAATTCTTTCTCTTCCTCATTTGTGTGTTTGGTGTACCAGTGAGTTTTATACTTTGATGTGTTTTCATGATGGTAAATGTTATCTTTTTTATTCCGGGTTTAGGACTTCTTTGGATATTTCTTCTAGGGCCAGTCTAGTGGTGATAAATTCCCTCAGCATTTTCTTCTCTGGGAAGGACTTTTTTTGTGAAGGATAATTTTGCTACATAGTATATACTTAAGTGGCTTTTTTTCTTCACCACTTTGAATATGTCTCTCTTGCCCTGTATTGTTTCTGCTGAGAAATACTTTCTTAGCCTGATGGGGTTTCCTTTATAGGTGACTAGACACTTTTGTCTTGCTGTTGTTGGAATCCCCTCTTTATCTTTGACTTTAAGTAGTTTGACTATAATACGCTGCAGAGAAGACCTTCTTGCTCTGTATTTGTGTGGGGTTCTCTGAGCCCCCTATATGAGTCTTTTCTAGATTGGGGAAGTTTTCATCTATTATTTCATTAAATAGATTTTCTAATCCTTTCATTCTCTCTTTGCCCTTGGGGACACTGATAATTAGAATATTGAGTCACTATGTTGTCCCATAGGTCACAAAGCCTTTCTCATTCTTTTTTATTCTTTTTATTTATTTTTGTCTGACTGGATTATTTCAAAAGATTTCAAGTTCTGAGATTCTTTCTTCTGCTTAATCTAATCTATTGTTGGAGGTTTTGACTGTATTTTGTATTTTATTCAATGAATTCTTCAGTTCCGGAATTTATGTTTGGTTCTTTTAAAAAAAATGTGTATCTCTTTGATGAATTCTTTTCCAATTTTCTGTATTGTTTTTCAAAATTATCTTGTTTGCTGAGCTTCTTTAAAATCAGTAATTTGAATTATTTACCCATGATTTCATTGATTTTTTATTGGTATCTGTTGCTGTAGAATTATTGTGTTCCTTTGAAGGTGTCATATTTCCTTGCTTTTTCATGTTTCCTGTGTCCTTATGTTAATATCTGCACATCTGATGTAACAATCACTTATTCCATGTTTTTTAAATTTGCTTTTGTAGAGAGGACTCTTCTCTGAAGATTATCTATGATGTTGGTTGAGTAGGGCACTTTGGCTTTGATTTTGGATGCAAGCAATAGCGTAGTTTCTGTATGATCTCCTTGGCTATAAATAGTATCAGTGGTATCTGTGATTTATTTCCTTGATAGCTTAGGGTGTGGTTATTAGTGGAGGCTGTGGTAAAGTTTTCTGGGAACTAGGTTATTAGGTAGGCCAGTGGTACAGCAGTGGTCTGAAGATGCCTGTCTTTGAGCCCCAGAGTGATGTATGCTGGCTCTGGTATTAGTGGGTCCAAGTGGGCCAATTACTGGGCTTCCAGGTGGCTTGCTGAAATGCTAGTAGTGGCAGCAGTGGGCCTGGCATGTGGACTGGTTCTCTTGCCCTTGGTCAGCAGACTTGATGTGGGCAATGGCAATAGCAGTGATTGGGCCACTCACTGAAATCCAAGTTGGTCTGAGCTGTAATGGGTTGGATGGGCCAGTCTCATGGTGCTTGCAAGTGAGTGCCAATTGTGGTGGTTATCAGGGGGTTGAGTTGCCCGCACCTCAGACCCTGGGAAGAGTGCACATGTGCCAACAGTAGTGGACTAGGCTGGGTGATTTCCAAGCCCCTGGATGGCATGCTCAAGTACTGAGAAGACAGGACTAGGTTGGCAGAATTGAGACTTGTCCTCAGGTCCCCTGGTAATATGTTCAGGCATGGCTATGATAGGTAGGAACAAGGTGGTCCCCAGGCAGTCAGCAGAATGCTCAGGTGAGGGCACTGGTGGCTTCAGTTCAGGGCTGCCACTGGGGAGGGCACAGACACTCTCATTGGGAGCAGCATAGGTAGGTAGTTGTGCAGCATGTGATTTGCTCATGCCTCAGTCCCCCAGCAGCTTGCAGCTCTAGTGACAGCGGGATTTATCCTTAGGGTACACAAAAGTATCTGGCCTCATCTCCTCCCTGGCCTGGTGGTAGCATCAGTGGCATCAAAACCAGGGCAAGACATAGTCCTTTAGGGGCTCGGCTTTCAGAATGTCACTGTGCTGCTCAGGGCTTACAGGCCTGTGGGTCACAGCATGAGCTCCCTCTTTGAAGCAATACCACTGTGCAATTTCTAGGCAGCTCTCTGTGTTAGTCTCTAGGCCTGTGAGGATCGAGGGGCTCTCCTGTCAGTAAGATAGTATGTGGTGGGAATGTGGACCCTGGGAGGTCTCTCACTTACCCTTTCCCTGTGTTAGGGAGCTTCTCCCAGCTCCCAGCCAAACCCCCCGAGCAGGCTACATTGCTTCCATTTCCTCTGTTACCTTTGGTGCTTCCTGTCACTTTTTTGTGGAATTCCAGTGTTCTCTCTTAGATGATCTATTCCAAGTGTGAATATCTACTTGCTATTTTGGTTCTTTTCCATGGTAGAGGCACATAGCTGCCTGTTGTTTGTTTGTTCCTTTTTTTTTTTTCTTTTTAAGAGACAGCATCTTGCTAGATTGCCTAAGCTGTACTTGTACTCCTGGGCCCAAGTGATCCTCCTGCCTTAGCCTCCAGAGTAGCTAGGATTGTAGGCACGAGCCACTGCACCCAGCTAATTTGCTATTTTGTAAAGTACAAATATGGACTTTTGCCTGGTTTACATTCTGAATATACCATCAAGTCTGAGGTTTGATTTTTTTCTCTTTTAACTTATGAGCAAATAGCCATATTGTATAAATATTTTTGAATGGGCTTATGTCGGAGGAAAACAAACAAACCACCATACCTAGCATGGAAGTAATCTGACACATCACATTTAATTATGTGCCTCAGCCTTGAGGGCAGAGATTAGACGGCATGCATTTTCACATCCCGAACCTTACAAAGTGTGTGCACAGTGCGGGCCCTCAGGAAATGTATGTTGAAAGAATTGATTAGGAAGTTTCATAGGCATAGTTTTGGTTAATTCTGTATTTACTTTGCCAAACCAAGATTTTCTGAGAAGGATGAGGGGAGAGGAGAGAGCTAGGTGCCGTGAAAAGCCTTTTAAAGGAAGAACAGAAGTTGAAGAGCAAAGTGGGCCAGGGAGTCAGGAAACAAAAGGGTGATGTGTGGGGACAGCTGTGGTCTCTCTTTCCTTTCTGCCACCAGCAGGAGGCTGGGTCAATCCTTCCCTCTTCAGTAAGGGCAGACACTGCTCCTGCAATGGGGAACCCAGCACTGCAGAACAAGCCAGAGTCTGCTGTGTGTAAAACCTCCAGTCGTATAGAATTCTAGTCCCCAAGCCCCCATATCTCCCAAAAGGGGAATGCCCAGTCACATGGGTCCCTTGAGGTCATGGCTCCAGGAACCAGCAAAGCCTAGCTTGCAAGGAGAGGTCATTTATTTACACTGGGCAAGCAATGCATGATGCAAGAAGACACAGAGTCTGCCTTAGTGACCAAAGAGATCCCTTTGCCTCATTCTCCTGTGGAAGCAATCAAGAAAGGGAGGTTGGGCGAGGTGACCTTCCAGAGCCGAATCTGTGCTTCTAAAAATAGAAGCATCCTTGGAGAACTGAGAAGGGGAGGGAAAGCTTTGGACATTGAGGGCAAGAACCTGAATCCCCAGAGCATTGTCAGTAGGAAACTGTATTAATTAGACACAGGCACCTCAGCTCGATAACCTCAGGTATCTCTCAGAAATTGAAACGAAATGAAATGGCTTTTTTTCCCTCCTTTCTGGTTATACTGTCCCTGAGCTAAAAAGGAGAAAGAGAATTGTGTCTTCTGACCTATCTGAATGGCTGCACAGTGCCTGAGATATCTTCCCCAGTGGAGGGAAATGGGGAGTCTTTAGAGGCACGCCAGCAAAAGAAAAGAGCTGCTGCAAAGTGGAACTGTGAAAGGCAGGCAGCAGGGCCACCTGGGGGTCTGGGTCTCTGTTCTCTCCCTGCAAGGAGGCTGTGCGGGACTAGGCGAGTACTTGGCTGTGTCCAGGGCTCTGAATGTGTGGGCTCGCAGGGTGCCACTCTCAGGCTCATGCAGTGTCCTTGTTTGGAGCTATGCGATAGACTGTAAGTTTCCAGGGTCCAGTGGAGCCGTGTGCTGGTCTGCACAGATCGTATGCAGCCAGGGTGTGTGCTGAGCTCTGTGGCATGGGGATCGCGTGTGGGAGATTGGAGGTATGCAGGAGTACACAGGGAGGATATGGTCGCAAGTTTGAGGGGGCTGTGTACGGGAGTGTGTGGGGTGGTGTGGAAACCTGTTGAGAGGCTTCATGATGCTGCATAGGGCTGTGTGCAGAGCTACCCTGGGCCGTGGGTGGGGCACTACAGTACTGGAGGGCACCTGTTTGTGTAACTTTGACTTAGAGGCTCTGTGTGCATTGTAGTAGTGATATGAGTGGAGCCACATAGGGGAGTCTGTGGAGGATTTGTTAAGGCTGTGAGACTTATGCACTGGAGGATGTGTTCTGGGCTACCTGGACACATGAGTCTGTACAGGGCTGCCGGTGACTGGATACATGGTGGCAGAGGCCTGAACAGGGTTACAGCTTTGCCATCCAAAGATAGGCTGTGCCTCCTCAGGGTGAGGTGCTCCCAAAGTGCAGGGATTTATTATTCTCCCTGTGACTGACATGAACGGAAGAGATACCAGGGATTCTACAAGCTGAGCAAAAGGGGCAGTGTGTTCCCTTTCAGTGTGGCCTGAAGCTGAGCCTCTTGCACACCAGGCTGGAGACACTTTCTAATACTTTAGTTTGTGCTTTCTCAACAGGACAACGTGGATCTGGGAGAGCTGATGTTTTCCCTGTGCTATCTTCCAACGGCTGGCAGGCTGACCATTACCATTATAAAAGCAAGGAATTTAAAGGCAATGGACATAACAGGAGCATCAGGTGGGGCATTTTCAAATTCAGACTTCCTCATGCACTTCTACTGTAGTAAGTACCTTATAAAGTTTTAGTATGGTAATAAAGCACATTGACTCTGGAACCAGACTGCCTAGGCTTAGCCCTAGTCCTAACACCTGTGTGACCTTGGGCAAGTCATTTTACCTCTCTGAGCTTTGGATTCCCATCGGTAAGATGAGAGTAATTATAGCGTCTGGCTCACCGGGCTGTTGTAAAACTGAATTCATAAATATAAAGCCATGAGAACAGTGCTAGCATATATTAAGTGCTACATATTGTTAATTATTGTTATTATTACATTTAGCCTTCTATATCCACCAGTTCCACATCTGTAGATTCAACCAACGATGGATTAAAAATACTCAGGAAAAAAGTAATACAACAATAAAAATAATACAGTTTTTTAAACAATACAGTATAACAACTATTTACACAGCATTTATGCCTGATTAGGTATTGTAAGCAATCTAGAGATGATTTAAAGTATACGGGAGAATGTGCGTAGGTTATATGCAAATACGATGCCATTTTATATAAGGGACCTGAGCATCCTTGGATTTTCCTATCTGTGAAGGGTCCTGAAACCAATTCCTTGTGGATAACAAGGGACAATAGTACTCTCTTGGGTCTCCCTCACCATAATTGTGAATTGGACCTACCATTTACACACACTGATAAAGCTTATCTAATTGGGTCTTTCCTCAAATATCATCATCCCAGGCTCATTGAAGACTGAGAACAATCCTATGTCCTTATTAAAGGGAACTATGAATTTTAGATTTTTCCAGTAAACCAAGCATTAAATTCTGAACTCTAACAAGAAAAAAAAAATGCCTCTATATGCATTGCTAACTGTGCAAATTCACAAGCAACCTCTGCAGGTGTTTCCCAAATGTGGTCACAAAACACCCAGTACACCCTGGCTTACATCCTCTGAAATCAAAGAACATCAGATGCAATATATTCTGCATCCTATATCCCAGTGTTTTTGTTTTTTTAAGCAGAAAGAAAAAAAAGCTGTGGTCCCTCTGGTCATCTAAGTCCCTACTGGACTGCATATAGGAGTCAGAGCAATGCATGGTTATGCAGGTGAAAATAGAACAAGGACTTCCCAATAAACAGAAGAAGAGTGAGATAGCTGTTAGGACCAGAAGAGCCCTATCTGGAGCAGAGGCCAGCCTTGCCACCTGTTACCCCATCACAGTGTTGCACCCCAAGGAAGCCTGTGGCCTTTCTCTCCCTGATATGCTGAGCTGCTTCTCCTTTTGCAACCCAAGGGCAGGCCACTCTAGGGGCTCAAGGTCTCTATACTTAAGGAATTCCACTCCCAGATGTTCTCTGTCCTCTAGGAATTCAGAAATTCAGAGTCTAGGAATTCCCTTTCTTAAAGACCTGAAAAGATTCCCTGAGGTGGCTCAGAGCTGGGGGGCCTGTTTTCAGCCTTGGAAATGCTGGTGCATTTCTCTTGCTATCCTGGCCAGGCCAGTCTTGAGTTCTAGCTGGAATGTCTCCTAATTCCTTAACAGATGTTTTCAAACTATTTTTAAATTACACACATTTTCAGGAGACAGTATCCTGTGCTTTTTCTTGAATGAGTGACTTAATTATCCTAACTAGTTGCTCCCCAGATATCATATTAATGACAGTCCTCCAACTCCAGTCCACAGGCAGGTAAAGGAGTTCAGCATACCATAGTCCATGAAAACTCACAGTGATATAACTGCCCACCTAAATCTATACGTATCCTCACAGTACTCCTGCTTCTCATGGTCTGTCCAGATCCCTATGTGAAAGTCTCGCTGATGTGTGATGGCAGACGACTGAAGAAGAGGAAAACATCCACCAAGAGGAACACCTTGAATCCTGTTTACAACGAAGCCATAGTCTTTGATGTCCCTCCCGAGAACATTGACCAAATCCACTTGTCCATAGCAGTCATGGACTATGACCGGTGAGATACCTGGAACTCTTTTCCAGTGCAAGTTCACTGTGCCCAGGACTGGGAAGGCAGAGGGGGAGCAGCAGCCACAGATTCTTACCTGGTGTCCCAGGCTGCAGGAAATGAGTCAACTAGCAGTGCATGGGAAGCACATTGACAGGAGTCACCTCTAAACCATGCTGTAGAGTCAGACTACCAAAGTGTCTCTCAGCACTCCCATTCTTTTCTGCCCCGTTCTCATTTTTTTTCCTATTCCTACATCCTCCCCCAACCTCCACCTCTTCCCCTTTTCATCTTTGCACAACTCCTAGAATCTCAGCTTGGAGAGCTGTGGCCCCACAGGTTTTATCTTCTGTCAGGCAGTGCTAACTGCCCTTCATTGGAAGGATTCCACTCAAAATGGCAGAATGATTACTTTCGCCAGACCATCAACATTTCCAAATACATAACTTCAATCTTTTTCCTTCTCACAAGTATTTAATAAAGATTGTTTCCTTCTACTTAAGTCTGAAAACAAACACAGAAATGTTCTCCTGAAAGTGCTAGAATCAGTATGGATGACAAGGTACATTAAAATGTATAAGATGCTCAACTTTTTAATTAATACAGCACAGAAGAGATATTTATAGCCTGCATTGTAGCCAATTGTGTATTTAAAGGACAGATTTGAAAAACAGTCATTTTAATATGCAAAGGAAGTACCAACAGGGAATTATACATGTTAAACCAGTCATTAGACTAAAATGCAAAGTCTCTCTTTAATTGGAAACCTCCCACGTGGTCTGGACACAATTATTAAAAAAAATATTCTGACTTCTAATATTATTTGTGACTAAGAATTTTCCCACATACCTCTGAAATATCAGGAAGGCAGCTTCAGTGACCTGAACACTCTTTCCAGCAGATGCCTGCGTGAAGCATGACAGTCTTCCAACCCAAGGAGCACGTGGGTTGGCTCAGCTGCCCATGAGTGTGACAGCCCATGCTGAGCAGTAGACCTTGTCCCATCTCCTGTGGGCAAGAAACAACACCAACAGTGTCAGGCCCCAGTAGGGGACATTGCCCACCAACTGTGGAAGCCTAGGCCAGCAATTTTTAAGCTATTGCCAAGTTTCCTGCATGGACAAATCTGATTATGTGAGCTCTGCCTTAATTTAATTCTCAGTAAACTCATGAATCTGGCCTGGAAAAATTCATGGCAGAATTCATGGGGCTTCTGCATGCATTTGATTTTAATGGGCAGAGACTCAAATATCCTTCACGTGACCTCCCCACCCTCATCTCACCTTTATGCTCCATACACAAATAGGAGAAAAATCACTCATCTTTGCAGGAGGGAAAAAAAAAAGAGAAAGTATGTGAGTTTGGATCCCATAGAATTAAAGAATTGGCCATATCAGTCCAGTTATACCAGGGACTTTTTAAAAAACTGCTAGAGAAAACAAAAATGTCTCAAGGCGGGGACCTACCTAGGGAGAGTTTCAGAAATATTAGCCTTGGCCGGGCATGGTATCTCACACCTGTAATCCCAGCACTTTGGGAGGCTGAGGCAGGTGGATCACTTGAGGTTAGGAGTTCGAGACCAGCCTGGCCAACGTGGTGAAACCCCGCCTCAACTAAAAATACAAAAATTGGCCAGGCATGGTGGCATGCACCTGTAATCCCAGCTACTTGGAAGCTGAGACAGGAAAATTGCTTGAACCCGGGAGCTGGAGGTTGCAGTGAGCCGAGATCATGCCACTGCACTCCAGCGTGGGTGACAGAGTGAGACTCCATTTCAAAAAAAAAGAAATATTAGCCTCAAGGTCAAAGGAGCTATGTATCTTTCTATAGTTGGGAAACTAACTGGGCCAAAGAAGCTGAACTTAGAAGAAAGGAGGGACAAGTATAAGACAATAACAGTATTCTCTAAAGAGAGGAAGCAGGAAGATCCATAAGCCTCCTTCACTTACCTTAGTTTGTGGGCTGAAGACCCATGGCTGCCAGACACAAAACTGCTCCCTCACCCATGCTTGGTTGCCTCTTGTGGGAATTAGAGCAGCCATTATTGCAAGAAACTCATTTCAGATGACTCCCTCTTTATTACATGGAGGCCAGCCTAGATCCAGGACGAGAGGTGGCATCCTTAGCACAAATCGTGGGGTTCTTTGAACAAGGTTCTTGGAAACAAGTTGACCCATGTCAGTTTTAGGACAGCCAGGGTATACGTTAGATCCCAAGTCCTATTGGCCGTGAAGCTTAGCCTGTAGTTTTAAGTGAGGAAATGAAAAAACAAACAAACAAACAAACAAAAAACCACATCCCCAATTCCTTCATCAGTTTAATTGAGTAGCTATTGATCTTACATACCAAAATTTTAAGAAAAAACTATTGTGGGCCATTTTCACAGTGTAGGTCACAATGAGATCATCGGCGTGTGTCAAGTAGGCAACGAGGCTGAGAGGCTGGGCAGAGACCACTGGAGTGAAATGTTGTCATATCCTCGGAAGCCCATTGCACACTGGCATTCCCTGGTGGAGGTAAGACCCTAATCCACATGCTCCACTTTGCATAAGAGTAAATGCTTTACTGTTGAAATGCAGGAGCTGCCAAACATATGAGTGCACCAGGATCTATGGTCATAGACGGGTTTTCCTGGTTGCATTTCCTGGGGCTGTTGGGACTTGCATTCAATTTGAGGCTGAATCTGTGCTTCCCACCAGTCTGGTAGGTTTTGAGTATTGATCAGAGATCATCCCTCATTTTGATTGTATTTTTAAAAGATCAAGATTCTCTGCTTCTGTGTTAAGGCTTTGGGTTGGTACTTGGAGGGCATCTGCAAGGTGTGGGTGAGTGGGGACTTTCAGGCCTTCGTACAGTGACTTGAGACTGACTTTGGAAAAAACATAAGGCCTTGATTCTAAGACCAGCTCTGGCACCAACCTGTGATTCTGGGCAAGTGGGTTAGTATCAGGTTCAACTACATATAATAAAAACCAAAACAACCAATTATAAATTAAAAACAAATGAAATGAGAATTTATTTCTCTCTCTTATATACAAAAAGTCTAGAGGAAGGCAGTCTGGAGTATCTTAGCAGCTCCATGATCAACAAGAGACCTAGACTTCTGTCTTTCTGCCTCACAGTCCCAGTGTGGCTTTGTTCCTTGAAGTCCCCTCATTATACAATATGGCTGCTAAGCTCCAACCATTGCATATTTTCTAGGCCACAAAAATGTGCAAAAGGGCAAGAGCCAAAAGGGCACACATTCCCTTTTTGATTCTCTTTGAATTCTCATGCAAGACTGCTATTTACATTTAATTTAGTCACAAAACTTAGTCACGTGGACATGTCAAGTTGCAGGGGATAGTTGGAAATGTAACCTTTTTGTTGGGTGTCAATGTGTCCAACTAAAAACCAGGGTTCTGTTTGCAGAGAAGAGGAAAGTGAAAACCTGGAGTCAACCGGCCATCATTCTGCCACTCACATCCTCATTCATTCACTCCCTCCCCCTTTACTTCTCATTCATTCTTCCCCTACTTATCTTTGCTCATTGATTCACTCTCTTATTTATTCACTAACTTGTTCTCTCAAAAATAATTTGCACTCCCTAAGTAACATGTCTGAGGGTCCAATGCTATAATAGCTACAGAAAATACAGATATGAATAAGAAACAGTCCTTTCCCTTGTAGAACTTACAGACTGTAAAATAAACAAAAGATGACATGTAAACTAATCTTCGAGAGGCACAAATACAAGCATTTCCATCCATATAAAGTGCTACAAAAGCGCAAAGGAGAGAGATGTTTACTGTGCTTAGAGGAGATTGTGAAGCATCTCTCCTTCATGCTCTCAATAAGTAAAGAGAACTGAGCCCCCGGGAACTGGAAAGCCAGGAGGGCAGCAGCAGTTATTTACTGAGGATGCGTGGGTTCCAGGCAGAGAGCTTTCCTCTGTTCTCCTGGTGCAGGAAGCTCTCTTCCATGCAAAGCCATCTGAGAGGCCAAGACTAGAGCCTCACCCAGTGTGGGCACCCCTGCCATTGATAGTCAGGTGAGTCTGGTTGAAGTGAACACAGGGCGGCTGTGGAGAGGCAGAGAGGCAGAGAGGCCCCAAACCCAGACAGGGGAACCAAGGGACATCTTTGTTGGAAGTGGGGCAGGAAGGAGAAGGCAGGACAGGGTTTATGGATTCTAACCATCAGGGCACCCAGATGTATTCAAGAAGAGCCTAGGACCCCCTAATTTGCGGGTTCTTAAGGATAGTTCTGCCCGTGGGCCATAGGAGCAAAATTGATCCCTAAGGGAGACCCACAGGATCTATGAGCCACTTGAGAAGGAGCTGGAGACTGGTGCTCACTGAACTATACCTCACTTCTTCAGCTCCTGGTGGAATTCTCAAAGGAGTCCATCTGTGGGCTCATTAGATTTTGGGGGCCTGTCACTAGCAGTGGCATTTAGAAGAGTTGTAATAGACTTTTTGCACCCTTATGAGCCATTGCTGACTTTAATTCTTATTGGTAATTAGGAGTATCAGAGAGTGTTAAAGCTCTGTGCTTCTCAGGAAACAAGAAATGAGAAAGGAGTAAGGATGAGGTGTGTGGTGTAGGGCTGAGAGGTGAGCCCTGATTCATGCACAAGCAGTTTTTTTTCAGTGACCTGGGCAGGGGAGTAGTCCTGGGTGGAGTGTTGCACACGGGTCCCTGAGTGGCAGTATATGCACGTGTTACACAAAGGAGAGTGCAGGGAGCAGGCCTTGGAGGCCTTTTCCTTCACTGTGGAGAAAAAGTGTGATATAAATTCATTCACCTGAGAGATATTCCTCAAACCCCAAACACTCAGCTTTTTGGAAATCTGTGCTCCACAGTTATGTAACTGAAAAGTAAATGCCATTAGGGTTAAACCACTGAAACTTAGAAGTCATTTGTTACAGCGGCTAAAATTACTTTGGCCAATACAATGGTCATTTCTGAACTGTTACAGCAGAACTAAGGAAATGAAATGCCTGTGGGGCTTATATGAAGGGCAAGCCTTCATATAAGCAGGGGGAGGGCAAACCTTCCTATAAGCAGAGGCAGAGGGAGGCTGCCTCTTCCCCGTTGCTTCCTGTCTCTTTGAAGTACACGTCTGGGACTCCAGATCCATCCTGAGAGAGGAAGTGATGCTTTTTCTTTTAAAAATGAACATTGAGCTGGCAGAATTGGGGCAATGGTACCAGATGAGATGAAAAACAGTATTGGAGAGGTTGGCCATGCTTCGTTAGCAGCTGTAAGGATGGAGGAGGCAACAGGCAGACTGGCCAGAAACATTCACTTTGGAGTTGGAAGGACCTATATTCGAATTGCTGTCCTGCCACTCACTAGATGTTTGTTTTTCCCCTTCTGAACCTCAGTGTTCTCATCTGTAAAGTGGCCATAACAGTGCTTGTCTCACAAGAGGGATGGTGAGGATTAAACAATCTATTTATATGAAATGCAGCATTGTAGCTGATATATAATAAACACTCAGTAAAGTTTTCAGTTATAGTTGTTATTATGTATGCCCCACATTCTGAGGGGCTGCTGTGTGTCCTTATGGGCCTATGTCCTGTGAAGAAATATCATCCATGTGTGTCATGGAGAATAAGAGAAAGGCCGGGAATCCACCACTCCTGCACCCCAGTGAGCCATCATCTCAGAGTGGGGGGAAGGGGTCATCCAGTACTTGGCTAAACACAGATGCACATATTTAAGTTTTGTTTCTTTCCTCTTTTCCTTGGCCTTAAAGACAGGCTGCTGTTATGCTCTCTAAGAACCTTTTAAATGTCTTCTTTAAAACAAAAACCAGCAATTAAATCTCAGTGCTCATGATAACAGAGTATGTGAGTGTGCACTCATGAGCATGTGTGTATGGAAGACAGAGAGAGAGGGAGAGAGAACGAAGATGGGGGCCCTGGGATTTAGCATGGAGGGAGGCTGGCCTGGCAGAAGCTCTTCACTGCTGAGGAATTGGTTAGGTCTAAACTCTGAGCCCTGCAGAGATCTGGCAGCCTGCTCAGGGTTGCATCCAATACACCCTGACCTTGCCAGGGCAGGTGGCAGATGGAATCTTCAAAGCCAGTGAGTTCAAAAATCCGTTTCTCTCGCAGGAATTCTGGATGAATTCACTGCACACTCAAAGGTCAGCCAGTAGGGCTCCCTTTACTCCCCATGATGCCAAAGGTTTGGAAAGCTGTGAAAACTCCCCCAAGCAGACTGCCTAGGGCTTAGGAATCGGAGCACCCCCTCCATAGGGCCTCAGATGACAGAGCTCTAAGAGCTCCCTTAGCACGGCACCCTCCTCCACCAATTCAAGAGAAGATGGTTTCGGCCTGGCCATATCACAACACCTTTCCTGCCTCCTGTATGTCAAGATGACCAACATCATAAGCCTCATGGAGAATAATAGGAAATAGTTCCAAGTTTTCATCGCTTCCCTGTGTAGTGCCATGTAACATCTGTTGTATGAATAAGTACTAATCTTGGTTTGGTGGGAAGACGAGACACAGACACTATCTGGTTAAATGAAATTTCACTTTTCTAAAAGAAGAAAGAGAATCCGATCAGAATATATAGTCAAGATCAGCACTATTATCCTATAGGCATAGGTGTAGGATTCCAAACACCAAAGTTCTACTCAAGGCGTGCCCCATTTTGGATGTCTGCCTCACTCCAAGCTCAACCTTTGTGCATACACGTACATACAGCTACAAAAGTTCTGCATGTCTGACTGTCTGCTGGGACCAGCTCATTGAGCCTCCTGCCCCTCTTCAACTCAGAATTACATAATGCCAAGTATAACCAGAAGGCAGTTATGGTACAATATGCCCAGACATAAACAGAGCCCTCATTTATCACCCTCAGCCTCTAGAAGGGTATAAACTTAGAGTCAAAGGACTACAGCAACTGTCAGTTACCCAGACTTGTAGTTACACAAGCAGCCCGTGTAAACCATCTCTAGATATTATCTGTCAAGTGTCCAGCAGGGCCTATCTGGAGTCTTGGAGATCCACATATTCCCAGGAGAATGTATCTGATTGCCCAAGATTTGATTAGGTGTCCATCCCGGTGCAATTTGCTGTAGGTCTGGGGTCATGAAAATGTGACCTGGACCTACCTCAGCAGGAGTTTTGGGAGTAGACTTCTTGAGAAGAGTCCGCACAGGACAGGGAAATTGTCTAAAATGAACATGAATGACTGTTTCCCAAAGGAATTTAAAGTGAGGAGTGAGAGGCTTTAGCACTGTGGCCAAATTGTTATTCACAACAGATTTAGGAAAGGAGCAATTCACCAGGAAAGATGGGAGTGGGGAGAGCATGGGGTGACTGGGAAAAGCCACGTAGGAAATCAGGTTCCCATCAAGGGGATTTGGGTGTGTTGCAGGGCTTGGGTCTTGTTGAGAACCAGACTAGCAGGGAAGAACACTGAGACAAGACAAAAAGAAAAGCATGGACTGAAACGTACAATAGGGAAAGTCCTAGAAAGTGCTGCTACTCAGCAAGCATTAAGGCCCCCAAGACTGCAGGTCTTTGGAAACACCTGAATTCCAGACCCCTGTCAGTTGGTGGGGAACCAAGGCTGCCAATTCCATGCATTGCCCTCTGAAGGAGTGGCTTATGGGCTAGATAAATGAACATAGCAAAAGCCTAATACGTGTGTTAGGGGATGGCGAAAGAGAAGTGAGCAGTCAGGACGTGGAGGGCTACATGCTGCTGCAATATCTTGCCCATATGATGAGGTGCTCCCCCCCAATATAGTCCAGCATCGTGTCTCATGTCTCAGTGTCTCTGAGAACAAAATTTTTGTTATGAATGAAAACAGAAAAAACAAGAAACATTTAAATCACATTAAAATAGGGCAAGAAAACATAAATTTATTTATTATCTGAAAGGATACATACCATCTTGGTAAGAAACAGGAAGAGGTAAATGAACTTTATCTTGCTAATTAGTAGTTCTCGGTCTTTTCCAGGTTATGTCAGTCTCTTTGGGATAATTATTTTCTCCTCTTCCTAGGAGTCTCCTCTCTCCTTCCTTCCTCCCTCCCAGCTAGGTATAGGGAAGTACAAAGGCTACCTCGTGGCATTGGCTGGAACTGTGCATATTGTTCTGCTTGTCTTTGGGCATCAGACTTCATCATCACTACCTCTGCTGCTGAGGATCATGGCTGGTGTAACTGTGGGCTATAGTCTCAGCATAGAAACTTGGCCACCTTGAGGCTGATGAGACCCCACATCAGCTGTTGAAGTCCCTGTGGATCCCTGAGGGCAGGTAGCACCTCCCACTCAATGCTTGGCCTGGGAGCTTTTCTTTGCAGCCCTTAATACAGAGTCATTCCCCACTTGGTGGAATTCCCTGAAATTCTAACAACCAATACTCTCACATCCTTCAGGCATTTGGGCACACAAGGGAGCCACAGGAGACTCAGTGCCATCACAGGCATCTTCTTCATGCCTATAAAGTTACATGGTCATTTCTACATTGTTCCTCTAGCCTGTGTTGGCCCAGGGGTCATGTTTGCCTTAAGCTTCCCCCTCAATCCATCTAAACTTGGGGTTTCAAGCCTGAACGGTAAAGCCAGAACCTCTCCTCCTCTCTTCTCTGTATCTCTTCTGCCAAAGGGTCTCTGCTTCCTCTACCTGTCTGGTGGAAACAATATATATCTTAGCATGATTTCCCTCTACCTATGACTCACGCTCAGACCTCCAAGGTTTCCTCTCAGCATGTAAGGAAACATTTGGAATTTGGATCCCCTTTTTCTCAATAAGGCCTGGCTTTAAGATAAAGTTGCATGGTCATTTCTACATGTAACATGAAATAAGATACTTATTTCATAGGAGACTAGCTGATCATTTACCTTGAGTTATCAGCCCTCAGCTTCCAAGAATATATGGCGTTTATTCAATGCATGCATTTTCTGATTTACAGACAATAAGAACATTATCTCTGTTACGTAGGTATTGAGTTAGCATTTGGTGAACAAATGAAAAAAAAATGAATGAATGAGATATATATAGAATGAATTGAGTTCCCTTCGTTCTAAAGTTCCAGAATTCCCATGCAGTGGAGTACACAGTAGAAGTCAGTTCAGACAAGGTGTAAAAAGGTATTGAGAATGGATTTGTATTAGGCTGTTCAAATAGAGATGGCCCTTATTAAGCTCCAAGTTTTAATTACCTTTTCTCTATTTAGGAGAAGAACATGAAAAGGGACCAATTCCTCCCTTGGTTCCAATAAACTGCCACGTAATGACAATGGCTTTGCATTTTTGAATAATGAGAAATATTCAGAACTGAGGCCCCTTAGTGAATCATGAGGGTCCCCCTCTACTTGATGTAGGCAGCCAAGTCCTAGAGCGCTCAATATGTCCTTTCATAAGAGAGAAGAAACACACAGAGATCCCAATGGTGAATGGCAGACTGCTGTGCCCTAAGTGAAAACTGATCAGGAGGTGACAAGGACTTTAGCCCACAAGTTGACCTTTCTCACTAGGAATATATTTTAGCAGCAGTTTTACACAAGGTAATGCTTTGCCCCATCTACCTGTGAAGATAAAGAAGAGAAAAATAATAGGAATGGGGTATTTTTTGACAAAATGAAGAAATTATTCTTCAGATTTTGTTGTAAAAAATAAACTATTTTGAATGGTGAGATTTAGCATGCCAGCACGCATAAACACCTGCAGGGCCGCTGAAGCAAAACTGATTGCAGAGAACATAAAAATCTACTACAAGTTTAGGATCTGAAAAACATTAACAGACCTGTTAGAATTTGTGTCAATTGCTGTAAGTGGCCAGAATGCTGTTTGGACAAGCAGGCACTGTTAGTATTAGTGGGGCATTGTGTTTCCAGCTGGTAGAGGTTATGGTTAACAAACAAAGCTAGGGCCATTCAGACCTTCCCAAGCAAATCTTCTTTCTTGTATTGAATTATCTGTAGAAAAAAAGAGAGAGAGACGGTAGGCATTTTCTCATCTTTGTCAGGGATGGGTGACTTTTGTGACTTTTCTGAAGGTTTGTAGAGATAGTAATCATACAAAACATAGGAGTACTTAGGGTAAACACTAGAGGTATAAAAGATAATGACAATGTGGTAGAAAATAACATTTCTGCCTGAACAGAAAGTCAACTGCATCTTGACTCTCCTGTCATTACAGATGACCTTGCTCCAGTAGTCACTGCCTTGGAGCATCCCTGCTGCACACTTGAATAGCTATTAAATAGGAAGGTGGATGACAATGGGCTTGAGCCATCAGCTGTCTCCATCTCCAGGGATGGCATTCAGAGGTGATTGCTAACATGATAGGCCAGTTCTTTCCCCGCAGATGAAATGAACCAGAGTGGTTTATGCCACTCTCTGAAAGAAACACACTCCCTCCTGATAGTGTGGTGGGAGGAAGACTGTTCCCTCCTGGGGAATGGGGCCTGGGGCAAAGGCGGAGCACCCTGGCAGAGGACACTCAGGAAGCCCACTGCTCCTGGATATGAATCTTTCAGAAGACGCACTTGTCAAATGCTGTCTTCCAAACATCACCAGAACAACCTATTGATAAGACAAAGCTGAGTTTATTGCTTTCCCAGGTAATGGAAGGGGAAGGGCAGAGTCTCATTTGTTGAGACTTTGAAGTGTGGTTTAAGGTGGGTCTCTCCATGTGACGAGGGAGATGAAGTGGGGAGGTGGGGACCTTGGTTAGGTTTGGATCAG
The DNA here is from genome assembly GCF_000001405.40 of Homo sapiens. Lineage (NCBI taxonomy): Eukaryota > Metazoa > Chordata > Mammalia > Primates > Hominidae > Homo > Homo sapiens. Next base: position 7,428,816 of record NC_000011.10, read on the forward strand.
TGTCATGATATAATAGCTGAGGTGGAACAGCAAGTTGAGGATTTTGAGCCTGGGATTCAAAGAGTCTTGGGGTGTAAACTGTTGATGCTTTCTAAGGAATAGAAATTGGGAAGTCCCATGAGTGAATACTTAAGTTGTAGTAATGAAGACAATAGAATAGTACAGCCAAATTAATGGAGGGTCTGTGTTGGAATAGGTGGTTTTAGTACTCACACTCCAGCAACAAAAAGCAGAAGGGAACCTCACAAAAGATCCTGCCCAGTCCTGTGGGCACCCATACACCGACAGAGTGAATATTTATTAGTTGCCTCTCCAGCATCAAGCCCCTTTTCTGATGGCCCTGATTTCTGATTAATGATTCTAGGGAGCCTGGCTCCATCCTTGTCTCTGGTGATGGTACATATGACAGTTCCAGGCTAAACCTGTCAAGCTAACCATAAGGATTACCACTGCATACGCTGATTCAGTCCAAGAGTATTATAAAACATTTGGTGTGAATGTTTGGACAAAGATGCTCTCTCTTTCTTGTTGGATATAAACAAAGCACTATATACCCTGGGAGCAGCTGTGGCTTCTTTGGATCTCTATAGAAGATCCAGGTTTAGGGAGAAACCAAGCCCATAGATACAAAGAAACCAGATTCTCAGTCATGTGGTTGAGCTCCTAAATCAAACCTCTCCCAAACATAGTGTTACCTCTGGCCTTTATAAGTATGTAAACGTATATATTCCCTTGGTTGTGTAAGCAATATTAAGCAGAATTTATTTTATTTGAAATGAAAAACATCTTATTTAGGATACAGGTGAACACTCACACTGCCCCAGTTGGTGTTCTTTGGGAGTGAAGAGAACCATTCCCAAAGCTGTCGCGAGATCAGCTCTTCTGCCTGGCTCACTGCGGTATGTCCAATACCTAACAAAGTGTGTGGCCCACAGTAGACTCCCATTAAAGTTTTCCTAATGGAGCAAATTATTAATGTTCAGATAATTAACTTGTGTGTTAAAACAAGCATGGTGAAAAGAGGGACACTTGACTCTCAGTGACATACAAATATTATATAAGGTTAAGAAAAAAACTATTTTCCTTTTGCATTTATATGTTATTCAAATTCTACATGGAGTCTCAGGGCCTGTGGGAAGCTCTTCATTTTATGATCACTCCCTTGAGCTGATAAAGGCACAGTTCCTCAGGAGTGAAGATCAGTCACATAGCTGTCCTTTCCCTTCAATGTCTTATGTGATGTACTGCAATTCATTTATTTACAGCAAAAATGAAGATCTACACTCTTTTAACACAATAATTTTAGCAATTCTAGTATTATTTTTATTTCTACGTTATCTATTTTTATGTAAAACTCAAATGTATATTTAAAGTCTTCAGTCATTGGTGGTAGAATTACATATTTTTTTCGCACCTTAGATAAAATTCAGGATGTAAAATGTGATGATATTGATAATCAAAATGCTTGAAATAAAGAAAAGAGGGTTTCTATAAAGCAAGGGGAACTTTACCATTCATTGAGAAATTATATAATGCAATTGTAACTTTTAGGTATATGGTACACTATGATGAGTTATACTCAAATTGTCAGAAACAGAAGCAGTTATGAATAAGGCAGGAAAACAATAGGGTGATTTTTTCCTTCATAGCTTAGGATCTGAATGGTGTGTGCTTAGATGCTTTACATATTAATAGTAAGTGTTCATATTAGTAAAGTTTACTAAAGAGCGGTCATAAAACCAATTAATATGGTTTAAATATTTGTCCCTGCCCAAACCTCATGTTGAATTGTAATCCCCAATGTTGGAGGTGGGGCCTGATGGGAGGTGCTTGGGTCATATCCATCATGGCTTGGTGCGGTCCTCTTGATAGTGAGTTCTTGCAAGATCTGGTCATTTAAAAGTGTGTGGCACCTTCCACCCTGCCTTGCTTCTGCTCTGCCAAGTGAGATGCTGGCTCCTCCTTTGCCTTCTGCCATGAGTAAAAACTTCCTGAGGCCCCACCAGAAACCAAGCAGATGTCAGTACCATGCTTTTGGTACAGCCTGAAGAACTATAAGCCAATTAAACCTCCTTTCTTTATAAATTGCCCAGTCCCAGGTATTTCTTTATAGCAATGCAAGAAAAGCAGTACCAGAAGTGAAGTGGGGTATTGCAATAAAGATACTTGAAAATGTGGGAGCAGCTTTGGAATTGGGTAATGGACAAAGGTTGGAAGAGTTTGGAGGGCTTACAAGAAGACAGAAAGATGAGAGAAAGTTTGGAACTCTCTTAGGGACTGGTTAAATGGTTGTGACCAATATGCTGATAGTAATATGGACAGTGAAGTCCAGACTGATGAGACCTCAGATGGAAATGAGGCTCTTATTGGGAACAAGAGCAAAGGTCATCTTTGTTATGCTTTAGCAAAGAACTCGGTTGTATTGTGTCCATACCTTAGGGATTTGTGGGAGTTTGCACATGAGAGTGATGATCTAGAGTATCTGGCAGAAGAAATTTCTAAGCAGCAAAGCATTCCAGATGTGGCCTGGCTGCTTCTGACAGCCTAAGAAATGACTTAAAGTTGGAACTTATATTTAAACAAGAAGCAGAGTGTAAAAGTTTGGAAAATTTGCAGCCTACCGTGTGGCAGTAAAAGAAAAAGCTTTTCAAGACAGAAATTCAAGCAAGCTGTGGAGGAACCACTTGCTAGAGATATTGGCATAACTAAAAGGGAGCCAGGTGCTAACATCCAAGACAATGGGAAAAAGACCTCAAAGGCATTTCGGAGACCTTGGCAGCAGCCCCTCTCATTACAGGTTCAGAGGCCTAAGAGTGATGAATGGTTTTGTGGGCCAGGACCAGGGCCCCACGGCCCTGTGCAGCCTCAGGACACTGCTCCCCACATCCCTACTGCTCCAGCTCTAGCCATGGCTCAAAGGGGCCCAGGTCCACCTCCAGCTGCTACTTAAGAGAATGCAAGCCATAAGCTTGGGCAGCTTCCATGTGGCATTAAGCCTGCAGGTGCTTAACTGTGGGTACCAGAGTGAAGGTTTAGCAGCTTCTGCCTGGATTTCAGAGGGTGTATGAGAAAGCCTGAGTGCCCAGGAAGAAGCCTGCTGCAGGGGTTGAGCCCTCCCAGAGAACCTCTACTAGGGCAGTGCTAAGGGAAAATGTGGGATTGGAGGTCCCACACAGAGTCCCCACAGGGGCAGTGTCTAAGGGAACTATGAGAAGGGGGCCACCAGCCCCCAGACCTCAGAATGGTAGATCCACTGACAGCTTGCACCCTGTGCCTGGAAAAGCCACAGGTATTCAACCCTAGCTCACGAGAGCATCCCTGGGGGCCAACCCTGCAAAACCATAGGGGCAGAGCTGCCCAAGGCCTTGGGGGCCCACCCTTTGCACCAGTGTGTCCTGGATATGGGACATAGAGTCAAGGATTATTTTGGAGCTTTAAGATTTAACAACAATCGGGCATGGTGGCTCACGCCTGTAATCCCAGCACTTTGGGAGGCCAAGGCAGGTGGATCAGTTGAGGTCAGGAGTTCGAGACCAGCCTGGACAACATGGTGAAACCCTGTCTCTACTAAAAATACAAAAATTAGCTGGGCATGGTGGCAGGTGCCTTCAATCCCAGCTACTCGGGAGGCTGAGGCAGGAGAATAGCTTGAACGTGGGAGGCAGAGGCTGCAGTGAGCTGAGATTGTGCCATTGCACTCCACCCTGGGCAACAAGAGTGAGACTCCATCTCAAAAAAAAAAAAAAAAAAAAAAAAAAAAAAAAAAAATATATATACATATATATATATATATATATATATATATATATATATATATATATATTTAATGACTGCCCTGCAGGGTTTAAAACTTGCATGGAGCCTCTAGCCCCTTTCTTTTGGTCAATTTCTCCCTTTTGGAGTGGGAATGTTTATCCAATGCTTGTACCTCTATTGTATCTTAGAAGTAAATGACTTGATTTTTTATATTACAGGCTCATGGGTAGAAGGCACTTACCTTGTCTCAGATGAGACTTTGGACTTTGAACTTCTGAATTAATGCTGGAATGACCTAAGACTTTGGGGGATTATTGGGAACACATGGTTGTATTTTGCAATATGGGAAGAACATGAGATTTGGGAGGGGCTGGGGTGGAATTATATAGTTTAAATATTTGTCCCTGCCCAAATCTCATGTTGAATTGTGAACCCTAATGTTGGAGGCAGGACCTGGTGAGAAGTGTTTGGATAATATCCCTCATGGCTTGGTGCTACCCTCATGCTAGTGAGGGAGTTCTTGCAAGATCTGGTTTAAAGTGTGTGGCACCTCCACCCCCCTTGCTCCTGCTCTGCCATTTGCCACACTGGCTCCCTATTTGCCTTCTGCCATAAGTAAAAGCTTCCTGAGACCTCCCCAGAAGCCAAGCAGATGTCAGTGCCATGCTTCCTGTATAGCCTGCAGAACTGTGAACCAATTAATCTGCTTTTCTTTATAAATTATCCAGTCTTGGATATTTCTTTATACCAATGCAAGAATGGACTAATACACCAATCAAGAAAGTAAATACCATCCAAAGGGATTAAGATTGACTATAAATTTTAAAATATGAACATTCTGAATTTTTCTTCCTGTTATTAATGCTTAATGAAGTCCTGGAAATGGGAACGGAGAAGTGGATCCAAATACATCCACATCTGCGTGTGCTTTTTGCTGGGGCTTTATCTGCATTCTCTCTCTGCTATGGTCTGAGTGCTTGCATCCTCCCAAAATTCATATGTTGAAACCTAATCCCCAATGTGCTGGTATTAAGAGATGGGAAACAATTAGGTTATGAGGGCTCTGCCTTCATGAATGGGATTAGTGCCCTTATAAAAGAGGCCCAAGGAAACTTGTTTGCCCCTTCTACCATACGAGGACACAGAATGATGGCCCCATCCATGAGGCAGAGAGCTAGCACTCACCAGACACCAAATCAGCTAGCACCTTATCTTGGACTTTCCAGCCTCAAGGACTGTGAGCAATAAATTTCTGTCATTTATAAATTATCCAATCTAAGATATTTTGTTATAGTAGCCCAAAAGGACTAAGACATCCCCCTTAATGACTGGAGTCAGAATCACATCAAAAAATAAGGCTGAGTTGGAGCCAGCAACATTTATTCACAAGAGAAAGACAGGAATTGGACTGGCTGCAGAGAGGCCCACAGAGTCAGAGACCATCCACCTCAGCTACAGCACAGGGCTCAGCACTGTATTTCTGGTGTTAGTGCTATTCTCAATTCTGTCCCTAGTTCCTGCTACTGAGGAACTCCATACACAGCAGGACAGTCTTCTGCTGTGCCATGAATTCAAACACAATCTGTAAAGACAGTGAAGGAAGCTACGTCTGTGCTTAGGTGCTTTAGAGAATTATCGGCTTGCAGTAATAAGAGAAATGTCTGGGCTGGGTAGTCCTCAAAGACTCCCATGTGGTTCAAGATAACAAAATATAAAGGCTGAGCATCTCGTGCTCCCAACCTAGTTCTAAGGCGTCTATGGAGGGATAGTGAGTGGGGCTCTCTATGGCAGTGATTGCCTCTAATGAAGGAACCAAAAGCCAGGCAGGGATTAGGGTGGGCTTCTGGTTTTAGAAAACATGATGGTAGAGCTCTTCATAGGAAGTTTTTAAGATCAAGGTAGGATCCTGCTTGGAGGATCGTAGCCTGGCAGTCTGGATCAGCCTGGTGGTGGAGGTGAAGGGTGTGGAAGCTGGACTCACTTTGGCACACAAAGTTCAGGAATGAGTTGACAACCAAGGCCCCGTGGCTATGGAAGATCGTATCACATGACCCCAAAGTATGGCAGGGCAGCCAGCGGAGCAGTTCTACCTCTCTACCTTGGGCCTGCAGGGTGACATCAACATTGATAACATTGAAGGCATGATGTTGTCAATATTTATTATAAGCACACTTATAATCTTAAATTTGCACTTTATCCTAGCCTCCGTGGTGCCTATTGTATTTATGGGTGAGTAGTTGGAGGTGACAGAATATAATCTTTCAGTTGCATTTAAAGTTTTATGTTTCTTAAAGTTACAGAAAGTTCGTTCCCAGGACTGGGGCTAATGGCTCTTCTCCTGCTCCTTACAGATAATGTGGCACTTCCATTGCCTAGTATGGAACCAATATATCACATGAATGTGCACTTACCTAGAACTAGTCTTATATCAGGAATGAGGATCCAGGGATCCTTGCAAAGAAAGAAATAATAATTCAGAGAAACCCTACACTCTCAGGATAAGAAGGGGGAAAATCAAGGTTCCCGCCATCAACCAAATGGTTTGAGTCCAGGCAGAATCTAAACCATCACTCACAGTGCGCCATCTGCTCCAGCACCAGCCCTCCTGATTCTTTTGCAGGTCAGCAGGCATGAAAGAGTTAATAGCAAAGGCCATGAGAAACTTGCTCGCTGTTATAGAGAAATCACTTTTAGTTCCAGTTGCTGCTGCCAGAGGAGATGCTTGAGAGCAAGATAGGAAATAATAAGGAAGAAAAGGACTTTTGAATCACATGAGAGTCTTCGAGGACTACTCAGCCCAGATGTTCCTCTTATTGCTTCAAGCCAATAATTCTCTAAAGCCCCCATGCACAGATGTAGCTTCCTTCACTGTCTTTACAGATTGTGTTTGAATTCATGGCAGACCAGGAGACTGTCCTGCTGAGTATGGACTTCCTCAGTAGCAGGAACTAGGGACAGAATTAAGAATAATATAACATATATGAAATAACTGTATTCCATAACTGGAAATACAGTGCTGAGCCCTGTGCTATAGCTGAGGTGGATAGTCTCTGCACTTTAAAAGAGAGTCTTTGAGCAACTGCAGACAAAGACTGATATAACTTCTTGATTAGAAAATCAGCTGAAAGGCCGGGCGCAGTGGCTCACGCCTGTAATCCCAGCACTTTGGGAGGCTGCGGGGAGTGGATCACTTGAGGTCAGGAGTTCAAGATCAGCCCGACTAACATAGTGAAACCCTGTTTGTACTAAAAATACAAAAATTAGCTGGGCATGGTGGTGCATGTCTGTAATCCCAGCTACTTGGGAAGCTGAGGCAGGAGAATTGCATGAACCCAGGAGGCAGAGGTTGCAGTGAGCCGAGACTGTGCCATTGCACTCCAGCCTGGGCAACAGAGCCAGACTTCATCTAGAAAAAGAAAAAAAAAAATCAGCTGAAAAGACCAGAAGAGAACTCCATGAGACAGGGAATAATGGTGAGCCAGGACTATTATAGGAGAAACAGATCTGGGCCAGATTCAGGACTTCACCCATTCCAATTTTAGAGAGGAGGGCTTGGAATTTAAGGACTGAGCCCTTCCACCATCACTATCCACTCCATGCTAAGAGAACATTAGGTGGCCTCTGTTTTTAAGGCTCTGTGCTGCTGAGCAGGACATGCTTGCTATTGAGGTGGGTAGGATAGTAGGTTACCTATAAGGTTCCTTCCAGGCAGTAAAGAAACTGAAGAAAGAGCAGGTTAGGAAAAGGGAGAGAAGTGTTGGTGCAGCAGCCAGCCACAGGGAAAGGAATTTGGTGGCCTTGGAGGGAGGGAAAGTGGGGACAGTATCTTCAGTAGGATTAACATGGATTTGCATTTGAATTGTAAAATGAGAAGTTGCTTAGTCGGATCTCAGACTGAGGGTCCATGGTGCTCCTATATGTTTCTAGATTATTTGTAATATGCTGTTTATATGCATGTATATGTACAAATGTAAGAGCTCTTAGCAAACTTAAGCATACACACAAAGACTTAAATTACTTGTTTAATACAGTGGTGTCCAGTTGGTTTTTTTGTTTGTTTGTTTGTTTGTTTTTGGCCAAATTCTTTGATGAAGTCAAATCTAATTTGAAAGTTGAAGGTCTAAAACAGATAAATGCAAGAGCTACTGTGATCGAAGCAGACAAATTGAGGAGAGCAAAATCATTTAATCAAAGAGGAAGACGTGACCCAGCTCAACTTCCTGGTGGACGACCTCAGCTGTGCTGTTGTTACTAGTGTCTAACAGGAAGAGGAACCTAATTACAGCTCAGCCACTTCGAGCTGCTGAGCTTGAGCAAATTATCTCATCTCTCTGAGGATTCATTTCCTCTTCTGTAAAATGGGGATATCAGTAGCTAGTTTTAGATAACTGTGTGAGGATGATTAAATGATACAACATACCTGAAAGCACCTAGCATAATATCTGGTGAAAGCAGTGAAAGACGCTGGACAAGTGTTTGTTTCCTTTCTGCAGCCAATTAAGATTCTGGGAAACTGTAACTCTACCCAGGCTTTCCAGTAGCTTATTTTTTATTGTTCTATTGTAGTGCTTAAATAAGGATAACTTTTCCAGAGATAGCCTAAGTTTCTCATTTCTCTGGCTCTTGGAATTTCCAGTGCTTCACAAAGACTTTAGTGTTAAGAATGTAAGGTGTAGCACAGTATTTCAATAAGTCCCCAGTTCTACATGGAAGGGAGCAGTGTGCCACAAATGTTCTTGGCATTGATTCACATTTAGATATACATTTCAGTCATGACATGGACATAGATATAAAACTGAAACAAAAGTTTCACGAAATTAATAAACATAACGTGATGCACTTTTTAATTTTTTTTCATTAAAAATAGACTACTGGTCACAATCATTAAATTAATTTCACAAACCCATAATGGGCCACTGCCCATTATGGATTCAATAAACACTGTGTGATATGCACTTTGAAAACGACCACTGTATTTGGATCCAGTGTGGGAGTGATAAGAAGGAATATGGACTCATCACCAACTGCCCATATTTTTAGGACCCTCTAGAGTGATTTTTTTTTTTTCTGAAAAGCCAGAATTCTAAGATTGTCATCACATATTTTCACCGGAAATTAATGTCATTCCTTGGTTTTAGCTTCTCTGCATAGAACACTACATGCCTGAGTTTGTGTTGCCACATTTGCATGGGCACAAATAAGTTATTTTTACCACAAATATTTAACCTTCCAGTTTGAAGCTGTGCTGTGCTTAGCCTAAACAGCATAGAGAGACCAACTGTGTTTATAATTAAAGAAAAATGCTGTGCAAAGCCACAGAAGGAAGGAAGAGGCAATTCTTGTTGGAGGTATGTGTCACTGCTTTCAAGGGGTTCCCTGAGGTGCTTGACTCCACACGGACTCTTTCATTCCTGCTAGGTTGCGAATACTACACCAAGTGCTGTGGACAGAGAGATGTAGATGAAGCACCGGCCTGTAAAGAGTCTGGTGGGGGAGTCTGACAGGAAATTGTTCCAGTGTAATAGTGTCAATCATATAATTGGTGGTTTCAAATTTTGTATAGATGGGAGAGTTGTCAGCCTTCCACAGGGGAGAGGGTGGTGACCAGAGACACATGCTGACCCCACTTGAGCAGGCTCTTGGAAATACGGAAATCCTTCCCAATAGGAAAGGAAAGGTTGAAGATACAAGAGAGGGAGGGGATAACTGCTGTGCGGGCTTTGACCTGGAGATACGTGGCCCAGCTCTTCTCACAGAGCACACAGGATGCTCTGCCCTCCTATAACAGGCACATCAGGGCCCCATCTCATCTTTGTGGCATATGGAAGCAAATGTTACTCCATGGGCAGGATTCAGAGGCAGCCATGTGCTGCTCTTAGTACAAGGGCAGAGGACCCAGCATTAATGCAGTGCTTTCTATCACCTTTCCCAACTACCAGAACTTTGGCCCACCCATCTGCCTCCTCTCTCCCAGGTCTCTTGGTGCCCAGGTTTTCTCTGCATACTTGCTGCACTCTCTGGTGTCCTGGAAGCAGCTCTGCCCTCTTCCAACCTGGCTCAGCCTTGAAAGGGCCCCTTTTTTCACATTGGTGCAGGTAGGTCTTTTGCCACCATCCAAGCCTTGTTCCTATTCTTCTATCAACTTCCATCAGCTTGTATGGAACAACACATCCCCTCCCCAGTGCTCTGCTGTGCACATTGAAACTGCCCTTCTCAGATCAGAGCCCCGCCCCTGTCATCCCATGCACCTCCTACATCCCGCCCCTGACTCTTGGATGTCGCACTTCTGTTCAGACTTCATCTCTGATTTCAGCATTAGATACAGAAGCTTTTTCCTGCTAAGTCCTCTCCTCCCAGATCTAATTCACAGCCAGCAAATCCAGCTGTGGGCAGTCTTTGAGCATTTACTCTAAAGCTCTAAAGGACCCAAAGGTGATGCAAGAGCCACCTCCCTCCACTCAGAAAGGAAACACTCACTGTGTCCATTTGGCTTCAATCAGACAAACCCAAGACATTCAGAGGGATGAACCGACCTGAAAAATATCCCTAAAAACCTACTTTAACAGAAAGCACAAAGTTTCAGGAAAGAATGGAAGAAATTATAGAAACTGGAATTATACAAACTAGTAGGGGCATGGAGGCATGCACACAGCTTAGAAGAGAAGGAAGTCACTCTATCTGCTTCAGTGTCATGATGGTGTGAGACCTTGACCAAGAATGTAAATTTAAACCTTCTGGGAAACTTTGCTGTGCTCCAGCAGACAAAGAAAAGGAGGCTGAGGAAAGTGTCAGAGCCAAGGTGGACTGATAGGAGGGAGGAGCGTGTCTAATCTCAAGCAGCCTGCTCTGGTGCAAGGACACAGCCAGGAACACTGGAACTCAGGAACACTGGGACACACCTGCCAAGGCTGCCAGAGAAGCATTTCATGGGAGTGGACCCCAAGGCCAAGTCACAGGAATTGCAGTCAAGCAACATCAAGTCAAAAGACAGGCTGCAAGGTAGGAGGTGAAGACATGAGCAGAAGGCTGGAGAGATTGAGCAGAGACTTCAAAGCTGGAAATCAGACTTTAGCAAATGAGAGGTCAGGACAAGGAAGCAGGGGTATGTTACAGAGCAGACAAGAGGCAGAGCCCACCCTGGAACATGTTATTCACGGTGCCTACCATCTCAGCCTCCCCTGCATGCATGTACAACTTCACCCCTAATATCTGTTGAACAAGCAGCCCTAACCACCGAGGTTTGTAAAATGTCCTGGCCACAGGTGATTGGATCAAGATGGGGACATGCTCCCAGAAAGCTGTTTATGGGCTGTCCAGTGACTTATGACATGGCCTGGCACCCCAAGGTGGGTTGGGTCAATTAGATTATGCCACCAAACTTAGAAATGTCAGGGAAATGAGGCAATCATAGTTCCTTCTCTTGGGCTTCTCTAAGAATCCATTTCTATTATTGTTCCATAAGTACTTTATTATAGAACACCATAAGCACTCCCATCTAGACTCTCACTGAACTGCCTTGATTCAGCCTCTGTTCCCGTACAACCTGAAGACTCACCAGAACACGTATGGACTTGCAGCTGTCCAGAAGCACAGTGATGAATGGTGTGTTTGGCCACTCCATTTGTTTTCACATAGTTTCCCACAGTTTAGAAGTGCTGAAGATGAGACCTTAAAAGAGTTGGAACCCCCCTGAGTAGAAAAGAAGCTGGAATTAGCAAAATAACACAAATAGGCATGAGATTCATCCTACTGGGAGGAAGTCACCCTTACAAGAAGAGAAGCACAAATGAGGAGGACCCCCGCTCACTTAAGTGTAAAAAAAATGCTGTGTTTAGAAGCTCAGTAAGATCACAGTTAGTGACTTTTCCCAGAGGGGGTATAAGAAGTTTCATGGAGACCCAAAAGGTCTGATGGCAAGATACCTTCCCAATGTTGAGTAAGGCGCCATAGTCTGCCAAAACTCTTCAAAGCCACTGCTTCTCATGGACATAAACGTTCCACCAGAAGTGAACATGGTGGTATTTTTTGAGTGGAACAATGAAAGATGTGAGAATACAGGTGGTATTTTCATTGCTTCTTCCTACTGCCCTTTGGAACTCTGGAAGACTGAAGAATATCTAAAGATGATCAGTAGTGGACTTACAAGAATAGGTTGATATTTAGAATGAGGTTCTGAAACACAGCTTAAGATACCAGAATAAATCATTCTAGCCATGAGTGCAGAGAATCTTACAAAGACATGGGGGACTATGTTGCTTAGCGACTGATCAGCTGATCTCATCAAGAGGATTTAAAAACTGATACCAGGAGGAAGAGTAAGACAACACAATAAAATAGACAACCCACAAGACCAGTTGCTATGAATGACATCCAGTGGGATGTGGAAAAAAAGGGTTCCAGGACAGGAGGTTTCCAGTGATTCACAGGAGATAAGATTGAATCCTAGATGTAAGTGATGGCCATGGCCTTGGGTGTCCTAATGCATCCTGCAGAGAGAACAAACAGAATAACCCAGGACAATGATCACAGCCTTGTAGATATAACTGGCACCCAAACATGTCAACAGACCACTTAGAAGCAGACAGATTAATGTGCTATACATGCCTGAAGAGCTGTGTACCTAACGTTGAAAGCTCATTGATACACATATTGTGGGCATTAGCAGAAATGAGCCTGCCAGGGAAATATGACAGGTGGAGAGGTGAGACTCCTAAAACAAATCAAAGCACTAGTACAGAGATAAAAATCCAGTGGTGAGGGAGAAACCCACTGAGGAGATGTTTCCTGGAAGTCTTCTTTGGTTAAAGACAAAGTGAAAACTTCTCCAGTTGCTTTGCTACAAGTATTAGAATACTTTTGATGTAATGAACAGAAATCCTGACACAAACTAGATTGAACAAAGAAACTGTAGCATCTGGACAAAGGGTCTAGAGATAGGATTGTAGATTCCATGGTTAAGGATGGGGGGTTCCGGGATTGTAGATTCTGTGGTTAATGATGGTATCAGGAACACCAGTTCTTCCCAGGCTATTGGGCCATCCTTCCTTCCTTTCTGTTCATCTTCAGGTTGGTCGCAAGATGGATGCAGGTCTAGGCATTGCATCCAGACATGAAAGTAGCCACAGGAAAACGCACTTCTTGTAGCTCTCTGTTAAGAGCAAGGAAAAAATTATTCAAGTGCCCAGCAAACTGGCTCCTTACACATCATGGCCAGAAGTATGCCAATTTTTGAAGCAGTCACTGGCAAAAGGAATGGGACTGTGTGGGCCCAACAGGTTCAGCCCTGGAGATGGATCCCTTCTTCTGGGACACCAAGAAAAACACCATCCCCTTCTCCCCTGGCAATACCCAGCCAACCTTCCAGCTATGACTCTCCCCCACAGGCACCCTGTTTCTTCTCATGACAACTCTGCACTCCATTATCCACCTCCTGGGAGCAAACCATTTTGTAGCCTATTCCAAAAAGCTCAAGCCAGCACAGACACCACAGGGCAGCAAACGAAATCTGAATCTCAAAGCTTGCCAGACCAGCAGCGCCCACTGAGAAACTCTCCAGATAAGAGATGATCCCAGGAACCCCACCGCCTCCTGCCATGTCTCTGCACATGCCATCAACGCTCTGCTCTCAGTGAAAATGGCTGAGGGGAGGAGCTTTTCCTCTACAGACCCAACGCTGCCATTTCCCACCCCTGTGGTGGGACTCGAAGAGGGGCTGGAGAACACGTCTCCACACACATACAGCTGTGGCCTGCTTTTGGCTCTCTCCTCCCACTCTTCTGCAGCGCAAACCAGGGTGGAGGATGGTGTCAGACCCGTCTTTCGGAACACTTGTCATTTCAAGAACCAGAGAGGCAAAGCCCTTCAGGCATGTTTGGAGTCCCAGAGAGCTCAGCACAGGACTCGTGCTGCCAACACTGTGACTCTAGACTATCTTGCTGGGAATCGGGATTTCAGCTCCTCTTTCCACACACCTTCACCCCCAGCACTGGGCACCCACTTCTGCAGCTCCCCACTCAAATTGGTCCCCCTCCTTTATGACACTGGGCTTCTCTGGATTCCTGTCAGCCGTTTTCTCCAGTCCTGGGGCTCTCAATATCTCCAAATACTCACATGGGTAATGGGTTCCTTGACCCAATGACAAGCATCTGTCTCTCAAAGAGCAGTAGGCCTTTCCTAGGGCCTCTGCCATCAGCTCTGCTGCCCTTTGCTGCCCTCCCCTGGCCATTGACATCACTGCAGGTAACTCTTCAGGACTCTGATGGGTTCATTGATACATCCATTCAAAAAAAAAGTATTTAGGGGCCCTGTGTACCACGCGATGTCCAGACACTGAGGATTCAGTGATAAAAACACATGGCGCCTGCCTTCCAGGAGTACACAGTCTAGTGAGGAAAATGAGAGAGAGGGAGAAAAGCAGAGAGAGAGAGAGATAATGAATGAATGAGAATGAGAATGAAAGAAGGAATGAGAATGAGAGAGAGGACTTTTTGAATGGGAATGAGTGGATTCTGGTGTGCCCTTGTGGAAGTCTAGATTTGCTCATTGTTCTGCAGACCCGACTGCCTAACATGTTCACCTGAAAAGGAATCCCCTGGCCTCCCCTTTGGAAGTGGAGTTGGAGAATTTATTTTAAACCGAATATTTCTGAGCAAGTGCAAAGCACCCTACCTGGCACTGAGGTATAATGGGGAAATGCTGGTCCCATCCCCCACAGAATTTACAATCTGGCTGAGGAAATAGACATAAGAAAATAATTAGATTGTTTAATAACAGTTATGGTGTTACCTGGTACTGTATTCTGTCTTAGTCATACCTAGCAAGAGCTCCACACAGCAAGGATAGGGCATGGGGTCCATGTTTTAGGGGGTAGAAGGAGTGAACCACAGAGAGCACAGCCCGTGCACATGGTAGGCACCTCAGGAAGTGCTGAATGCATGAAAGAGGCTGCGCAGCAGACAAGGCTCCTGGGAGCCAAGGCCAGTGTCTCCAGCCAGCTCAGCTGAAATCAGCAGCTCATGTGCTCCGTTCTTCACCTTCAGCATGCCCACTTCATCCTGAAACTCTCTTCTACCCACCACCTCATCTCCAGATGCAGATCCTAATGTCCCAGACAGGACTGTTGGCAGGTTCCAAGTCAAGTGAAGGATAATTCAAGAGCCACAGTCCAATAGTGCAGGAGCCATATCTGCTCTATTTGCCATTGTATACCCAATCCTTCACATAGTACCTGGCACATAGGAGGTACTCCATAATTCTGTGACGGTTGTTGAATGAATGCATGGATTTTGCATAACTATTCAGGCAAGAGCTTAGCTTCTATAGAGAATTTGGTCATGATTGGATTCATTTGATCAGTGGAAGCAGCCATTCCAGTTTACTATAGAAGTAACATTCCAGTTACTATAGAAGTAGATTTAGAACCTAATTTGGCCTATTGGCTACAAAAAGGGTACAGACTCTGAGTTGTAGTGAGACTGCCAGTCTACCTGCAGGTCGATGAGGGCTCCTCCATCCTCCCTGGGCTGAGATTTAATAGTGCCTCTTTTTGCTCAGCCTGCTCTCTAATCCTCAGGGTGAGAGATCAGTATGAACTGACAGGTCTGAGAAATCTTCCTAGGGGAGGAAGAAGGGTTTCCAGCTGCAAGGAGAGAGCAGCGTGCAGTGACAGTGAGGCACCAGGATGTAGAACAATGCTGCCAGAACATATTCCCTGAGGTTTGGGAATGAACTTCTTCAAGGGCTGTGCTCCCTTTTTGATGGGTCCTAGTGGGCCTCTGTGCTGGTCGTGACCGACTTTTCTTCAATGATCCAGTGGAGGCTGCAATGTATTTTGCTTAAAACTACAGCTGGTTTATAATTTTGGCCTCAGACAGTAATTACAGCTGCTGGGGCTCCTTGGAGAGATAATTACGGAAAGAATTCAGCATATTCATTTTATCTACACACTTAACCATCAATTAAATCATTACCATCTAATCCTATTCCAGAGTCTAGAAATGTTCTGTGAATATATAATTTTGAAGGCACTGAAGTTTGTTTTCAGATGGTTTTAAGTGAAAAATTGCCCAATTTCCATAGCCAATGGAGGCTTTCTCTATGAAAGCAGAGCCGAGAGTATCTCCTGGCTTGTGGTTGCTGCCTCCCTGGGGGCCTGCACCACATAAAGGGCCAAGCAGGAATGGATTGATAGGCGGGAGCTGGGACTTTGCCTTTGATCTCCCATGGAGTTTGTGATTTTCCAAAGCAGGATTAGCACTGGGACTTAGAGGTCAGTGGCTGGAGACAGACAAGAGGGTGGCTTGTTTTGCCAAGGAGCTTCCAGGAGAGTCTTCCCCTGCTGGGATTCTGCTAGGGCCCTGGGCTGTCATCCACTTATCAAAGTCAGGATGGGGTCTTTTCACTTTGGGAACCCAGGAGAGAGTGTGGTATTTAAAAGCATGAGTGCTGGAGCTGGCTTCACTTTCTGGCTTTGCCATTTTTGAGTTGTGTGTCCTTGAGCAAGTTTCTAAATTCCTCTAAACCTCAGGTTATTCCACTCTTTAGCAACACAACAATAGATCCTACCTCACAGAGCTGTGTGAGACTTAAATGAAAAAATGAATGTAACATGTTTAACACAGCATCTGGAACTTAATGGATGCTAGGTAAACTTTGATAATTGATATTATTCAACATACATGTATGTACAAGAAAAGGAGAGAGGCAGAAGGGAGAAATCAAATGTCCAAAAATGTGCTTCAGCGGGAACCAGGGCCTCTGAAAGCATATGTGGCATGGGCTGGGACTGCCCCTGGGCTTCACTGTCCAGCCTTGGACTCCACGGCTGCTCTCTGCTCTCTCTGACCTTGACTTCCCTTGGGGATGGTCGCCTGGGAACCTCTGACTGCAGTCCCCCTCTGTACCCCTCCTCCCTGACCCTACCCTCTCATGGCTCCAGCCTGGTGCTCCTCCAAAAACCTTGCTGCACTGCTGGTACCCTGAATATGCCTGTTCTCCTCCTACACTTCCAACCATCCTTTTCTCTCTTTCTCATGGGCTTTCGCTGGCTGACGGTGGGATATAGTCATGCCTCAAGTTTCTGACCTAAGTCACTTTTTGTTTTTTTCTACACCACACAAAGCAGCATCTGGGAAGACGGCCCACAGGGATGCAACTGCTTCCTGGCCTCTTTCAGCCAGGGAGGCAATTTTTCTAATAGACAGGAGTCTTGGGCTGAATCCTCTTCAGACTGTTCCTAACACTGGAATCCCAGAGGCACTGTCTATACAGTGGGGCCCTGAGGAAGTCTCCTCTTTGTGAGCTGACTCTTCCAGATGGCTGCACTAGTCCTCTGGCCAGTGTTTGGGCTCAGACAATCCTACCCTACTGTACACGGTACGTGGCTCCTGTGCTGAAGTTACTAAAAAGCCCAGCTCTTGTAGCTGGCATAGAACTGGTCACAAGGCTGGCTTTTGCCCTGGCATAAGCCGCGTCTATGTGGGAGCCCCAAGCTGGGAACCAGCCCCAGGCACAGCATCAAGTCCACGTGGCAGACTTGCCTGAAAAACACCCACTTGACCTTATAGTTGTGCCTATCACCGAGCCAAGGGCTGCAAAGGAAATGAAAAGCTCCCAACTGCTGAAATCATGGAGCTGGAATATCAAGTCTCTATGTTCAAGGATAATCATGGTTATCGTTGGAAGGACTGTACAGTGAAGATTAATTTTTAACCTCCTCTGAGAGTTGTAAGAATTAAATAAGTTAATAAATGCAGAACACTTACAAGAGTGCCTAGTACCTAATGTGTGCTCAATGGATATTAGCTATTATTAGTATCATTATTATTAAAGGAGAAACCAGGCTTCATGAGGTTTATGGAGTCTTGGCCAGAAACACTGATTCTCCTGCTTTGAGAACTCTCAGGAGGGCTTACTCTTGGGCTGGTCCTCCTGTCCAGTGATCTCCAGAGCCAGTGACAACATGACAACTTCCTGATCCCAAACATTAGCATGTGGTATACCACAGGTACCACAGGATGGTCTTTTAGGAACGTAGATCCTAGCACTTCCCAGAGCAAGGGAAGAAAAAGCCCTCCCTGGCCATCCCCCCCAGCCTCTCTGCCTTGATTCCCTCAAGGGGAAGCAGGAGGGGATGCCCACAAGCTCCCTCTCCAGAGGCGGAAGACCAATACCCTCATTTCTCCTTGCTTCTCCTCCCCTCCTCCTGGAGAATGTGGGTAGGTGGTTCCTGCCCTGCCCTTTCTGTCTGTGAGCCCACTTTGGTCCCTGGTCAGCTCCGCAGGCCTCCTGCAATCACTGCTGAATCATGAATGATCCACTGGGCAGTGAGGACCCAATCCCTGAGGGGAGCTTGGGAGAGAAGCATGGGACACATCAGCATCGCCAGGGCTGTCCACCTCAGGGCCCAGAGGCATACATCCTGGTGCCCTTTTGCTTCACTATTTGCAGTTTGGCAACATGGAAGTGTGTGTGTCTGCAGAGCTGGTGAGGTCACTCTGTCTGATGCACCACTAAAGCTTTCCAATGTTCTGGAAGTGTCTGATTCGGGGTCTGATCAATCTTGCCCTCATATCGCTGATTCTCTGAGCAGGGACAGATGTGGCCACCTTCCTGTACCATAGTGAATACCTCAGGGAACTGCCTGCCCCCTTCATGACTCACCCTGGTACCTCACCCCAATTCTCCATCTTTCTCTCTGGCTCTCCGTGGCTTCCTTTTATAGGTTAGAACCCAAGTTCCTTAGAGGGCACACAGAGGCCTTCACAACCTGACCCCTCTCTATCTGGAGGCACAGCCCATCACTGCTTTTGAACATTTTATGCCCCGGCCCCAGCACACAGGCCACTTCTAGTACCCTGGCAACACTGCTCTGTGGTGCCACTTTGCTTTTGCTCATGCTGTTCTCTTTGTCTGCGATAGCTACACAAAGCTCCCTCACAAACATTCACTTCCTTCGAACTCAACATACAGATAAACTTTTCTCTGTATATATATCTTTGTGATAGCTCCCACAATCCTATTTTGTAATTTTGTGTTGGTTTTACTGAATCAACTATGAGTTCCCTGAGAACAGATACTGTATCTCATTCATCTCTGAATCCTGAGGCCATACAGATAACCTTTTCTCTGTATATATATCTTTGTGATAGCTCCCATAATGCTATTTTGTAATTTTGTGTTGGTTTTCCTGAATCAACTATGAGTTCCCTGAGAACAGATACTGTATCTCATTCATCTCTGAATCCTGAGGCCATTGTGTAGGCCCCAGCGTACAACTAGGTGCCCAGTGTTGGCTGAATGAGAGCAAGAGGGTGGGTTCAGCTTCTCATTTGCTCAGCATGAAGTGTGCAAATTCCTTCCTGACTCAGAAATTAGGGATCCTTCATTGACAGTCATTGTATGGTTTCAGAAGATTGCACGTTCAAATGTCTACACTCGAAAAAGCTGAATGAAAAACACCCTCACCAACAGCATCTCATGTTTTGCCTAACAGCATGAGCTCTGCCTCTCTGTAGGGGCTTTAAGCAAAGCCTTGACAGTCTGCAAGGAGAGAATAGCCATGGGGCTCGGGGTCCCGTGAACTTTGGGATATTTCACAAATATCCTAAATATTGTTGAGACAGTCTAGTGACTTTGTGAAACTGAGGAGAAATGGGGAGGCCTTCTCTCCGAAGGGCTTCAGAGCCATCTGGTTCTATCTGGGATTTATTCTGAATGCAGCCTTTACAGTGAGAGGGCGCCACACTCAGGTGCAGGGATCTGGCTTGAGACTTGGGGAAAACATCATTGCCTTTGATGGCGCCTGCTAAAAGCAGTGTGGACACAGACACCTCATGCACATCTTCTCCGTTCAGGGCTCCAAATCCCTGCTGCGGCTCGCCTCAAGGCGGAACGGGGTAGCAGCACACACCTCCTGTTCCAAGGAAGACAGCATCTGCTGTGAGTGTGCCGCTTTAGCAAGATGACTGTGCTTTATTGATTGCAATTTCATGCTGCGATTATGCACGTCAATCTACGCTGAAAATGGCAACTGTGCCCCCTGCATCTCCGATGTTGTGTGGTGTGTGGTTCTGTTTTCCAGACATACTGAAATAGTTTGAAAAAGTGGCAAAACCTGCTCTACAGAGCAAAAAGAATTATCTTAAAATAACTCACTTTTCATAGGCCTTCAAACGTCATTCTTTAGCAGGGCCCAATGAGTGAGGGGCAGGGTCTCTACAGCTTCCCCAGAGACCTGAACCCCTCTTTTCAGTCGTGGCTTCACGGTGGATGGGTCATCACTAAGGATGAGAAGGCTGCCAGGCCCAGTTGACTGGGGTGGGGCAGATTCAGGGCTTGAGGTGGAAAGGAAAACTGGGAGCAGCAGGGGCTTAGTCTTCACAGAATGAAGGAGGGTGGCCAAGGGTGTTGCTGATGGAACCAGGGAGGAGAAGCCAAGACTCAGAGGGTTATAAGAAAGTGGAGGAGCAAAGGCATCAAGGAGCAAAAGAGGTCAGGCATGGTGGCTCACACCTGTAATCCCAGCGCTTTGGGAGGCCAAGGTGGGCGGATCACTTGAAATCAGGAGTTTGAGACCAGCCTAGACAACATGGCAAAACCCTGTCTCTACTAAAAATACAAAAATTAACCGGGCATGGTGGTGGATGCCTATAATCCCAGCTACTCAGGAGGCTGAGGCACGAGAATTGCTTGAACCCAGGAGGCAACAGTTGCAGTGAGCCAGCCTGGGCAACAGAGTGAGACTCCACCTCAAAAAAAAAAAAAAAAAAAAAAAAAAAATGGAGCAAAAGCGACAACCTTGCCAGGCCACCCTGAGGTGCATAGATGCATGGAATGTGAGGGACTAAGTGGCCTCTTGAGAGTGCTACAAAGAAAGTGTTGTGACTTCAAAAGAGAACCAGGATTCAGTTGAAGTGAGAAAGTGGATAGAAAGTTTACATGAAGGATTAAGGATGTAGGGGAGGTAGGTGTGGAGCACCAGAGGAAGGCTGGAGACAGTGGAAGTGGGGGCTGGTTTGGAGAAGGGGAAGTACAGGGCAGGATATGATGACAGTAGGGACAAGAAAAGCAACTGGACTGGGGGTGTGGAAAGCACAGCCTGCCAGGTTTGATCTCAAGGGGCAAAGTCTGCTTCACCCACAGGAAGCAAGGTGACCAGGCTATCCTAGAAAATAAAGCCACAGCCATCCTCAGACCAGCTGTTCTCCTAGAGTTGTTTGAGAGAGGGCCTGAACTGTCTCTCCTCATGTACCCATTTATTCGTCCATTCCCCAGTGTTTGTGAGCATTGGGTCTGGTGGGCCCCTGCTCTTCCCACCACCTTAAACCCTCTCCTGCCTGCCCAACTACCACCCCCTCCCCTGTGCCCAGCTAACTTCTCAACTCCTGTCTGCCTTCTCCCCGATGCCAGTCATTGCCCGCCTCCCAAGCAGGCATGCTTTGCCTGTAATATGATCCCTCCGATGAATAATAATCCAATGTTACATTTTCTACTCTATCCAGACCACTGTGCTCAGTGCTGTACAGGCATCCCCAGTTTAACTCTCACCCTGTGAAGTAAACAGTTTTGTCTCCCCAGATAAAAGAAGCTGAGGCTTAACTAATTTATCCAACATCATGAGGCAAATAACTGGCCGAGCTATCAGATTAAGGTAGATGGTATTATTTCTTCATGGTTATATGCCCCAGCACACTCTTGTCAGGGTCTTGACTCCAATGACTTAGGACTCGGGCCTGGGATTTGCTTCAATCAATAGAATATGAAAGGATGACAACATGCCAGTTCCACATGTTTCTACTCACCCCCTTGAACTTTTAGCATCTGTCATGGGAATAACATGCGCTGGAAGACGGGGGCTTCTTCAGCTCGGTCCTGGAACAAGAAGACGCAGAAGTAGATTTCTACCTGTCTGGCAGAGCTGCAGCCAACCACAAACTCATCAGCAAGAAATTAGTGTGTATTGTTGTAAGCAACTAAGATTTGGAGTTGTTATTGTAAGAAAAGCTGACAAAATACAGATTTAAACTCACAGTGTTCCTCCATCTCTGCCTGTTGGACATAGCTACCAAGCTTATTTGGGTCCAAATGCGGACTTACTTCTCTCCACCTGTTAGGAAAGGCTTTCTCTCTTCATTATTTTATCATCAAGATGAATCTCACAACCTACTGGAATTCCAGTTTAACTTTTCTTTTCCTTCTCTTGCCCTCTCCCTGGAAAAAGTTTTACACATGCCGACACATGTCAGCAAACCTCTCAACCTCACATCTGTGCTGGTCAAGCGGCTTTGAAGACACAGCTATACCAGTCAGAGCACAATCAGTTTCTGACATGGTCAGTGTCGGGATCACACAGTAATGCTGGTTTTAAAAGACTTTTCTTTCTCAGCTGTTATTATTCAGCTCACTTAACAATTAAAACTAGAACAATGCCTTAGAATTTTTAAGAAAATTCTTTTGTTTCCATCCTGCTGGCACCGATTCATCATCCTTTATGACTTCACATTCCCAAATGATTTGTGATGTAGGTTTTTTGCTAATGTACTTTCAGTTGTTTTGCTTCTGATGTTTCCTCCCCACCTAATCAAATGCTTCAAAATAACCATAATTTCTAAACCCAGTAGGACATAGGACATGCACTGAATAATATGCACTAAAATTTATTAACAGAAAGCCCTTTGTTTTTAAAACTCTGAAAGCTAATGGAATACTCTTTTTTACTTTAGAAGGCATGCTGTGTTCTGTGTGGTTTTCCCACAGATGTGTTTTTAAATGTTGCATTCTGTTAAGACTAAATGTTGTATTTGCAAAGATTTTACTCCCCCAAAGCAGAACATAATTTCCCTCGCTATCTTAGCTTGAAAAGGCCTGAAGTGAAAATGTATGACTTTGCTTATGCAGCTTTTCTTCTCCTCTTCAGATAAAAGAACCACATTTTCCTTTGAGGACTCACCCCTCTTCCCCCTCTAACCATGTGGTTTGGGTAGAGGCATCCACATCCTCAGCTCCAGGAATGTCTTTGCATCTCCCCAGGCTTAAGCCCAATCATCACATTCAGGGATTGGTTCGGGGTGAGTGTGTGACCCAATTTAGGCCCAGGAATTTTGTTGGAACTATCCGGAAAAGTCACATCTTTCCACTGGACTTGAAGCTGTGAGGATGCAAATGTGGGGTTGTTGGCTGCTATCTCACCATCAAAATAATAGAGTGCACTCCGGGATGGAGTGAAACAAAAGAAAGCATACTTGAGAAGTAGAGAAGGTGATAATGAGTCCTGATGACACTGTCTGAACCTCTGGATCCAGCTGTGCCTGAAACTGTTCCTTGCAAGGGACTAGCATGTACCTCATGACCGACAACAACAAATCTGACATTGCTGCTGGTTGGATTCCAACTCTAGAGAAAGAGATAGCTAGAAAATTAGTCTGCACACACAAAAGCAGAGAAAAAATACACAAAATACCCAGTGGTTAATTTTAAAATGTGAATGAGCAATCAAGGGTCACTAAGTAAGACAGAACTGACAGCATTAATAGAGGTTTATATTTAAAACACACACACACACACACACACACACACACTGAGGAAAAACAAACAATGATAAGAAATCAAATTCAAGTGTAAAATAAATCAAAAGTATAGTAATCTTAAGTAATTAACATGTAGAAAATCTACTCACAAGCACTTCTGCTTGTTGCCACATTGGCCTCAAGTATTAGATAAGAATGTCCTGGCTCCCAGAGGCCTTCTCACTCCTGATTCTGTTCCCTGCAGTTCTCCTCACTCAGAAAAGCTGCTCTCTGACTCTGTCCACTGCTTCTTTCCCACAGAGGTGTAGGTACGTAAGTTGGGGCCATTTCAAAGGCAATCTTCTCTCATCCTCTTGTGCAATGTCTTGAGAGGCTGCTCTGAAGAAGTTCTAATTTTTGACAAAGTTTTGCTTCTATACGGTCAAAATGATCTCACTGGGGTTTCCACATGTTGCTCCTGGTCTGTCCATTAGGACAGCTCTGAACGTCCCCTTCCCTTCCAGAGTGCTTTTGTTTTTATTTTTGCCTTACCCATACTCCTTTCAGAGAGACTGGTCCTTAGAGCAGAACATAAATTCCATACAAGATAGCAATGGAGCCAGTTGCCCAGAGAGCTTTGAACGGGACAGTTATCACACCCTGAGTCAAGTAGAATGCTTTGGGCTTCTAGGAACAGAAAACCTAACCCAAACTCCTTTTTATGAGGTGAGGTTTTGCTCTTGTTGCGTAGGCTGGAGTGCAATGATGCGATCTCGGCTCACCACAACCTCCGCCTCCTGGGTTCAAATGATTCTCCTGCCTCAGCCTCCCGAGTAGCTGGGATTACAGTCATGCACCACCACGCCCAGCTAATTTTGTATTTTTAGTAGAGACGGGGTTTCTTCATGTTGGTCAGGCTGCTCCCGAACTCCCGACCTGAGATGATCCCCCTGCCTCGGCCTCCCAAAGTGCTGGGATTACAGGTGTGAGCCACCGCGCCCGGCCCTGAAACTCCTTTAAAGAATAAAATGAGGCCGGGCACCGTGGCTCATGCCTGTAATCCCAGCACTTTGGGTGCCTAAGGCGGATGGATTGCTTGAGCTCAGGAGTTCTAGACCAGCCTGGGAGACATACTGAGACCTCCGTCTTTACAAATATAACAAAAATTAGCCAGGCATGGTGGCGTGCCCACTATGGGGAGGAGTGGGTACTGTCAGTACAAGCTGGGAAGATACTCCAAAGTGTTTCTGTAACCCCTAGGAGCCAGCCATTGGCTTATCTATCATCAGTTCCCATGACCATCTTCAGTTGTCCTGGTCTCTAGCATGCACACATTCATTCAGCCAGTGTTTACTGAGCCCCGCCATATGCCACATGCTATTCCCAACACTGGGAATAAGGTGTTGAGCAAGGCAGTGAGTGGGGACCCCTGTGCCGTGGAGGTTGCATTCTGGTGGAGGGAGACAGGCAAATTGCATACAGTTGAACAGAAAATAGGTCATCACAAGCTGGACGATGCAAATACAAAGGCAAGATGTGACAGCAGTGATGGGGCACTCCTTTGTGCTGGGTGGCTGGGGAAGGCCCTGAGAAAATGACACTTTCCCTGACTGACCAGAAGCAGACAGCCAAGCAGAGGCCTGAGAAGTGCATTTCCATCACAGAGCAGATGGCCAGCATGCATCTCTGGAGCAAGGACCAGCGTGGCCTGTCCAGAAGTAGAGAGGAGGCAGGTGTGGCCAGGACCATGAGCAACGAGAGGTAGAGTTGTAGGAGAGGAGGCCGAAAGGGAGTCAGGCCAGGGCGCAGAGGGCATGGCCCCTAAGTTCAGATCTCAGTCGCCCTCCTCAGGAGCACCAGGGAAGAGGCCTTAAGCCCAGTCTCCTTCAGCAGGCACCCTCTGTGGTCTCCTCTTGTTTGACAGGCCAGAGGCTCCCAGCTGGCCAAGAGGGCTCAGCTTCCCCACAGGGCAGGATACCAATCCCTAAGTCCAGGTGAGTCGCCCCTTTTCTGACATTGCTGCTCCCCAGTCACTTTTCTTTCCTTTCCTTGCTACCTACCTGATTTCCAGCCCTTGATGAGAGTCCAAGCCTCCAGCTCCCAGAATCACCCTTCATTTTAATACTCAAATACCCTGAGTCCCCACCCTTTCTCTCTAGCCCTTAGTTGATGTCTTCCTCCCATTTGTCTCTGCAGTGGCCTGAGGAATGGTCTTTTTTGCATCTCATGATTCCAGATGATGCTTACCATTTCCGCTCTCTGCTGCACTCCAGGCTTCTCTACAGCCATCTTTAGAGGCCTTCAGCTGCTTCTCCCAGCCACCATCTTCTCCCTGCCCTATCCCCACATCCTATCCCAAGCACGGACACAGTCCCTTTCCCCATTCCCCCAAAGCATGCAAATGCCAGACTATAGCATTTAATGAAGATTTCCTAAGGGCTGGGGATAACACGAGTGAAGACAATGCGAGTAACTGAAATTAAAAATTCTATAGCCAGGGAAAGAAACATCCATCTAATATCATAATTGTCTCTGCCAATAGGAAACTGCCTACGGGGAACACATTTTACATTGTTATGCAGAATAACACAGCCTCTCATTCTGAGATTGGACCTGGGCATTACCTTTAATAACCTAAGGCCCCTGATACCTCCCCAAAGAGCTGTTTCCCCAGCACCCCAACACACTGTCTTGCAGGTGGTTTCTTCACTAGGGTGCCAGGATGAGGAGATGTGTGAAGCTAAAGTCAGCTCAAAGTCAGCTTTCTCTCCACTCACCAAGTGGTGAGTTTGCCTGGAGGAGGCTTCTGTTTCTAAGTCACACAAAGGCCCAATGCTAACAGCATGGCTGAGAGATACATGCCGTGGCCTACTATCAGCCACAGTGTATAGAGGACAGCAGATACACAGATGAGAGAAAACGAATTCAGCTAATAGGTTTTATTTGTTTTGACATTGTGAGTATCTTTGAGATGAAAAGCTAATAGTTGGAATAGTGCCAAAAATCTTAATATTATTAATAACATATCAATAAAAGCCTCTAAACCTTTAAGGATAAAAGAAAGTTTCTTATCTTGTATCCTCTTTTCAAACACATTTAAGGGCCTTTGTTTCTGTCTCTTTCACTGAGAAAAAAAAAGCAAGCTGCAAGACAATACATTTTCTAAAATTAGCACACATTTAATTGACTTTTCAAAATGAAGTTCTATTCAACCTATTAGATGTGTATATTCCATACAACATTCCAATGTTTAAGCTATTTTTTTTTTTTTTTTTGAGACAGATTCTTGCTCTGTCATCCAGGCTGGACTGCAGTGGCGCCATCTCGGCTCACTGCAGCCTCTGCCTCCTGGGCTCAAGCGATTCTCCTACCTCAGCCTCCCAAGTAGCTGGGACTACAGGCACCCGCCACCACGCCTGGTTAATTTTTGTATTTTTTTTTTTTGTAGAGATGGGGTTTTACCATGTTGCCCAGGCTGGTCCTGTACTCCTGGATCCAAGTGATCCACCCACCTCGGCCTCCCAAAGTTCTGGGATTTAGACATGAGCCATTGTCCCTGGCTCATTTAAGCTAATTCTGAGACTTTTTCCCAAATACAGAAAAACACATCTGTAAATCACCATTGGAGAAAGAAAGGAGAACGTGAAGGTCCTGGGAAAGGGGTGAAGGCCCCTGCTTGAGGACTTCATGGGGTTGGTACTTAGTCCCTCATGGTATCACAATAGGCTATGCATTCTACAGCTGCTCTTTGTGACCTGTGTAAATTCTGGGCAAAAATGGCCTTTCCCTGGGTCATGTCTGCTAAAGCAAGTATCACCATCCAGTCAGATGGGGCTGATCCCAGCAGGTGCCCAAGAAGGAAGTCACCCACTGTCTAAAAGTCCTACATAATCCTCAGGGTTCATTTTAGGTGCCACCTCCTCCATGAAGTTTCTAGTGAGCAATGCCCCATTTGGAATGAAGTACTCCCTTAATAGTTTGATTGTATTTAGATTGTATTTGATTATACATTTACCACTTACCACCTCTCATTTTTATTTTGTAGTTAGTTGGATACATCTGTCTTCTCTCCTGATGTGAACTCTTTAGGTCTGGGGCATAGGGTCTGTCAGTACCCACTAAATTGACTATTTTTAGTTGATTTGGACTTACTGCAGACCTTTTACTAAACATGGCAATTGAGCTTTTGCTCTCTGATCATGGAGAAGTTTCCAGTATGCAATAGTCAGGAGGCAGGAGGGGGCTGGTCAGTGTGTAAGTACTCAAGGGAGGATTAAAACAAGGTACAGTCTGCACACAGCTCCTCACAGTGGGTGGAGGCACCCAGAGGAGAGAGGCAAGCTGCCTGCACATGCAGCAGGCTGGTTACACCTCCCTCCAGTGTCTTCCCCATGTCAGGCAAATGAGAGCTAGAGGACCTTGGGATCTTGCTCTTTAGCCAGAAAATGGCCACCCTCCATAAGTGGTAATGGTGATATCCTGAAATCAAGTTCACAGGTGAACAGATCTAATGTCCATTTTATTGTTCACTAAAGTTTAGGGTCAGTTGAGAGTGGGTGATAAATATATGACTCTTCATTCATTATCTCTTTGGTATTTATATTTTTGACTTATTTTTTCAGAACTCCATTGGTCCCTATTCAGGAAATGCTAAATTTAAACAGCCCCGTCCTGTTTTGGGACCAGCCACCTAGAGTTCTCAAGTGCTAAAGGCAACGACCTCCTTCCCATCCTCACTCACCAGTAATTCCACAGGGCCAGGCTCAGTGAGATCTGTCAAGGCAAGAGGGGTGCTTCAGCTGATCCCATACTATCACTCAATTCTGGTTTTCTGACTCTCTTATTTGTTTTCAATCCAACCTCTACACTCCTTCAAGTACTAAAGTACAAATCTGAGCATGTAACTCTCCCACTTAAAAATCCTTCAATAACTGCCCTTCATTCTGAACAAGATCAAGATCGAGTTCCCTACCTTGGCATTCAAGGTCCTCTGCGACCCTGCCTCCATCTCCTCCTTATACTTTATGTTGGGGCCACACCTAATGGCTGGTGGTTCACACAGTGCTTTCTATTCACCCCCATGCCCTTGCTTCTGCTTTAACTTTTTCTTGTGCTGTCCTTTCAACCCCTCTTTTCCTGCCTAGATCCAGCCTGTCTTTTTAGCATCTAATCAGTTGTCAGCTTCTTCAGGAAGCATTCTGAAGATCCTGTGGTATGAGCTAAATGCTTCTCGTCTGTGCTATCCTCTCCTAGCACCCTGTGCCTGCCCCTGACATAGCATTTGGTGCCACTTGATATTATCTGTGTGTGTGTCATCCCCAGCACCTCCCACTGCTCCTTGAGAATGGGCCTAAGTGTTATTCATCATTGTATAACAAGCACCTGGCAAAATGCCTGGCACAAAGTCAGCATTGAATAAGTTCTTGTTGGACAGAATTTCAATTTCTTCTATCTTACAACTTGTAAAATGATTTTTACAAGTTTTACTTACTGATTTCTTAGATAAATTCTCCATGTCAATTTTTCTTCAAATCTACAGGCATAGTGGTTCTATTAATGCACCAAAGCAACTGAGAGCTAGCTCTGAATGCCAAAGAGCCAGGCAACACCCATGAGAATGAAGACAGTGGCAGTGAAGGTCCCAGTCATCATCTCAGATGGATTTGCAGTGTCATGAGGGCTCAAACAGTTCTCATAAAGGTCTTTATAAGAGACTTACCTTAGTTTAAAAGGCAGGTTGGGAAACCCATGACCATTTCCTCCAGAAAGCACAGAATTCCTGCAAGCCTGGGGTCACTATTTTGGCTGCCATGCTGTCAGCTTATCCCAGCAATCTTTCAAGGTGCTTCACTGTATGGCATCATTTGCTGTATTGTAAGAATTCTGTTCAAGTAAGAATCAATCAAGCTTCCTTTGAAACAATCACTTTGCATAAGGAAATGGGAGTTTCAAGGATGTATTTATTTGTTCAACAAATATTGATTGAATACCTACTATAGGTGCTGAAGATACATTTTTAGGGACAAAATAGTCAAAAATCTTTGCTCTAGTGAAACTTGACTAGTGGGAGACACAGATGTATTATGTTATAGTGAAGGTAAATGCTATGAAGAATAAAATAGGGCCGGGTGCGGTGGCGCACACCTGTAATCCCAGCGCTTTGGGAGGCTGTGATGGGCGGATCACCTGAGGTCAGGAGTTCGAGACTAGACTGACCAACATGGCAAAACCCCTTCTCTACTAAAAGTACAAAAATTAGCCGGGCATGGTGGCGGTCGCCTGTAATCCCAGCCACTCAAAAGGCTGAGGCAGGAGAGTCACTTGAACCTGGGAGGCAGAGGTTGCAGTGAGCCGAGATCATGCTACTGCACTCCAGCCTGGGCAACAAGAGTGAGACTCCATCTCAAAAAAATTAATTAATTAATTTAATTTAATAGAGCAAGCAATGGGGATCAGAAGTGTGACATAGATTGTTTACTTTTTACAGGGGGTTAATTTTAATGGAGGTAATTGTAGGGCTCACAAACAATTGCAATATTTGAGCAAACACTTGAAGGAGGTGAGGGAGCAAGCCCTGTGGCCATGCAGAAATACACGCTAAGGGAACGGCCAATACAAAGGCCTTAAGGAGGTTCACACGAGGATAGTGAGGAGAGTAATGTGGGGGATGCAGGAGAGAAAAAAGAGAGAGAAGTAGGGGATGAGATCAGAAAGGTAACAGCGGGCAGAGCTCAGGTAACTGGAACCCAGTAGAGCTTCAAAAGTACTTTGGCTCATTCGCCAACATGGCAATTTTTAAGAGAGATGTGACATGATCCAAAGTTATCACTGATCTCTCTGCTGCTGTGTTGAGAATAGACTAGATAATGACAAGGTTGGACGTGAGAATACCCATTAGGAGTCTACTGCTATAATCTAGATGGCAATAACAGAGGCTTGGACAGTGTAGAAGCAAGGAACATGGTGAGAAATGGTTACATTCTGGGTATATTTTGAAGGGAGACCCAATAGGGTTTTCTGTAGGGTATGAGAGAGAAAAGTAAAGGATGATTCCAAGGTTGACCGTGGAAAGATAGAGCTGCCATTAAGTGAGCTCAGGAAGACTGCAGGTAGAGCACCTATGTGGGATGATCAGGAGTTAGACCTAATAGGTTTGAAGCAACTATTGGATATCCATAGGAAAACATAAAATAGCAGTTAGATGCAGGAATCTAGAGTTCCAGAGAAAGATCAGGCTGTAAAAATGGATGAGATGTAAATGGTAAAGAGAAGAGGTCCCAGGACTAAGAACTGGGACATTCTATTTAAAGGTAAAGAAAAGAAGAGAAACCGATAGACTGAGAAGGAGCAAGTCATTGAAGTAGTAAGAAAACCAAGAGGGTTTGGTATCCTAGAAGGCAAGAAAGAAATTGTTTCCAGGAAGAGGGAATGCCCAGATGTGACAAATAAGATGTAAATAAAATGAAGATTAAGAACTGACATTGGGTTTACCAATGTGCTGGATATTGGTGGGGTACTGGTTTGAATAGTGTCCTCCCAAAATTTACATCTACCTAGAACCTCAGAATGTCACCTTATTTGGAAATAAGGTCTTTGCAGGCATGTTAAGATGAGCTTATGCTGGATCAGGGTAGGCACCAAATCCCATGACTAGTGTCCTTATAGGAAAGCCATATAAAGACCTAGAGGGACATACAGGAGACTGCCATGTGACAATGGAGGCAGGAATTGGAGTGATGCAGCTATAAGCGAAGGATTGCTGGCAACCACTAAGAGCTAGGAAGAGGCAGGGAAGACTTCTCCCCAAGAGCTTTCAGAGAAAGCATGGGCCCACTGGTACCTTGACTTCAGACTTCTAGCCTCTAGAACTGTGAGACAATAAAGTTCTGTTATTTTCAGCCATCCAGTTTGTGATACGTCATTATGGCAACCCTAAGAAACTAACACACTTGACGAAGCAGTCACTAACTTGTCTGTACCTTGATTTTCTCATCTGTAGAACAGGAATAAAAGTACCTGCCTCAGAGGATTGTGGTAAGGATTAATAATATATCTAATATTCTTATAATAGTACATACCAAATTCTACATAATGTTAACTGTTATAATGATTATAGATCTAATAATTCTGTTTTGAAATAAAAACACTTTTTTCACTTGTTCTTTGCTAAATTCTCATTAGCTTATTAATTTGACAGATTAAATTTTCCTAAACTTTTAAACACCAATTTTACGTTTAATCAAATTCTCTTAAATATTTTTAAATGAGAAAAAAGATATAAATCTAGTGAGTAAAATTCTCCTAAATTTTTAAGCATTGTTTAAGCAATTGATTAACTACATTTCTGTGAATATTTCAAGCTAAAATCACAAATTTAAAATGTGATTATATTAAACACTCCAAACATCTAATGCAGGTGTTAAACAAAATTGTTCTCAATCATGTAACTCTTATAATGCTAACAAATAAAATCTTATACATTTAGGTGAAATGATGTTAAGCATTTCAATATCTTAAAAATAAGCTTTATAAATGTAGTATAATAGATTTTCCTAAGCATTTAAATGGTGACTATAAATTTAACTAGTTAAGTTATTCTAAATATGTCCATTAAAATCATGAATCTTATAATTTTCTAGTGTATCAGATTGTTAAGCATTTAGCTTAAAAACAAAAATTGGGATAACAACATGTGTATTGCACTTGAATAAATAAAGTTTACACAAAAGCATCATTTATAATTCTTATTTGTTAACCCTTTCTGTGTCACAGTTACTCTTCTAATTACTAGGAACACAATGATCAGTTTAGGAGCTCTTTCTAGGAATTGAAATTACAGAGATGACCAGAGATTTGAGTCCCAAATTGCAGAGGTAGAATAACCGTGCACAGACATGGGATGGGGCATTGGTTGCCTCACAGGGGAATTTTACCAGAGCTATGAATTAATAAGGCAAGTTTCTTCTTCTGGTTGGCTTCTGCTTGCTGTACTGTCAGTGGGAGACAATCCTAGGCTTTTTAATGGAATTTTATTTTATAACCCAGTGCATCACATATATCCTAGGAATCTTTCCAATTTCACCCTTATCGAATTTTTGTTATAACTTTTATCATTCCTATTCCGTGATTTGGGTAGATGGAATTATGGACACACACACTCACACATAGTAGTCACAGAGCTTCCTGCTGAGACGTCCTTTTATTCTGTGTTCCTTCTCTTCATCCTTGATTCTATAGTCTTCTTTTGACCACACTGAGCCCTTCAAGAATAGAATGTGCATTATTTATCTTTGTGTTTTGTTTGTTTGTTTTTTGAGAGGGAGTCTGGCTCTGTCACCCAGGCTGGAGGGCAGTGGCATGATCTCGGCTCACAGCAACCTCCACCTCCCAGGTTCAAGTGATTCTCCTGCCTCAGCCTCCCAAGTAGCTGGGACTACAGGCACCCACCACTACACCCAGCTAATTTTTGTATTTTTAGTAGAGACGAGGTTTCACCATGTTGACCAGGCTGGTCTCGAACTCCTAACCTCAGGTGATCCATCCGCCTTGGCCTTCCAAAGTGCTGGGATTACAGGCGTGAGCCACAGCGCTGAGCATAACTTTGTTTTCTTAGGGCTCAGCACAAATGCCCGGTGCTCAATAAATGTTTGTTGAATGATGAATACATGTAATGAATATTAATTTGAAGTAACAGACTCCAAACATCCTCCACTTTACTTCATCAGGTAGAGTAATTTTGGCCCTATAGTAATTTCCTATCTTGCCACCTCATCGAAAAATATGACAGTCCTTGTCTTACCTTCTGAATGGTGCCTTCACTGTAGCCTTTGCTTCTTGATTGTTTCTAATGAGCCCCTCTCAGTAAATAACAATCTACATGTCACACATGCCACGCACCATTTGCCACCTTTCCCCTCAAGGTCTACTTGACGGTGAATCTTAACACACTCTCCTGTGAAGTCTGGACTGTTCAGAATTCATTTCTGGACTAAGAATCCTTTCTAGAAAGGTGCTGTAGTGGAGTTACCATTCAAAGCACAATAATTTACCATTCTGGGCATAGCACTTAAGAGCATACATTTTAATCCATAAAAGCATGGTGGCAGATTCTGGCTCTGCCATTTACTACCTTTATTATTTGGCCTTTTTCAGACTCAGTTACCTCACTGTGAAACTGTAATTGTAATATCTATCACAGAGGGTTAAGGTGAGGCATGAATGAGATAAGGTATGCAAAGCTCTTAGGATAGAGCTAGTGCTTAAGCACTCAATAAATAGTAGTTGTTGCCCAAATGGACCCTTTCATTTTTCCATGCTACTGGCCCAATCTCCTGAAAGGCAGTATAGTCACATTCATACTGCTTTATTTCTTTAACATACTTGTTCTTAAAGCCGAGAGAGGAAGTAAAAAAAAAATAGAATGTCCTCTTTACAGAAAGAAGCTAATCAGATTGTAAACTGGCAGCGCGTGATAATTTTTCATATATTTGTAAAGCTGTGCTAAGCAACAGTCAACAAAATCAGATTCTAAACCAGCAGAGCATGATGAATCTTCATATATTTGCAAAGCTGTGGTAAGCAATAAATAGTCAACAAAATCCTGAGATTTTTGTGCTTTTTAAATAAAATTTTAAATGTAAATTTAACAATATTAAGTACATAATAAGATTAAATCATGTAATAAGAATCACTTCCATTTTTGACAAGCTTCTTAGTTCAGAGCCCTTAGGTACTTCCTGTAATAAAGTCCCATTTTCAGATTCACAGAGAGATATTATCTAATGTTTCACTCTGTCTTTTCATGTTCTTAATTTGGGGTCTGTTTCAATGGCCTGTCTCATATCAGCTGTCATTTTTGTGATCGAAATGTCACTTCACATTACAGTTTTCATTAGGACAGTTCTCATCTTTGGTTTCAATTCAATTTAATTCAAATTAGATCCTTATGTCTCAGGACAATTGAATTCACTTACAATCTTCTCTGTTCAGATAGGATTGTAACCACTACTTCCTGTTGATACTACTGGAGTTGTTGGTACCTTCTAAACCCCTGGTACTGCCTGGGAGCCCACCAGGTCTCATAACAAGGACACTGCTGCTTCTGCCCATGGAAATGGGGCTGGCACCAGCACTGGAACCAGCCAAGCTAGCATTATGCTCAACAGTTATTAAACCACCGTTACTGTCTCCGGTGTTGATGACTGAGTCTCTACCACCTTCCTCTCAACAAAATCCCACTGGGTCAATGCTTTTCTGAATTATGGAAAAATCTTTCTTTTCTCACATTTTGTTTTATACAATTTTTGGCTGAAAAACAGCTCACTAGGTTATAGGAGTTTGGAAAGGTGTAATTTGCTTATTTTGTTTGATTTGGTTGAGATTTTCTAGTCTTCCCCCAACAGAAGCCAGACAAAAGGGGGCTGAACAACAACAGCAAAATTTACTCATGTCTTCTCCTGAGACAACTTTTTCAGAACTGACTTGTATGCTTGACTTTCCCTAGAATAAGTTTGTTTTCAAGAGGCTTTTCTTGCAATATTGCTGGTAGCAATGACCCTATCACGACACCAGATGTATTGAAACTCCTTAATCCTGTCATCTTGTGGGCTTGGTCCCAGCTCACAAGCATTCTAGGACCTTAGTGGCGCTGTCCAGAAGAGGAAAAGATTCAGAGCCCAGAAAACTCACCCAAGTGAAGGGCTGCACCTTAAGAAGGGGGAGACCAGTAGGCTGCACCGCCGTATTTCCAGAGGCTGACCTTGATTCTGGCTAATTACACACACAAGGAAATTCACCAAATGAGCAAAACCCAGCTATGGAGTTCAGGTGGGAGCTGTGCTATGACTTGGCCATTGGCAACAATGCCAATGCTAGTGGTATCCCTGGGTATGGGGACTGGTAAAAAAAATTGGCTAAGGTTGCAGCCTAGCCCTCTAAGCAGGCTTTAGACAGGCCATAAGAAATCAGGTACAGAGGTGGTCCCTAAGGCTGGGTACTTTGGGAGAGCTAAACCCAAAGCATTCTGAAGGAACTGCTTAAATGAAGAGGTAAAATTAGGTCATAATAGGGAAAAATGAGGTTGTGCACAGAACTGTGGGGGCAAACAAGATACATATGCATGTCACTAGCTGGGGGAATCCAGAGAAATGGGATAAGCAGCTAGGAAACCATAAGTGGGATGTGGCACCTGCTGTATGCTACTAGTTTGGACTAGGGTTCTTAAAGGAAGCTCATCTGGCTAGATTTAGGGAGTCTAGAAAGCCAAGGCAGATAAAGTACTTTTAATACATCAGAAATGTAGACTGGACCTACAGAGGGAATTGACATAATTGCTAAAGCTTGGACTTTGAAATTGGAAGTCTTGGGTTTAAATCTCAGCTCTGACACTTAGTCACAGTGTGGCCTTGTGCAAATTAGTGTCTCTACAACGCTGCATCCTCCATTAAAGAACCCCACGGGGTCTTTTAAGAACTTGTAAAGTCCATATCCCAGTGCCTGGCATACAATAAGTACCCAAAAATGAAGGAATATGGGCTGATACCATCACAACTAATTCCAGACCACATTCATTGGTGACACTGAGCCTGTTAACAATTTGCTTTCTCTGATGGGAAGGAACTCAGGAATTGGCAAACTGATATGGGTATGGGTTTCACAGTTGAAAGAGCGGCTAGGGAACCACGGGCCTGATGTAGATGGTGGCTTAGAAAGTAGAGCTATTCGGGGCCAGGCGCGGTGGCTCACGCCTGTAATCCCAGTACTTTGGGAGGCCGAGGCGGGCGGATCACGAGGTCAGGAGATCAAGACCATCATGGCTAACACAGTGAAACCCCGTCTCTACTAAAAATACAAAAAAAAAAAATTAGCCGGGCGTGGTGGCGGGCGCCTGTAGTCCCAGCTACTCAGGAGGCTGAGGCAGGAGAATGGCATGAACCCGGGAGGTGGAGCTTGCAGTGAGTCGAGATTGCGCCACTGCACTCCAGCCTGGGGACAGAGCAAGACTCCATCTCAAAAAAAACGAAAGTAGAGCTATTTGGATGGTGCTCCAGGGTAGCAGCTGATCTGGCAAACTGATATTTGAACCACAATATTAAGACAAATATCATTCAGTCTTTCTTCCTAGACACAGAAACAAAGACCCCTTTCCCAGAGATGTGTGTGTGTGCCCACACACATGCACACACTTCAAAGCCACGGGTCACAATCAAACGTGGTTTCCCTTTGCAGTGAACACACTGGCTTTTAATACTTTCCTTAAGTAAGTTATAGCCTCACATGTGAACTTTTGATCTCTGAAATGAAGTCCATAAATTTCATTGTCAGAATGGTTGCTACTCTTTTATAGTTTACGTGTAAATTTTGTTATTCCTATATCCATAGAAGTCACTTCAGTTTTTTCTCTCTATGGCCACAGTATTACTACATTTAATCTGTGCTGGAAGGTGCCCTGAGTTTAAATTAAGTTGAATGCTGGGCTGAGTGTGAAACACAAGAGATACTGCTAGTCTAAGTCTGGGGCTTCCTTAAGAGAGCCCCTCCTTCACATCTCGGAAACAAGGAATGATGTTGCACCACTCAGACCTCATCTTTCCATCCCAGCTGTATTAGTCCATTTTCACGCTGCTGACAAAGACATATCCGAGAGTGGGAAGAAAAAGAGGTTTAACTGGACTTACAGTTCCACATGGCTGGGGAGGCCTCAGAATCATGGCAGGAGGCAAAAGGCACTTCTTACATGGCAGCAGCAAGAGAAAATGAGGAAGAAGCAAAAGCAGAAACCCCTGATAAACCCATCAGATCTCGTGAGACTTATTCACTATCACAAGAACAGCACGGGGAAGACCGGCCCCCATGATTCAATTACCTCCCCTGCCGGGTCCCTTCCCACAACACGTGGGAAGTCTGGGAGGTACAACTCAAGTTGAGATTTGGGTGGGGGCACAACTAAATCATATCACCAGCCTTACCTCCGACCACTTCATTCCTCACACTACAGTCCAGTCACACCAAATTGTGATGATTCCTTCAATGCACCATGCCCTTTATTGCATTCTGCCTTTGCACAGTCTCTTTCCTCTACCCCAAGTGACCCTTCTTCTTTCCAGAGGGATTCCTCTTCAGCCTAAATGGCTTAGCTCAAGACTCATCAATCAGAATGCTCTCTATAGACCTCCTCAATCCCTTTGAAGTTACTTTCTCCCTTCCCATTGCCCCTGCAGTATTCTATGCAGCTTCTCACATCATAATATCTCCATCTGTGAGCCCTTTGAAAGCAGGGGGAGTGTCCTACTTATGGGCTTAGTATCCCCAGCATCTATTACCATGCCTGGCACTTGTTTGGTGCACATTAAAAATGTATGAATGGGCCAGGCACAGTGACTCACGCCTGTAATCCCACCACTTTGGGAGGCCGAGGCAGGCAGATCACAAGGTCAGGAGTTCGAGCCCAGCCTGGCCAACATGGTGACACCCTGTCTCTACTAAAAATACAAAAATTAGCCAGGTGTGGCGGCGGGCACCTGTAATCCCAGCTACTTGGGAGGCTGAGGCAGGAGAATTGCTTGAACCCAGGAGGCGGAGGTTGCAGTGAGCCAAGATCGCGCCACTGCACTCCAGCCTGGGTGACAGAGCAAGACTCTGTCTCAAAAAAAAAAAAAAAAGAAAAAAAATGTATGAATGAAAGCCAAATTATTTTTTTGTTTTTTCTTCCTGCAGAAACGATGACCATGGGTAAGAGGACTGCTTGTGCCAAGGACAAAATAGGACAACCATCTCACAAAGATCTTAAGTAACTTTTTCCATCCAGCAACATCCAGACGATTTCAGTGACCAAATGCTCAGCTGTAACCACAGCACTAACTGGCCTTCTTTCCAGATTGGGTTTGGTGAACCTGAATGGTCCAGCCACCTTCTGCAGGTGGCCCAAGGTGATGTGCTGCAGGGAAGCATGTCTCTCATGCCAAGAACCAAGATCGGACTATGAACAAAAACAAATGATAGATATAGTGACAGTACCAAGAGTACCAGGACTCAATGTTTCATATGAAGCCCTTGGTGATGAGGACATAGCATCTGCCCTGGAAATCGTTATTCCAACATAATATTATTTTCTAGAATGCCCTGGAAGGACAGAATATTTAAAAATATATCCAGGTGCTAAATAGGCAGCAGATCTCAATTCACACATGACTACCTTTGAGCTAATGACTGTCTCCAGAAAATAACTGTGCCCCAAGAAGTGCTCCAGATTTGCAAGGAATAGCCCCAAGAGAATACCAAGACAAGCAGGCTGTTCCCTGGAAAAAATCTAATGCAAGGAGGGCTAGTTCACAGCAAATTCACTGCCTCCTCCCATGCACGTGGTAGAGAGTACCAGTATCAACATGGCCCTGTTTTCTGCTAAAACCAGATTTTGAGGAATCAGAGACCCCCAACACTACTCACTCAGTAGCTAGCAGCCCCTTCCTTTCAACTGGGAGTGTTATTAGAATGAAAAGTAATTAGTTAGAAGGGCATACATCTCAGTGGCATGAGCATTGTGGAATATCCTTTCCTAGGCACATTCGTCCACTAAGGGAACAGCCTCAGAAACTGGTACAGCAATGGGTGAGATGAGATCATGGAGAGAGAACACAGCCATCCCCTATAGAAAGGCACAGCTTTTGGGCTTCTCTGGCCTGAATGCCTTCTGGGGTATTTCCATATGCAACAGCCCAGAGTCATAGCCTTGGGCAACCACACATAGAGGTTTCCTTCTCACTTCAGACACATACATCACTTTCACACCACTTGGGGATGGAAATACCTACAAGAGTGAAGGTCAAGGGCCCTCCCCAGGCATCTCATTCATTACTCAGCTTCCTTCCTGACCAAGTCTGCCAACCAATGGCCAGCTATGCGCCTCATCCTCATTGCTTCTGCCTCCACGTAAATGAAACCAAAGGCCTCAGCATATCCTGGGAGGACTGGGGGCTGTTACCTAATGGTCCTCTCTGTCCCATTATAGGTGCAAGGCACCCCATCCACACATTTGCACCACTACTCCAAGATAGTATTTTTCTTTTCACACAATCTCTTTACAGCAGAATCCAGAGTTGGATTGTAGTTTACCTTCCTGGAAAGCTCATTATCTCTGTTTGAATTAACATTTCAGCATGGAACTAACTGGGCGGAGGAAGGATCGTTATACGTCTTCAGAAAGTTCTCATTGCCCCAGCTGCCTAGTACTATACAAGAAGCTCTACTTTGATGGCAGATCTAAGAAGGCTATAGGCCTTTGTTTGTAGGAAGCAGTGTCATTACATTCAAGCTTCACTTCTCTGATTGGCTTCCAACCACTGGGATTCAAAGAGAATCCAAGGTTCTGCCTATGTCTGATGACATAAGGAAAACTTGGCTTCCTCTGCTCAAGGTTCCCCTCTGCTCATCCCTCCTCATTCAGACATCCTCCACCATACCAGTGTTTAGAAGCAAAACATGAAGGGCTAGCGCCACCAGGATAGTTAGCAGAAATATTGTCTGTAAAGCTAGGCAGATGAGCCCAGAAGAATGGTCCCAGAGAAAGCAGACTGGCTCCAATAGATATCAGGCAGCAATCCCAATAAATTCTGACATGTCCTTGGCAATGGAAGCCTGGGTTGGAGATCCTGAGGCAGCTGTGCCTACTGTTCCCCACCTCAGAAGCTTCCTGCCCAGAGAGCCAGCAGCCTTGGGATACTAATGAGGATGCAACTGGCTTATTGGTATGAAATAGAAGGTGGCTTTGTAGGGGCAAGCAGGCAAAGAGTACTATCCACATGGCAGGCAGGTGGCTTTGTGTCTGGAAAGCTTTGCCTAGCCAGTACAGCTGTGAGCAGAGGCTGGTTATAAATTTGAACTCCCTCAGCCCATTTGCAACTCTGCCTCTGTTCTCTTGCATTCTGTTTGGTTGCCCTTTAGTTTCCTAGTAAATGCTCCTTTTGAAAAACTCCAACCTTGTCTTATTTAACTTGGGGGAAGGGGATTCTCCAATGTCTTTTCCAGGATAAAGAAGGAAATTAAAATACCATGAAAAAATGGACATGGCAGTAGAAAGGAAACATTCTGATCAGACCTTGGGAAAAGCTGGTGCCGAGAGAGGGAGAGGCCAGGTGTCCCCCCACCCAACTGGCACTGATTCTCAGCCCCTTCCTCTTACTTCTGTTGGCTTCAAGGAGACCTGCCCTTGATGTGTGTTGCTGCTGAAGCACCCTCCCAGCCAGTGAGTTGGACATATGCAGCAGGCACTTTGATGTCCAGGAAGTACACTGGTACATGACAGGAGCAAGGGTCAGGGAGGGGAGGGGAAAGGTTTCTACAATGCAGATGTTTTCAAAATTCTCCAACAATCATGACTCTAAATGGTATGATTTAGGGCTGGGTGCAGTGACTCACACCTGTAATCTCAGCACTTTGGGAGGCCAAGGCGGGAGGATCACTTGATACCAGAAGTTCAAGACCAGTCTGGCAACATGGAGAGACCACCATCTAATTTCAAAAGAGACCCCCCGCCCCCCCGGCTAATTTTTAAAAAATTAGCAATGTACCTGTAGTCCCAGCTACTTAGGAAGCTGAGATAGGAGAATCGCCTGAGTCCAAGAGCTTGAGGCTACAGCGAGCCAAGATTGCAACACTGCATTTCAGCCTGGGTGACAGAGCAAGGCCCTGTCTCTCTAAAAAAGAAAAAAAAAAGGTATTGTTTAGTTCACATGGCCATCAGTAGAACTACATTTCATATGATGAGAAGAAAATAATTATTTATTTTACACTTGAGTCAGGGAGACTGACAAAGGATAGGTATGGAAAATGGCTTGCTATTTTCATGGCCACCCTGTCCTGCAATGCGGGGGGTGGGAGGGGGGACATTCCAATGACTTACTGCTGCATGACAAAGCACCAAAACATAGTGGCTTAAATAGAAATATATTGTCTCTCATGATTATCTGAGTTGACTGAGCTTAGTTGATGCTCTCCCCTGCAGTCTCATGGTTGCTCTCAGATGGCATCTGGGGCTGGCATCATCTGAATGCCTGCCTCGGATGGATGTCCATAATGGCTTCTTCACTCACATCTGGCTCTGGAATTGAGATAACTGGAACAGCTGCAGAATGGCTGGACATCTCTCTCCACATAGTCTCTCCATATGGTTAGTTCGGGCTTCCTCACCACAGGGACATCTCAAGATAGTGTTCTGATAAAGTGACTGGCTTCCTCCAGAGCTAGCATTGCAAGTGGTCCAGCTAGATGCTACAA
This sequence comes from Homo sapiens, assembly GCF_000001405.40. NCBI lineage: Eukaryota > Metazoa > Chordata > Mammalia > Primates > Hominidae > Homo > Homo sapiens. The sequence goes on from NC_000011.10 coordinate 7,470,347, forward strand.
GGTTCTGTTAAGTAAGTTCTAAAGGAACCTAGAGTCATTTCTGCCACATACTAGGGTCAAGAGCAAGTCATAATCTTGAATCAGCCCAGATTCAACGGGAAAGAAATTACACAAGAATGGAATACGAGAAGGTGTGGCTCATCAGGGCCATCTTTGGAGAAAGTGGGGATGGGAGTGGGAGTGGGGAGGTTAATGAGTTAAAGGGCTTCCTAGGTAGCTGTCATTTTAAAAGCACATCGAATGCTCAACACACATGGAGAATGCAATGAGTAATAAGGGGTAGAGAAGAAGGGAAGAGCTAAACTGGACAGTTAAACAGTATAAGCTAAAGAAAAGCAACCGATTCTGACTGATACAGTGCTTATGAACTTTCAATGAAAACAATTTTATGCAAAGTAATTTAATGAACTGAGAAAAGGACACTAATATGGATGTGAATATAGCCAAAAACAATGTCTACTGCCTGTATGTGGCTCCTGATAATTCTGCAGGCCACTTAGCTGCCCCTGGCCACCCACTTCACTGATAGCCACCTGGGACTATTGAGGGTGTCTAGCTTAGGAGTGCCCAGCCTCTGGTATTGCCATTCAAACTCAACCCAGAGAAGAAGGCTCACCTGTTGCTTACTGTGCCCTTCCACATCCTTACAAAGAGTATCTCTCTCACACAGGAGTCCTGAGTTGGTTGCTGGCACAGACCACAACCAGAGGCTGAGTGGCCAGTGAAACTCCTCTGAGACTCAGGTTTTCTCTCTAATGGGAATTCCTGACTCTTCCTTCTTCAGTCCTCTCTCGGGACCAAAGAGGAAGGACACCCCTCAGTATCCTTTGGCAATCACCGTGGACACTTCCGCAGCTATAGAGGTGTTGCTTTGGGATCATCTAAGACAGAGTCAAGCCTTTGGCAATGTTCAGGAAATGCTGGTATGTCTCTGAGATCAGCTTTCAAGAGGAGAGGCATGTTATGAATGGGGCCTTTCTGGGATAGCATACACTATTCTTTGTTCGTTCTTTCTTTCTTTCTTTTTTTTTTTTTTTTTTTTTTGAGATGGATTTTCGCTCCACTTCAGGCTGGAGTGCAGTGGCACAATCTCGGCTCACTGCAACCTCCGCCTCCCAGGTTCAAGCAATTCTCCTGCCTCAGCCTCCTGAATAGCTGGGATTACAGGCGCCCACCACCACACCCAGCTAATTTTTGTGTATTTTTAGTAGAGACAGGGTTTTGCCATGTTGGCCAGGCTGGCTTCGAACTCCTGACCTCAGGTGATCCACCCGCCTTGGCCTTCCCAAGTGTTGGGATTACAGGCATGAGCCACCACGCCCAGCCCCACTATTCTACTTTCTATCAAGTGCATTCCAAGATAGGCTGACCTTCATGGAAGAAGTGAAATAGAAAACTGAGGAAAAGAAAATAATTGGAAAAAAAGTCCCACAAGTCAAGAAAGTACCCCAAGGAAGACTTACAGGACAACTTCCAAGGCAAATGGGAAAAGAGAACATTGGCAATCTAGGAGCTGCAGGAGAGAGCCCTGGTCTTCATCCCTAAGCCCAGGATGAATGTGAGGCAAAAATAGTCTCTGTTCTTTTGGAGGAAGAAAAAGCGAGTGAGCAAGCAAGCAAGAGAGAGAGAAAGAGATAGAGAAAGAAAGAAAAAGAGGGAGGGAGGAAGGGAAGGAAGGGAAGGAAGGGAAGGAAGGGAAGGAAGGAAGGAAGGAAGGAAGGAAGGAAGGAAGGAAGGAAGGAAGGAAGGAAGGAAGGAGCAAGCTCTGAGCAGTGCCACAGACCTGCTTCCAGTGTCCCTGATATAAAGCTCTCTTTGCTCAGTCTCCCAAGAGAACAGATCAAGCTTCTCCCAAGGACTATGGCAGGAACCCACTTCCTTCTTCCACTCAAAAGACTTGTCACTTGCTGCTGGGATCCCTGGGCATATGGGCTGCAAAATTCAACTAGCTGCGTGATCACCTCTGTCACCTCACTCCCTGGTGTCTTCCCACTTGTGTCCAGGAGCTCTGGGCCTGGGAAGGATTAACAACAAAGATTAAAGATGGCCCACAAGGCCTCAGAGGATCAGGAGCCAGCCCTGAAGTCCAGAAATTTTGACTAAGCCTCTGTCATTAGGGTCTCCCAGCTCATCCATAGGCTAATGCCAAACTTTCACAACAGCTAGTGGTTCTCATGACACCTCCTCCTGGTAGAAAGGAAAGAATAAGTCAAAAGGACCTGGGCCACAGATTCTGTCCTCTTGAGTCATTGATTTTGCCTCCCTAAACTATATCTTAAGATAGATTACTCTGTGAAAGCTGGATGACCATTGCCAGACAATTTAAAAAGTATATATATCAATATGAAATGGATTGATGATAATATTGCATATTATAGTTTATAGCACATGGATGGTATTGCTTTTATCCATTTTCTTTATTTTTTGAAAATTGAATTTGTGATTTTAAACATTAAAGATAATAGAAAAATTAATTTTTTGGCTCAATACTAGATTTATTATAGCTATTATTCCAATAATTTATTCATTGAATTAAAGTTATTTCAAAACCATTTGACATAGGAATATTGATAGTTTTTTTTTCTACCAAGTGAACATCATCTTCAAGACATTCACACAATTTAGATAAAATTCCTTTTGCACAGCAGCTGTATCCAGAGGCTTGATCTTGGATTTAGATTTAAATTTATCAAAGAAAGGCAGTTTTTAAAATTTGCCTAATTCAAAGCTCAAAGACTAATGAAATCCTTTCTTCAAATACCTGAAGACATTTGTATTCAGGGCTCTAGAGATGAGCTTATGAACTCTATAAACAACTGGTAAGTAAACCTTCCAGAAACAAGTTTTACCTTTATAGCAGTACCCTTCTCTGCTGGTACCAATTATCCCTCCTAAAGGACTACTTCTATGTGTGAAGCCTCAGTGGGACCCATTGCCCCTCAGTGGGCCTTTTCTGGCTTTGAAAAGAAAAGACCCCAGCATGGTCCTCAAGTCTTCTGATGTTTATATAAAGACGGCAGGTCCTTGTAGAAGTGTTTATATAAATTAGGAAAGATTCCCCCACCTACCTTCAACTTATGACCTTCTTTGACTCCAGGGAACAAGGAAAAATCACTAGTTTGGGAAAGGTAGCTTTCAGTCTTGAAGCTGTAATTATACAGGGGTTAATGACTGGGAAGGAAGATTAAACTTTTACTCACTACTTGAAATTATTCTAGTGCATGATCTCACTTCTTTGGGTTCTAATCCTAAATTATTTGCCCTATTCTGGTAGTTGGACATAGTGGTGGAGACCAGCTGGCTCCTAGAAAGTACAAAGGGAACTCCACCCAGTTACCACCAAGCACAGTGCAGGTTGGAGACAGCCTTTTCCTGAGGTGGGGCTGAGGACCTGCTCTGCCACTGACCAATCCTGTGATTTCCAGGCCTCACCTTCCTAGACACTCTCTGCTGTCAGGGATCCTGCCAGACACTTGTCAGCCCCTGGTGCAGCCAGGTCACGGCCATATCTGAGGGATAAACAGCACTGCACCTGTGACTATACTTGGCTTCTACCCTTCTGGGCTTAAGAGGACTTTGGCAATCCCCAAAGGACTCAGACACAGCATGACCATGGGAAACCCCTGCCTAGAACTTCCTGCCTTGGCCCAGCCCATCACTGGTTTTTACATAATGGTGCTTGGCATTTCTAGGCCACTGTACACATATACACACACAAGCACAAATGCAATTATTGTGCAGGAACAGCTGCAAAGAGGCTGGTGCAGGGCTCCATGTCCTTCCTGAAAGTGGCTGAGGGGAGCATGGTCCTACCACAGCTGGGAGACTTGACTTTGTGCATCCCTTTATAGAAAGAAGCTCTCTGACTCTTACAGAAGTTGCTGCATGGGAATGCCAGAGATAAGGCACCTGCCTACCTAACACAGTAGTTTAGTCTTCTGAGAAGCCTCCTGTCTCCTTTGATACCTGTGACCCTCAGTCATGGCAGCTCCTCCATCAATTTATCCAATGTGAGGATGGATGACACTCACCTCCATAACCCAGTCTGCAGCCAGGAAAGTGTCAGTAGAGGTGACCCCACCTTTCCAGGCCCATCATATGTGGGTCAAGAAAGGATCATGTCCAAGACCACAGCATTAATGTTTAATAAGGCTTCCATTTCTATTGAAAAGTTGTCCTTCACCTGCAGTGTTTGCAACTGATTGCTAGCCTGAGGAACACTGGGCAAGACCAAGATGCATCATAGTGTGGTGGACAGAGCCATGAGCTGGGGCTGGGTCCCAGAGCTCTGCTCCTGCCGCTGAGGCTGAAACCACCCCTGCTGGTCACAGTTTCTTCTCACATGAGGAAGGGTTGGCCTACTATGTTCTATGCTCTTCCACCTCTGGTGTCTGTGTGTCTGTGAATCTAGGGAACTGCTTGTGCCCAGCACTGAGGAAACCGGGCACCTGGGGTGGGATCTATGCAATCCTAGACACACGCTGCCAGAAATCCAAGCACAGGCTAACTCTGGAGGGTAGGTTTTGGTGATTTCCACAGACATCAGCCGTCTCTTTACCCCCTCCATTGTTTCTTAGTTTCCCCTTCAATGGGTTTTCATTTTTAATAAATGGAAAGGAATTTGACTTTGAGATTGTCCTGAAAGCCCTTGTAATGACCAGTGATGTCTAGCATGGATTATAAAATGACAACTGGCCCACTAAACAGAGGAAATTCCATTTTGAGTTAAATACCAAAATAAGTTCTTTCAATATACCCTAAAGAGTTCACCACAGTCCTACAGGTAAGCCAGATGGATGAGAGGAGGGCAGCAGAAAGGAGAGCCTCCTGGATGGGGAGCTTGTGCACAGAGAAGCAGGTATTAGATGAAGAAAAGACAGAAAGACAATCTGTGTGGTTGGTTCACATTTGGGGCAGGAAACTGGGACCCACAGGGAGGGTGCTGGGCCCCTCCTGCCCTAGCCTACTTCTTTAAGAACCAACCTGTGATCCCTCCCCTAGGGCAGTGATAGAAATCTTCATCCTAGGAAGCTCATGCCTCTGTCCCCAGTTCATGCCACTCTGTGCTTCTGAGAACATCAAGACAGAGGTGTCTGGAGTATCAAAAGCAAAAACCTTCCTTCTCCACACTGCATGGCTCACACAAGCCAGTGCTGTCCACCCACCAGGCCTGTGTGTGCACCAGACTGAGACGTGGATTTCCAGGGCCCTGACGCTCTATTGACTGCAAGAACCATCATGCTTGTATCTCAGCCTATGTTTTTGAAAATCAAACTACCCATTCCATTATCCATTTAGCAAGAATATCAATCAGACTTATTGGGTGAGGAGGGGAGAAGGGAGAAGGTTTGTGGGCAGTACTTTTTCTAGATGGAATACGTTCTCATTCAAGTCTAAAAAGGAAAAGGACTAGTACCTTGGTCATAGTCAGATGACTACCTGAAAAGCCTCTGGCCTTTAGTAGCTAAAGGCTCTGAAACCAATAGTTTGCACAAACATTGACCCAATATTGGATCTAGGACACTGAACAAAAATCACCCAAGGAGGAACTCTCTGGGAACAGCAGGTAACCCCTCAGCTTTATGTCCTAGGGCTCCGTTCCCACCAGAAAAAAAATGTTTATAGAACCCCAGAGACCTAACTTGGGAACCTGTGCAGCACAGACCAAGGGTATGTCCTATCCTGGGGAGACACAGAGCCCAGAGAAGACCCAGCCTTCCCACCCATGCCAGCCAGCCCTGGCCCTGGGGTGTACTTCCCTTCACCTGCAGGGAAGAAGCCAGGTGACCATCAAGCAACATGACATCATTTCCTGGCCAGCAAGCCTTCTCCAGCTGCAGCCACACCTTCCATACCTCTGGATTCACTAATCCACATCCCACCCCCATCAGCAGCTCTCAGTAATCAATCAGTCCCCTTCCCTGTAACCTTCCCACTATTCACTCCCAGGGCCTCCCCAAGCTGTGTGGATGTAAACAAGATTTCAGAAGCCCTTGGCAGAGATATGGTTACCAGGTGCTGAAGAAACAGAGACTCAGAGTAGGCCACCTGAGCCCACCCAGCCACACCTGGCATACCCAGCATTTGGCTAGTGCCAGTTAGGACCAGATACTCAGCCTCCAGGGAGAATAAGTTCATAGGAAACTTCCCAAGTGAGTTCAAAAGCCAAACCAGAATGATCACAGTGAGAGGTGTGAGCATTCTAGGGACCCCGGCGCACATGGTTATTTTAAAGAGCAGAGTGAGGCCATTCCACCAAGTGCATGTGGGGCAGGCAGCTGTCCCATCCTGGGGGCTGTGGGAAGGCAGGACCAGGCTCTTCACTTCAGGCAGAGAATGCACCACTGCTAATCACTGAGAGATTTCGGACCACAGGGCATTTCCAGTAAAGCATAGGGAGTTGAGGGAGAATGTTCAGAACTGAGAAGACTAGACTGTGCTCTGAGTAGACTGAGGCTAAGAGTGAGCAAAAAGGGTAAGAAGAGGTGAATGGCTAGGTGCAGTAGCAGATGCCTGTTGTCCTGGCTACTCCTGGAGGTTGAGGTGGGAGGATTGCTTGAGCCCACGAGTTCAAGGCTGCAGTGTGCTATAACAGCACTTGGGAGGAGCCACTGCATTCAAACCTGGGCAACATAGTGAGGCTCCACATTGAAGAAGAAGGAAGAAGAAGAAGGAGGGAAGAGGAGGAGGAGGAGGAAGGAGAAGGAGAAGAGGAAGAAGAGATTGGAGGAGGAGGAAGGAGGAGGAGGAAGAGGGAATGGGGGAAAAGGTTGCATTTTGGGGAACTTCTCACTTATGTCAAATCATAGGAAGCAGAATAGACTAGAACCCCCTCTCTCTCCACCATGTGAGAATATAGTCAGAAGTCTGCCATCTGAAAGCCAGGACAAAGGTCCTCACCAAATCTGCCAGCACCTTCATCTTGGTCTTCCCAGCCTCCAGAACAGTCAGAAATAAACATTTGTTGTTTAAGCCACCCAGTCTATGGTATTTCGTTATAGTAGTCTGGACAGACTACGTTGGTGACACAGCAAACTGTGTGTGGAGATAGAAGGTAACTAAATGTATATCTGACAAGAATTGGAGATATCACAAGTATTTACTTATGACTGTCATTTTTGACCGTCAATGTAAACAATGTTATCAGCCCCTAGTTTTACGGGGCCTTCTAGAGGGCTCTCTCCTGACTCCCTAACACAATTAATTGAAGATTTTTAAATGATTCCCCAAATATATATCATTATCCACTAGAAAAATGTTCACTTGCTTCAACATCCTCTTGCCCAAAACTTCTCAGTCAGAAAACTGTTCTTAATATCGAATTTAAACTCCTTCTTCAATACATCTATTCCTTTTATTCCAACCTGAAGCAGAATTTAGTCATGAAATTCCACAGATTGCTCCCTATAACTCCACTCTCACATCTTTCTCTTTTACATAACCCAAAGATTTGGAAAGACAAGAGTAGACAATAAGCAAATGAATATATCTGGGAGAACATTATAGTACTTAAGAAAGAACACTGCTTCATGCCCACTCAGCACCTCTCACTCATGTGACCTCACAACTGGATTCTCTTACACTATTTTCTGAGTGTGTGTGTGTTCTAGTAATTGTAAGTTCCTGAAAGGCAGAGCCATGTCTTCTAATTTTCATAGCACTTTGGCTCAAGAAGTCAATAAAGACATGTAGCCATAAGTTGGCACACTTATTAAAACCATTCTTATTCTTTACTTTCAATAAAACCAGACTCCTAAGGACCCTAGCTCTGATTTTCATACAGACTGACAGATACTAACTCTGAAATTTGTAACAATTAATTTGGTATTTGAGGCCTGCCCTTCTTCATTCAGTGCCCTCTCCCTCACCCCAAGTGGTCTGCATTTGGGAGGTGTGATGGTCCTTACCAAGGTCTCCCTGGACAGTCACCATGGAGTCTAGAGGGTTTAGGTTCATCTTTTACTGTCTCTGTGTGATGGGGGAAGGTGGAAAGAAGATGATTTCCTCTTAAATGGTGGAAGGGCCTCTCAGATTTCATGTGGATTATAATATGATTTTGATAGTCGGGAAAAAAAAACTCTTTACGGACTAAGAAGAAACAAGATGATCCTCATACCCTGAAAAGTCCTTTCCAACCTTCTCTGTCAAACTTCTGTTCTTCCCTTGGATGCAAATGCATGACAGAGCTTGCAGTGAGCTGCAGAAAGTGTTGGGAAAAACCCAGAGATGAAGAGAATAGAGACTTCCAAGAGAGCGTGTAGTCAAACATCCACCCCTGCCTATCCCAGTGGGTCCCACAGGTCTCTACTGGAGTCATGAGGTGGTGTGTCCCCTACTCATTGCTAAGACCCATGAACTTGGAGGAGACAGTCCAGGGGCCATGATCTGGAAGGGGCTGAAGTGAAGCAGAATAACAAACCCACATCCAGTTCTAGATCCTGCTACACAGGAGAGCCAAGGCAAGTCATGGAAACAGGTTATGATCCCAGGAGAGAGACAGAGAGCAGCTGAGTGAGCAAAATAGGGGGCAGCCTCAAATGATTTCTGAAGCATAAGTCTAAACCTAATGCCAAACAGGGCTTTTTCATCTGCTCAGAGTCTTAGCATGAGAATTAGCTTCCTTTATTTACAAAGATTGGACAGAGACAGGGAAAGGGAGACAGAAAATATAACAACAGACACAGGAACTCAAAATCCCTAGTTTTCCTTAGCCAGTAAGTACCAAGGCAGACATTTCTATATACTTAATAATCTCTGAAAGGTCCCTATACATGATACAATAGCTGATATCCATATGGTCATCTTACGACATTAAGAAATGACTTTGAAAAAGTAAGTTTGAAACACGCTTGGGAAGATTTCCATTAAAATATTTAAAGTTAAAAAATGTTTTGGCATCACTTTTTGACCTTTTGGCTAAAGTCAAGTATAAAAAATGTTTTGGCATTTTCCCAAGGGAAAAGGAATCTCATGTTTTCTGAAAATTTATTTATGAGGACTGTCTCATAGAGAAATGAGATGACACATCCACAGTATCGCATGGTTTGTAAATATAACATTACCAAGAGCCTTGTCTTCACAGGTATGTGGGATAGGCTGAACTAGAGAAATCACCTCAAATCTCTCCAGTTTGCTAAGGGCTAGAGACAATTGAGCCCCTCAAAAATATATGATTTGGGGTCTGTACTAAAATCTATTAAGTGGGCCCCAATAATAGGGCTGAGGAACTTACGTGCATCCATGCAAACTTCCAGGTGTCTTTCAAAGAGGCCATCAGGTAATACAACCTGGTTGCAAGGTGGGGGAGGGATGAATTATATAAAGGGCCAGTTCTGGAGGCAGACATAAGCCCAGGCCAAGAAGAAAAGTACCGTTGGTTCAGGTGTTAGTCTAGGCAAGGGCGATCAAACAGGGCTGCAAAACTGAGTAGGAGATACATTGCAAAAAAAGCAGGCGGCCGAGATTGGAACTGGAAGAGGCAATGCTCAATGTTCAATGCTTACAGGGAGCCTCGCTGGTCAGAGCTACTTTTTTTGTTTGTTTTGTTTTTTTGTTTTTGTTGAGATAGGGTCTCACTCTTTCTCCCAGGCTGGAGTGCAGTGGTGCGAACACAGTCCACTGTAGCTTCTACCTCCCCAGCTCAAGCAATCCTCCTATCTCAGCTTCCCAAAGTAGCTGGGACCACAGGCTCATGCCACCATGCCCAGCTAATTTTGTGATTTTTCATAGTGATGGGGTCTCACTTTGTTGCTCAGGATGATATCAAACTCCTGGGCTCAATCAATCCTCCTGCCTCGGCCTCAGAGCAACCTTTAAAGGGCTGTCTGTGTGTGTCTCCCTCCATAAGGAATGTAACACATACTCCCTCCTCCTTTGCCTATTGATTACTCACGTTATAGATCTTAGCTTAGATGTAGTTGCAAAGACTTCCCTGAGCCTGAGAAATCTACATGTTCTTGGGAAGGAATTGGCAGACAATCAAGGCTCCTAAGCAGGGAAATTACACAATGAGGTTTGCATACTGGCTCCCTCACTCTGGCTACAATGCTGACACTAGACTTGAAGGGGTCAGAAGGGAGCCTGTTGTAAACAACACAGGATCTGGCCATCAACCTGACTCCCTCTCTTGCCTCTCATTCAATCACTAACCAAGCTCTGGCAATTCTACATTCTAAATATTTCTCAGAGGCAACCAGTTAGCTCTCTCTCCACTGTCACAACTCTAGTTCTGGCCCTCATCATTCTCTTTTCAGATTATTCTCACAGCCTCCTAATCCATCTCCCACCTTGAATTTAGTCTTGCCCTCCAATCCGTCCTTCACCTGGCCTCAAGAGAGACCTCTGTAAACACACATCTATTTATGTGTTATTCACTTGAAACTCTAATTGCTGTCTCACTGTTCTTACCATACACCTAAAATGTTTGGCATGTCCTACAAACTTGGCAAGGTCTGGCTTCTGCCTAACCTACTGAAGTAGACACTGATGCATCTCCCAAATTTACTCTTTAGGAGGACATTCATTTCCCAGCTGTGCAAACTATTAACAACTCACAGCTGAGTCCCTTTCCAGGAATTGCCCTCATCCAAAGAAAAGTGCCTCACTCAAGATTATCTACTCTCCCTCCTTGGGCACAGCTTTCATCCAATGACTGCTTGATGCGGGAGTGCCAAGGTCTGGTTTCCTTGCCTCAATTTGGGACATATCCGATGGGCCCTCCTATCTCCAGAGCCCCTCATGGGATCAGTTGAGGCCTGTGTTGCAACTGCATGGCAGTTTAACTTCTCTCTTTGCCCAGTCATGCATCCTTCACTCCCCACAGGTGTTCCAGACAGCACACCTGAAGAAACATCATGCATGTAAATTGGTCTCAGACTCTGTTTCCTGGAGAGTCTGACCTACAGTACTCTCCCAGCAACATTACTCGGACATAGAAAATTCATATGGAACTTTAACAGTTCCTCAAGTCCGCTGAGCTCTCTCTGCTGTATGGGTTTTTGCACAAGCTATTTCTTTTTCCCTAGAGCATTTCCTACCTTTTTCCTATTCACCTTCAAGTCTCAGCTAAGATGTCACCTCCTTTAGGAAGTCCTCCTGATTCACCAAGCTCAGGTGCTCTGCCTTTATGTTGTCATGACATTTAGTACTACCTCATCAATGCTTAATTAGACAAATTATAATGCATTCTATTTATGTATCCATGTGTTATCTCCCCTGCTAGACTACATCTTTTTTTTTTTTTTTGAGACAGAGTCTCTCTCTATCGCCAGGCTGGAGTGCAGCGGTGCAATCTTGGCTCACTGCAATCTCCACCTCCTGGGTTCAAGCCATTCCCCTGCCTCAGCCTCCCAAGTAGCTAGGACTACAGGTGTGCGCCACCACGCCCAGCTAATTTTTGTATTTTTAGTAGAGATGGGGTTTCACCATGTTGGCCAGAATGGTCTCAATCTCTTGACCTCATGATCCGCCCGCCTCGGCCTCCCAAAGTGCTGGGATTACAGGCGTGAGCCACCACGCCCAGCCTAGACTACATCTTCTAAGGGTGTAAGAAATATGTCTATTGTGTCCATCATTGTAACCCTAGTGCCTAGCCCAGTTCCTGGAACACACTAGGGATATAATATGTATTAGTTTGCTTGGGCTGCCATAACAAAATACCACAGACTAGAAGCTTAAACAACAGAATTTTACTTTCTCATGGTTCTGAAAGCCAGAAGTCCCAGATCACGGTGTGGGCAGGTTTCATTTCTTATGTGCTCTCTCTCCTTGGCTAGCAGATGATCACATTCTTGCTGTGTCCTCATATGGGCTTTTCTCTGTGCACTAACATTCCTGGTCCAAATTTCCTCTTTGTATAAGGGCACCAGTCACATTAAAGTCCACCCTGATTGTCTCATTTTAACTAAAACACCTTTTTGAAGACCCTAACTCCAAATATAATTACATTTTGAAGTCATGGGGGTTAGGGCTCTACCATATGAATCTGGGGGCAACACACTTCAGCCCCTAATAGTTCTATGTTTCTTCTCTTTCCCCTTCCACAGTGCTGTCTGTCCCAGAGGCAGCAAGCCCACAGCTCTCACCAAGCACCAATGCCCAGATTAGCCTTCCCCTCAAATTTCCAAGATTCAGGATTCAACATGTTACAGGTATTATTCTGCCTGGAATGGGGTCAAATAGGTGGCAGGAGGACTTGAAGAATTCACTAGTTACAAAGGGGAGAGACCTTTCAGGCTGAGGAAACTGCATAAGCAAAGATACCACATGTTAAATTTCATGGGGAGCTTGGAGACAATTAGATGTGGCTGTTGTGGAGGATGAATGTGGTAGATGCCAATTGTTGAAGGAAGAAAGGTTGACCGAGGTTATACGGTAAAAAGCTTTCATTTTGGCATAAAATCAGCCAACACTTTATCTAAAGAGATGAAGATAGGGAATTAGAGGCTGTTCCAATCACTCATGCAGGAAACAATGCAATTAACTTGGTAAAAGGTTGGAAGATTTGAAGATGACTTACAGCAAATAACTATCAGGAAGGGGGAAGCAGGAGAGGTATGACAAGCAAAAGATAAAGGGAAAAATAGAGGCAAAGAGAAAAAAAAACAGAAGGAGGAGGCATCCTGTTCATATCTAAATGACGAATTCCAATATCCCAGAAGGGATTCTGTTGACTGGGGTTCTGCATCCTCAAAAAGGCAAAGTCTCCTCCAGACTTTGCTGGAGTTGACTAGCATCTCTCAGCAAAGTGAGGGAGTACTGGAAGCAGAGAAGGCTCTAGATATCAGAAGGTCGGTTAACGTGGAGGCACAGCAGCAAATGGAGCCAAGAGGGATGAAGGCAGCAAAAATTTCCAAAAGGAACTGGAGATCTGGATGTGATCAGCTTCAGGGGGCTAACTGGGATGAGAGAATTGATATATCCGGCTCCTTCTCATTTAGAGAAAACAGTCAGCTCAGGCCTGGCTTATAGATTAAGGACCAGTCACCTGGATCCAACCACACAGAGGAAATAGTGGTGGATATAAAGGAGCTTATTTCCCCTCTCAGGATACCGGGGTAGAAAAGCGGAAGGATCAGACACTTGCAGAGGAGAAAAGAGAAGTCACTGTGCTTGTCCACTGTCCTGGCTAGTAATAGCAACGGTCAAGGCCAGAGGTTACGTGTAATGAAGACAGTGGAGCTAACTGATTTCGTCCAGCTGCAGGTCTAGGTGCGGCAGGCCATCTTTTTCACCCTTATCCACCCGGCACCCACTGAGGAGGGACTGTTCTAATAAAGATGGCTTCAGTAGGCCACTGCGAGTCAAGGCTGGGTCTGTCTCCAAAGTGAGTTTGGTTTTTCTTTATGAAACCTCTGGTCACGAGAATATGAGAGTTTCCACTCTGGTTCTGAACTATGGGTCATCAATCCTAATGGGTTATGGGTTCCAGCTGTGAGATTTGCTGTCCCTGTTTGGGATTACAAAAAGTAAATGAAGCTCTCCAGTTAAGACCAGGTGTGGGCAGTCAGAGCTGAGAGGCCAGGAGTGTCCCTCTGAAGAAGGTGGTGACCGCAGAGAAAGTGGTGCTGGGCCTGAATCACTGGTGGGCAGAGATGGTGCCTGCCAGTCCTGAGCCAACCTCTTTGGAGCCCACTCCACAGAGATAAGAGCAACAGCAGCCCTGAAAGCACCTCAAGGACTTCTGCTGCAACCGAGGCTTCCCACTGCATTTCCCCCTTACAGACTCTCCAGTAATTCTTTAGACTCTGTAAGTATGGCATGTGTATTTCATTGAAAAAGTAATGTAAGCATGCTCTAGAAAACCCAGGAAAGAACTACCCACACCACCACCACCGAAAAGTTAATTAGATACAATCAGAGTTTTCCTCCACTGGACCTTATCCATCTTAGTTCACAGTCTCAGAGTTAGGACTTGAGGCATTTGTGGAAGTAAATCAACTAGAGCACCCTTAAGACTTTATTCAAAAATGCTAGGCATGAGTAATTTCAGAGAGAATATTCTCACTTGGAGAAGCAGCGTGAGCCAGACAGAATTTTTAATAAGGATTTAGGAGGCAGGGTCAGCTGAAGTTCAACTGGTTTAGGGAATAGTGCAAAGATGGTTCTAAGAAATATGAGGAATTGTTTCTAAGGATGATGAACTACTGTTTGGGATTTTTACCGAGAGGGTGAGGAGGAATAGTTAGGAGCTGTGGCCATATGGAAGAAGGGTGGGGAGAAATATTACCGGGCATAAGGAAGTTTAAGGACCACCAGTGGAAAATTCTCAGTCTATGTGTCTCTTTTAAAAAAATTTTGTGGATACATAGTAGGTGTTTATGGGGTACGTGAAATGTTTTGATAAAGGTATCTATTAGCGTCTCTTGTGAGGACCAAATGGAAACACAGGCCTTCTGACTCCTGGAGAGCATTCTTTTCACATTCCATAGATGCCCCAGCCTTTCTCAGTTTGGCAGGTGATTGAGAAAGAACCCCAAGGCGTCCTGGCCTTTCCCATGGAAAGGCAGGTTGAGATAAGAAGAGGGCTGGACTGCACAGACAAATTCAAAGATTTTACCACCTTGTCCTAGGGTTATAATTTATCTTCAATTGGACCAGGGCCTGCAGGAGTTTAGTCCTACATATTTCTGGCCTGCAGCTACATGAAGGGAATTCTGCCTCCAGTGATTGAGAAAACTCAAGGATTTCCTTACAAAGGCGTTTCACTTTTTGATGGCTTGACCCTGGAAGCATCACTGTATCAATGATTGTTGTTGTTCCTCTTAATCAAATTATTCTCAGCTCCATCCTGAGATGTTTCAGCTGACAGCCTGGATGGCCAGGCCTGTAGCCCATTGTACCTTTCTGCCCAAGGGGCGATGTAGCCCTGTGCACTGGCTGTTCAGAGATAGTGGTAGATCCATGTTTATTTTTCCTGGCTGTGCCTTTAAGAGCTGCAGGAATGTGAAGGGAGTCTGGATGAGGGGTGGGGTCTCCCAATAGGACTTCTGGAAAAGGATCCTGGGAATTTTTGCCAGAAACTAAACTGAGAGTCCAACTTTAAAAAGTTGGGGGTGGTTTGTGTTGGGGAAGGCCTGCGATTGGACTGCAGAATCCACTAGGGAGGAGGAAAGCAAAAGTAAAAAGGAAATAGCTGGGGGAAGGGAACGGGGGGAAGCCATCTTCACCCCCCACCCCAATGCACACACAATTAAGCCAGGAAGCAGCTTGCAACCACTAGCCTGGGGAGGGTCCGCATGTGTCAAGGGTGAGGGCAACAGATGCTGGACCCAGGGAGCTCTCTGCCACAGGTCAGTCTACAAGGCCTCAGGGACCAACTTGCCAACAGCTGGACTTGATCACTAGCTGGCAAACTGAGCTCACGTATCGGGTGGAATAACAAGCGGACTTTGCTCTCTGCTGTGCAAAACGCTGTTTTTAGAGGATTTGCCACAGCAGCGGATAGAGCAGGAGAGCACCACCGGAGCCCTTGAGACATCCTTGAGAAGAGCCACAGCATAAGAGACTGCCCTGCTTGGTGTTTTGCAGGATGATGGTGGCCCTTCGAGGAGCTTCTGCATTGCTGGTTCTGTTCCTTGCAGCTTTTCTGCCCCCGCCGCAGTGTACCCAGGACCCAGCCATGGTGCATTACATCTACCAGCGCTTTCGAGTCTTGGAGGTAGGTGGCATCTGTACACCTTGGATAAGTAACAGGCTTCCCAGAAGTACCTTATTTTTACCCATGCTTCTCTATCTACTGGGTTGTATTTTTCCCAGATAGCAAATGACACATTGCCAAAGTTACACTTTAAAATGCTCATAGTCTGGCAGTTTAGAGCCGAACTCCAGAGTCCAGTGTGCTACTTCCAGACCTTAAGCACAGTTGCACTTTGTGCTCTGATTTGGCAGTTTGTCTCATCTGTAAAATGGGGATAATAGTAGAATTTATGTTGTAAGGCTATCCTGAAGATTTAATCCATAGCTAAAATACTGCCTGGCATAATGGTATGTATCTAAAATGTTATTATTCACCATAGTTCATTTTTTAAAATATGAAACTTAAAAATGTTGGTTACTTTTTCTTCATGTTTTAGTGTTTCAGGCTGATAATGGATTTCAGCTTTTCGTTTTGTCTTTTATGATAAACCATTAGGTCACTGTAAAAAGTCATGATATCAATGTACTGAGAAGTCTTAGTTTCTTTTGCTGAACTGGATTTAGACTTAGAAGTGAGCAGATTTCAGCCAAGTTAAACAGAAAGAATGCATTTGGGCTGCCACCTCATTAAAATGTGCAAAACCCAACATTTTGGCAGCCTGGACAGGCTCCCAGGGACAAATGTAACCCTCCACCCTAGCCTTTGCCACACCCTGGCATTGATTATTCATACTTAATGGCTTGCTTTTGTACAAGCTAAATTGATAAATTATTTATCTTCTTTCAAAGACCCTCTTATTGCTAATAATTATTTTATACATTTTCCTGAAAAATCTTCATGTCCAAATTATATGTTCTTCTAGTTATAGTCAGGGTAAAGTAATTCCACATAGCAGGCCGAATGCATTTCCTAAGGGCGTCCAGCCAACAGGCTGGGGCCTGGAGGCAGTGGATGAAGTGTTCCCAGACGAGCGGCCTCTTGCGCTTCTTCACTTGCTCCCTCCTGAGCCTCACCTCCTTAGAAGTGCCAGAATGATGCTCAGTCAGGATCCCTCTGCATTTAGCACCGACTTGCCTTGGGAGTAAAGCCAGCCAAATCCCTGCAAATTGTCTTTCACTACCTTAAGAACTTGTCAAGGGTATGAAGTACAGACTGATCCTTTTATAGCTATGAATGTGGATTTGAAAAAGACAAGGATATGATCTGTATAGATCTTCCCACCCCAGTCCTGACCTGAGGTGAAGCCAAGTCGCAGGTGGCAGTCACTGTTGGCCAGCGCAGACACTTAACAATACAGTGATAGCATTCCCAGCCTGAGAAGCCAGTGTCGGAGGGGTAGGAAAAAAGAGGGTAGGGATTTAGGGAATTATTTTGGGTCTCTCTTTCTGTCTTTCTCCCTTCAAAATAAACAGCCTTACGTATTGTTGTTTGGAGCATACATTTTTACATTTGTGGATAGAATTTTGATAAACCATGCCAAATGAGCTTTAAGTAGACATTCTCTTTGACCAAGCAATCCCATTTCCATTCATTTATTCTTTTGTTCAGCAAATATTTATTGAATAGTATTATGTGCTTGGCCCTGTGCCAAGTGCTAGGGACGGATATTCTGGAAATCTACCTTAAAATAATCTGATGAAGATGTAAATACAAAGGTTTTTTTTTCCCTTAATAATCTGATGAAGATGTAAATAAAAAGTTTTTTTCTCAGCATTGTTTGAATGACAAAAAATTAAAAACTATGTAAATGTACCTCAAAAAGAGTCTAACAGAATAAATAATGGGATATCAATTAAATGGAATGCTCTCATTAAAGTTATGGTATAGGTATACTTTAATTAGTATCAAAGTATGTTCACAATATATCTGCAAGTGAAAAAGATGATACAAAACATATAGTAAAATCACATTTTAAAAATATATATTTACATATGTATGACTAAATGCTTGGGAAAACTTTTAAAAACTGATATACTCAAGTATCAATACTACCTTTGAATTTAGGAATTATGGGAGATTTCAATTTTTCCCCTATTTGATGATGTGTAATTTTCTAATCCTTTTCTATAAATGATAGGTATTTATATTATTTGGGTAATTTAAATAACAAGCAATAATTTGCAAATTTATTTTCTGACTGAAGCAAGGGCTGGAAAAATGTACCCAAGCAACGAGGGCATACATTCAAGAATTCCAAGAGTTCTCAAAAAATATATCTGTCATGCTGGGAAGATGTCAGACCTACACAAGTGAGTACAAGAGTGCAGTGGGTAACTTGGCACTGAGAGTTGAACGTGCCCAACGGGAGATTGACTACATACAATACCTTCGAGAGGCTGACGAGTGCATCGAATCAGAGGACAAGACACTGGCAGAAATGTTGCTCCAAGAAGCTGAAGAAGAGAAAAAGATCCGGACTCTGCTGAATGCAAGTAAGAAAACTGCATCTTTTCCTAGCCCTTCTAGGGACTATTATGCTCAGAAACACACAGACTCAGAGCAGTCAGGGAGCATCATAGAGTAATGAGAGTAAGAATTGGAGGTGTGCTTTTGTGTGCATTGCTGAGAGAGAAAGCTATACAGAGAACAGGTGTCCAAAGAGAAATCCATTCTCGCAAAGCCATTCTTTCTTTCACACACAGTGCCTAAAGCCTCCATAGATGGTGAAGGCTATAGTGCCAAAAGTCAGCCCAAAGAGACTACCTCCTGATAAATCTTGGTTTGGTGGAGATGTGTGGTCCCAGATTTTTTCAGGGAAAGTAGCAGTTTGGTGGATTCTACATCCAGTACCCAGGCTGTAGATAGCATCTGCAAATGTACCAAGAAACAGTCTTAAATTGGAAATGGCAACAGCCAACCCTCAGGGATGGGAACTGCAGTGAATCACTATTGTGTGTGCTGTCTGAGATGGTGATATGCATGGGATGTGGTCTAATCTTGTGATCCATCAGAATCACTTCCAAGCCATTAAGAATAATGTGTAGCAGCTCAAATTATAATAAACAGTATCAGGCAATAAACACACAAATGACAAAGAAAAATTTTCTGTGCCCGAGTCTATTTCATTAAAACAATGAGGGAGACAAATCTCCCACTTCAGGGTTTGTATTCTGAGATGTTTTCATTGCAAATAGGAAGACTTTATTTACATGCTAATTACGTCTGTTCCAATTCAAGAACCTCCATCAGGGAAATGACATATAAGCTGAGTGCCATCATTGTGCTAAAAGTTTCACATACCTTCTCAATGTAATCCTTCTAAGAACTTCATGGTCACTATAAGGAAAAGGGTCTTCCTAAATGAGGTGACACTTGGTCTCAGTTTTGAACAAAGAAGTTAGAAACGAATGAGTAGAGGGTACTTCAAGTCAGGGCACAATATACCAAAGGCATGAGGGTACTGTAGCACCTTGACATGTAGACCCGCAAATATGGCTGAGTGAAAGCTTTTTAGAGAGGTGACAGTAGGGAAACTAGGTTGAAGAGCTCAGCAGGACCCAGTTAATGAGAGACCTTGCATGCTAGATGAAGGAAGTTGAAGCTCACTGGAGAAACTATAGAGAACCATTGAGCAATTTTAAACAAGGGCATGATACGAAGGAAGAGGCTAAGACTAGAGAGAGGAGACCAGTCAGGGAATGCTGCAATGATTTGGGCAACAAGTAATAGTGTTGGCATTAAGTGTCATGGGACAGAGAACAGGTGGATTTGAGAGCCATTGAGAATTGGAATCCACATGGCTTTCTGACTGCTAATTAAAACTAAATGATGAGTGAGAGAGATGAGTCCAGGATGTTTCCCAGGTTTTGGGCTTAGGTCATCGAATGGTTGGTATGAAATATGCTGAGATGGAAAACTCAAAAGGAGTTTGGGAGCACTTATTACTCTATAATTTTTTTCAGACCATTTATAATTTTGAAACCATTTAGTTCATTTATTGGCTCATAGGTTATTTCCTACCTCCCTATCTGTAATGTCAGCTCTATGAGAGCTTGGAACCCCAGTTTCATGTTCAATGCTGTGTCTCCAGTGCCTAGAATGGGGTCTATTCAATAAATAGTTTTCAGTGAGTAATTAAACAATTAAAACAAATAAATGAGTAGATGTAGGGATTGTCAACACAGGCAGAGGGGTTAGTTAGGCTTTGGTGGGGGGGGGGGCGGGGAACCAAAAAACATCTTATCCCTGAGTCAGAAGAAAGAGAGGAGGGTGCCCTGCCTATAATATGAAGCAATGGGTCAAGTAAGCAATCCTTTTTGGCCCTGACATTGTCCTGAGATGAATCATCCTCAAAGAGGGAGAAGCTGGCGGTAAGCACAGAGTGAGGGAAGGAAATGGGTCAAAAGAGGATGAACAGGGGCTTCCTAAAAAGCTGATGGAGAGGACTGGGTGCTAATGTGGCCTGAGCTAGAATGTGTCCGAACTCTCACACTGGGGGTTCAGGCAGGACGCTAAGTCTGAATAGTGGTGCTGAATTGGATCCCTGAGCTGTTTCTGGTCCCTGGATACTCTCAGCCCACCAGGTGTTGAGACTACCCTTTCCCATTCCAGCTAGAGCTCAGTGGAGGTCCTGAGACTGGACTTGCTTTTTCAACCCCCATCCTCTGCCCCTCAGATCTGGTAGTTCTGAAATATCCCCTCTCCTAGCTCTGTGGTATATGAAAACTTATTTCTGAACCTATCAGAGATTGCTACATCCATGTCTGTTGCCTCTGGAGCTCACATTTGATGCTGTGTTGGTTTGTAAATCAGCCAATACTTGTTGCCTCCCACTACTGGATGGGCCCTGTGCTGCACTGCAGGGATGGAGGACTGAGTAGGACATGTCTGCATCCTGCTGTAGCTTCCTTACCACTTCTCTTGCCTCCCACAGTCTGCCTCCTGTCATGCAGACCTTCCACAACACAAAATAGATCATAATTCTCCTCTGTGTAGAATGTATTTTCGTCATTTACCATCAATTATCAACAACAAAAAAATCCATTCAAATCTCCTAGCTTTCTTTTACATAAGAAAGGCCCTTTACAAAGTGATGCAAGTTGATCTCCAGCTCCTTCTCCCATAACTTACCCAAATGCAGTTTAAATATACATATACATATTTTTATGTATGTGTGTATATATGTATTAAAATATATATTATATATAATTAATATATATTTATATATTTTTTCCTAGCAATCCTTTATGACTCAAAAATGCTGTGAATTCTTTGTGAAGACCTATGAGGGTGAGGATAGAGGTGAGGGGGCTGCCAGGCAGATTGGCCTATAATGCTCCTGGAGCAATTCATTCAGTCCTCCCAGGGAGCATCTCACATATCCGACCACACAAGTCTGTATGTATTCAACTCCTCAGTCATTCCACAAACATACTGACATCTTCTTTTCTGCATTCACAGAGCCTAGGTCATGTCCTCCCATGGAGAAGGCCACAGAAATTGTTTACAGAAGAAATAACAATGGCAGAGGCCCCTGCAGAGCTTAGTTTAGGGGAAGACAAACCTAGAAACAATCACAACGGTGTGATTAGTGTCTCCTCGATTTATTATTTTTAGAGGTTCTCTATCTAGGAGTAGACTTTGGAATGTCAATTTATTCCCGTTAGGCACTGTTTTGTATTGTATATATTATGCACACTCCTGCTTTTTTGCCATTTCTGTTAGTAACTATGCCTATATCAGTTCTCATGCTATACAACAAATTACCATAGATTTAGCATCTTAAAACTACACATTTACTACCTCAGAGTTTCTGTGGGTCAGGAGTCCATGCATGGCTTAGCTGGGTCCTCTGCTGGTACTTGTAGGGCTGGGACCCTCAGCTCCTACAGCCTCTCCTTGCCATAGGCACTGCACAACACAGCTATTGCTCCTTCAAGTAGATGGAGAGTGCTTCTCTTTAGGAAGCGCCTAGTCCCTCTTTTCAGGGCTTTTATGTGATTCAGCCAGCCCACCCATAATTTCCTATTGATAACTTCAAAATCAACTGATTTGGAAACTTATCTGTATATGCAAAATTCCTTCACCTTTGTCTTACAATGTAATGCAATCACAGAGTGCTGTCCTGTCATACACTCACAGGTCCTGCCCACACTCAAGGGAAGGGAATTACACTGGGCATGTACACCAGGGGGTAAAAATCCTGGGGATTGTTTAAGAAATCTGCCTATCACAATGCTTTAGTCTGATAGGCTCAGCTGGTGCTACTAATTACCTGCACCCACCTTCTTCCTGGAAGACTCTGATCTTCCTGTCTTCCAACCATGGCCTCTAGAGACTGTGCCAGTTACAGACCTTCCATTAAAATCCTGAAGACTCAAGTTAGCACCTTTCTGTGGGCAAAAACCATGGGATTATGGGCTAGGAAGGCATTGCCAGAGGTCAGATCAGAGGGTTTCATTCATATGTACGCATTGTCTTGGAGAGTTTGTAAACCCCTACAGAATAGATGATGCAACTTCCTTGGAAAATTTAACCTTGTATCTCAGGAGACTTCCAGGAAATTCTAGTACTAATCTTAATGGTTCTCACTTATTTTAGGAATATTATTCAGGCAACTACTAAGGGCCAAGTACTGAGAATAATAAGATAAAATTGTTCTATAACTAAGCCATTCCCTAGAGAGCTGCTCTTGTATCTTCAGCCTTTATTCAGAGATTATCCCCAAATGACGTCCACATGAGGGTTTCAACTCAGGGATGTTTTGCGGGTAGGTACAATCTTAGAATCTTAACTCTGTCTCTCCCACTTTCCCACTCTCCTTCCCTCTCTTCTTCTCTCATTTACACACATACACAATGTAGGATGCAAAGGAGTGAACACTATTTGAATATAATCTAACTTATATTTTAAAATTATTCCAAGTCTTTGGAACTATAACTATTATTAAAATAAAATTTTGCATTGCACTTGATAATTTATGACAAAGAATCATTCCCTCAGACACCAAGATTAAGTGGTGTCTTAATCTTGGTGTCTGATACTCTTTGGAAGATTTATCCAACTGATACTCTTTGGAAGATTCCACAGGCAGCATTCTTGTATGGATACGAGTATTAACTTCTTTTTAACTTGTAAATAGTTTGTAAAGAAAAATTCTCAAGGCAGTCAAAACAAGCCATTATAGCAGATTTTATTTTATTTCCTGTTGTCGTCCAGTTCCTTTTATTGCAAGGGTGCACAAAAAGTTACCTCAAGTAACCTTCACCCTGCCGAATTAAATAACTCATATCTTTTGTTAGATCACGTTTCAAATAAGAAAGTCTGTTGCAGCATATTTGAAGCCTCTGGGATCTGTCCAGGTTTTATAAGTGTGCATGACCCATATTCAAAACCATTAAAAGCAAGACAACTAAACAAAAATCCCCACTATTAACCAAATAAAATGTATCTGTTTGCCAACTCTCAAGGTCCATTAGTTTGTCATGAGTGGAACAAAATATTAAAAGAGGTATAACTAATTTGCAACAGATGTGTTTACCACAAAAGAAGGGATTCAAAGTATAAATGCAGGTGTAAGTACAGGTGTGTGTGTGCACGTGTGTGTACGTGTGCCTGCGTGCACCCAGCTATTTCGGTATTCAGGGGGATGGCAACATTGGAGGCGCATGTAGAGTACAGCTTAACCTGTGCTTTCCCTTGGAAAGGTAATACCCATGGGTCACTGTGCTGGGTTCAGAAAGGCCCACGTACATAGCACTTCTTTTGTTTATCCATCTGAAAGGTCTGTGGGCTATGAGGATACCTTCAGTCCCATCACTACGGATTCTCACAGAGGGTTAACTGTGGCTCCAGGTGCCCTGAACATCCATTCATTCTTGCTATAACTTATTTATTTATTCAACAAATGTCCAACTGAATTCTAGAAATATGTTGGCATTGTGCCAGGCATTAGAGATAGAATGTTGGACAGGGTAACATTCTTGTCCTCAAAAAGCTTATGGCCAAGGGGAGAAGCTGTCCAGACAAATCTGGAATGATGATGGCTCTGATGGAGGGATGCATAGGGTGTCACAAAAGCACAGGGGGCAGGCATTAAGTAGATATGGTCAGGGTTGCCATGTAGATGGGGGGATTATGGAATCTGGAAAGTAGCCCTCAAGCTGAGTTTTAATCATGGAAAAGAGCTAATTAAGTGGAGAATAAAGTAATAGGCATTTCAAGAAAATGAAACAGCATGTGGCAGCACAAAGGCATAATTGGGCTCAGTGTGTTTGTGGAGCAAGTTGTTCAATGGAGCTCAGGTGAAGGAGGAAGTTGTAGAGAGGTGATGAAAGAACCAGACATGAGCTAAGCTCCTTTGTGTTAAACTAGTTCACACTTGCAAGCTGTAGGGAATCAGAATAATGTGAACAATGGCAATTAATATTACTGAATGCGTATTATGTACCACACATAATCCTTAAGCATTTTACCTATCTCACTGGACTATGTCATGCAATACTCACGATAACCCTGTGAGATAGGTACTGTATATTATCTCCCGTTTTATAGATGAGAAAACAAAGACACTGAAAGGATAGGTTATTTGTCCAAGGTCACACAACTAATAGATGGCAGAGCTGCACTTTGACCCAGACAGGCTGGGTCCTGCACACCCTCACCTCTCCCATTGTGCTGTCTGCGGAGCAGTGATAAGCATGGGAGTGTCGGGGCTCAGAGGAGGTGCATTCTGGCCACAGGGTGCAGAGCAGAATGGCAGTAGGGGAGGCTGAGGGGGCACAGAAGAGACAGGCTGAACTCAGTGAAGCCATCTCCAGGACTGCCAGGGAGGCACATGAGGTAGGAGCCTTCTGTTGAGAGTAGGTGCCTGGGCCCAGAAGTTCTAGCTGTTCCTGATCTTATCATGGGTCACAGTATGAAGACCATGTTAGTTTTCTATTTGATGATGATTCCTACTTACAAACAGGCTGGTTTTAGATTCTTAAACTCTGGCCAAGAAGGTCCAATTTTCTTTCCCTACCCTCCTGTTTTTTAGTTCCCTGCCATTTCTTCATTGACTTTCAAACAATAAAACTCCTGTGTTTTCCCCACTTTTTGCTCAGTTAACAGAATAGTCACACACACACTTTCCTGGGCTAGAAATCTTCCCTTTGGCCCTCGTCTGACAGGTCACTATATCCAGTAGATTTTTTCTTGTGAATCTCTCTCAAGTGTACTCTTTCCACCTGCACTGCTCTCTCACCATCTCTAGTCTTGATTCCTATGAAAGCCTCCTCGCTGACCTTCCTGCCTCCCATTTCTCCCTGTTTCAGGGCTTTATCCTATATTGCCACAGAGTAATCTTGCCAGAGTTACCACATCACTGCTTTATCCCCTTCCATGGCAACTGAAACCTGTAGGGTAAAGCAACCCCCCCAAAAATAACATATAAAGAAAGTCCTTTACAACCTGACCCCCGCCAGCCTAGCTCTCTTTGGTTTAAGTATGAAAGTAATACTCACGAATTAAATAAAAACTATGAATATGGTATCCGCTATATGTGTTGTGCTTACTTTTATCATAAAAGTGGATAAGAAGCCAACAATTGAACACAGCAACTTTGAGTATCCCTCAGCATCTCGTGCCGCTGCTGCCTATCCCTATCTGTCTGGTGCTCTGTCCATCTCACCTGCTATTCTGAAAACATAAAATATACCTCATGCATGCCTGAGTCATTTATGCTGTGCCTGGAACAGAGTAGAGAATCAATCTTTTCTGACCTGAAGGAATCGTTTATTTGAAAATGGAGGGAACTATTTGCCAGAGATAGCATTCAGCCCTTAAATCTGATGTCTTGTCTGATGACCACAACAACCAACAAGCTAGGTCGACACTATTACAGCTCCTTTTCAGATGAAGAACCTGTGGCTTAGAGAGTTCCACACAGCCCATCTCTTCTCCTCACATTCCTGTCACATACAGAAGTATGCACCACCCCAGACATGCTAGATTCATCTCTGCCTCTGTGTCTACTCACAGTCTCCACCCTGCCCTGTATCAGTTATCTGTTGCCACAATAATGCTACATAGCAAACCACGCCTAAACTTAGTGGGTTCAAACAACAATCGTTTATCATTTCTCAGGGGTCCATAGGGTGGCTGGGTAGGCTCACTTGTGCACCTGCAGTCAGTGGCACGTTGCCTAGGAACAGCTGGGTGAGGATGACTTCAGCTGGGGTGACTGGGTTGTCCTCTGCATGGCCTCTGCTCCTGCAGGAGGCTAACCTGGCCTGGCCTCATGACGGAGGCAGATGTCTAAGAGAGAAAGCAGAAGTACACAAGGTCCCTAGGAACTTAGCCTGGTCACTTTAACACTTTGGTGTTCCAAGTCTGGCTCTGAAGCTCACCCCTCTACTATGACCTCTAGTTATACCCATATAAGGCTTTTCATCTCAATGCTCATGGAAACAGGCAGCAATCAAGACTGATTTTAAAATATGCAAATGTCTACATGAAAGCAGTGAGTCAGGCATTGGTGTGATTAACAGTTTTGAGGAAGTATCACCAAAGAACCAGTGAGAAGTCTGCTGCAAAGTTCAGGTCCAGGAAGCAGGCCCTAGACCATCACATGTTGAGAAAGGATAAAAAGAACAGGATGAAATGAGATGTACTTCACAGGAAGAATCCATGGGGAAACATCAAAATGACTTTGTGTTTTCTAACTATACACAGGCAAATGGCAGTACCACAGCTAGAAATTGAGAGCATTTCCATCCTTTTCAGTTTGGAATATTACAGGAAAAAAAAAACACTATGCAAAAAACCAGCTCAGTCTTTAAATGAGAAATAAATAAAAATGAGAAGTTCGTAATTATAACCTTGGAATGGTTACAATGTTGTTGCAGTCAGATAATTGGTGGAAAGTGGAAACCGATCAGAAATTCCCCAGAGCAGCCTGGGCAACAAAGCAAGACACCATCTCTATAAAACATAAAAAAAAATTATCTGGGCATGGTGGCATGTGCCTGTAGTCCCAGCTACACTGTAGCTGGAAGGTCTAGGCTGCAGTGAGCCTTGATCATGCCATTGTACTCCAGCCTGGGTGATAGAGAAAGACCCTGTCTCAAAAAAATAAATTCCCCAGAGGATGGCCCATTTTCATGCTTTACGTGAGTGTTGACGAGCCTGGATGCTCTAGGACAGTTCTCAAACTTTCAGGTTCAGAAACCCTTTACAGTCATAAAAATTATTCAGGCCTCCAAATAGGTTTTGTTGAGGTTGGTTATAACTATTGATATTTACCATGTACATAATTAAAATGGAGAAATTGTAATAATATGTACCAGATGATATTCCAGGATAAGACATGCATCTGTGAAAAAAAACAGATAAGACAAAGCCCCTGCTTTTATTTTTCTTTCATTTTTTAGAGCTGACGTTCTTTTGAGGGAGGCCAAACAATAAATATGTTAGCAGATAAATGTATAATATGCAGACAGAATATAATAAGTACTATAGAGGGAAATGAACTAAGGGAAGGGATTATGGAGACCTGGCCTCTTCCAGAAGGAGGCACTGGAAGGAAGTTGTCTATGTTGCCTGTGTTGGACTCCAGCTGTAGGGACCCCATCGTGGAGCCAGGCTGGACTCACACTCATACCTCACACATCTTCCCAGCTTCCACACCCTCCACTGAAGTTCTCAACTTGATGTCTTTGGGCAACATACATCTATGCACGTGAAAAGCCATGTGTCAAGTCTGTTTCTTTTTCATAATTTATTGCTATTATCAATAAAGTTGTTAGGGTTCAGGACAGGGTGCCATGGAATACTCTGAATTTAGTGCTGGAAAGCTAGAAAAACCTATGATACGGATTTAATAAAGGATTATGTGTAATTCACTAAAACCAACATATAAAGCACTTATTGTATGCCGGGCCCTGTTTAAGCCCTAACCCTGGGTTCATAGCCCTTCTGCAATGCCAAATTGCCCCATGGCTCACTGAATTTTATACAGTTCCTGTTTTCCTGCTACCCATCCACTGAAGCACTCAGCAAAATATCACCTGCTAATCTATTTGATTTCTAGGTTGACACAGTATGAATTGGGATAGCAAGTTTGGAAACTGACAAATTCTGCACAATCTGAATCTAATTGGTTTCTGAGTTTGGAGAGTAAGCAGTAAGTTGACTAGTGAGGGCGATATATACTGTGTCCCAGGCACTTAGGATAAATAGAGTCTAAAGTGCTTGCAAGGAAACAAAGTGAATAATCAATTCTAGTTCAGCATAATAACTGCCCTAGAAGGGGTTGCACAGAATGCTTTAGGCAGATGAGAATGACCATCTAACTGCTCTGCAGGAGCAGAGGATTTTGTTTTGAATAATGAGCAGGTGTATCCCGAGTTAGCAAAGGAGAGCTAAGGAAGTCTGAGCAAAGTCTAAAACTTGCGGGAAGCCATGGCAGGTTTGGTGACTAGTGACTAGTGTGATGAGGAAGCGACAAGAGAGGAAGTTGATCAAGCACTCTGCATGCTATGCTGAGATATCGGAAACTTATTCCATGGGCAGTATCATGAAATACCCCTAATTTTTAGAATAAGTCCATGCTGACAATTTTATAATAATAGCATGATATTTTATAACTGACTACAAGTCTGAGAGCCATCATCTTTGTCATCTCAGTGCCTACCGTCCTACCTATCATCTGATTAGTATTGATAAATGTTTATGAACATGAATACAATCCAGATGGTTGAAAAAGTCAAGTTTTATAACACCATTTCAGGAAGCAGTCAAAATACTCAGGGTTTTAAGATAATTCTCTTCTCTTTAATGAATTCATCACTCTTCCCAAGCCAACCTGCTTTTCCTTCTCTGCTGCTATCTCATGTACCCTATCACCCCATTTTTGAGTCTGATTTGGTATCAGCTGGTTCCCTCAATTGAATCAGTTATTAAGACGTGACTTCTCCTTTTCTAGCTGCTTATATCCATCACTATTTGGATAGCTCTCATCTGGATCATACTTACAAACTCATTACCTGGTTTCCCTCTGTCCTTCCCCATCCCCAAGCCATTCTCCACCAGCAGCCAGACCAATGTTTCGGATCCTTAACTCAGATTGAGTGACTCCCATACAAAGGAATAAGTCTCACCAGATTTGGAGAGTGTTGCTATTAAATCAGGGGAAAAGTATTTAAAAGATTCAATTAAGTGATACTTATGTATGAATTTACAAGTTATATGAAAAGATTCAAATAAGTGATACTTGTGTATGAATTTACTGTGAGGCCTTGCGCCAAATTCTATCCTAATTGCTTGTCTGCAATTCTGCCTGAGGGGGAAACCCAGATTCTCATTCTCTGGTTTGCCAGGGAAACCTTGCATGTCATTGCCTCTGTTAAAAAAATTTGCATCTTGGCTGGACCCAAAGGTTTTAAATTTATTTCCCATCCTTCCTCAACCTTTTCTTCCTGCTAATTATCTCTTCTCAAGAGAAGCACAGCAGGGAGTTTTAACTTACCCTTTTACTTGAACACTGTAAATATATTATCCTCAAACTCCAAAAGAAAAGGAATTTATAAAACTTACAGAGTATCAGCCCTGAAAACTATGTAGAGAGCATCCAACCTAAACCTCTTGTTTTACAGCTGGGAAAAACAAGGTTGGGTTGACAAAGGGACTTTTGGGGAGACACATAGAGCCAAAGGCTGAGTTTAGACCACTCACATCTCTGACTCCAAGTGCTGGGTTTCATCTACAAAGGAAGGAATAGGAGAAGCAGAAGGAACATGGGGGGAATTCTGTTTCTTTTTTTCCAGAACTATGTTTCCCTGACCAAAACCATATATCCACTCTTGTGTTATTTCTCCAAGGGTTCTGCATTAGAAAAGAAGAGTAGAGGGAGAAAGAAGCATGTCTGTGTTGGTTTCTGCTGTATTTTATTTTATTGACTGATTTATTGTTTTGTTTTGTTTTGCTTTGTTGTTGTTGTTTGTTTTGAGACAGGGTCTCCCTCTGTTGCCCAGGCTAGAGTATAGCGATGCACTCTCAGCTTACTATAGCCTCAACCTCCCAGGCTCAAGTGATCCTCCCAACCTCAGCCTCCCACGTAGCTGGGACTGCAGGGGATGTGCCACCAAGCCCAACTAATTTTTGTATTTTTTGTGGAGACGAGGTCTCACTATGTTGCGCACATTGGTCTTGAACTCCTGGGCTCAAGGGATCCTCCCACCTCAGCCTTCCAAAGTGCTGGGATTACAGGCATGAGCCGCTGTGCCCAGCCATTTCTGCTGTATTTTAAATGAACATTTTCTTACGGATGAGACATTAATATGCCTTGCTCTTAGACATAGTCCCTCTGTAGCTGGGCTGCAAGCCTGCTGGCTTTTCTTCAGGCAAGAAGGATGGGCAGGCTGGGGGCTTCCTAGTCAAGTCCCATAGTCTGTGACTAGGTCCCAGAGAGCCCATTGCCCTCATCCACCCTTCTGCACACCCAGATCCTCTTCATTCTTTCCCGCCACACACATACATACACGTCACCATGCCCTTGGGGCTGGCTGGAGGGGTCCTGACTGGCTGCCTCCCAGCTCAGACTGAGCTCAGAGGACCCCATCCCCACGCTTTATGGCTGTGTGACCTTTCCAAGTAACTTATACAAGCCTTAATGTTTCCTCATTTGGAAAATGGGGATTAAAATATCTACCACTTAAACTTATTATGAGTTCTACATTTTAGAAATATATTAAAATATCATAGTATCCCCCACCAATATATATAATTATTTATCAATTAAAAATAAAATGTTTAAGAAGGTTTTTTTTTTTTTAAAAAGAATTATACGGGGCTGGGCATGGTAGCTCACGCCTGTAATAACAGCACTTTGGGAGGCCAAGGCCAGGAGGATTGGTTGAGGCCAGGAGTTTGAGACCAGCCTGGTGAATGGAGCAAGACTCTGTCTCTAAAATAATAAAATAAAAAATTTTAAAAAAACTTAAAAAAAGAATTATATGAGTTAATGTAAAGTGCCTAGCCCAGTATGAAGCATACTATATGTCAGATGTATCTGTCAGATATTTATTAACTTCTCTAGCCCTTGTGCTTGTTCCTTAATAGAAATAGCTTCTGGCCTTTTCTCACAGCCAATGGACCTTCCCTCTTACCCCATAAAAGTCCTCTATGGTCACTCACAGGCTTAAACCCTTACTCGTCCTCTATGATCAGCATAGAACCAGGGAAGAGCAGAGGCTTCACAAGAGACAGGTTAGGCTTGGGAAACTGAAGAAAGGTCTCTCGGGCTCAGGTGGAGGGGTGGCCCTGGCAAACAGGGCAGATCATTCCCCATCCTACACTGCAGCCTATGGCCCCCAGTAGCTCAGTATGGCAGGGGGTCCTTCTGTTAGCGGCTCCTGCAATGCATAAGGTTCCCTGTTGTCCCAGACTTCTCCACATTCCCCAGGGCTTTCGCTTCCTATAACCGAGGCTGACCCAGAACAATGTTGACCCAGAGGCCACAGGAAAGCAACCCCTCAGGCTGATGAAGCATGTCAGCAGGGGAGCATGGGGGCAGCTGATGGCTGAGAGACTTCTACAGCTTGCCTCCAAGTCTGGCTCTGGCCACAGTGTGAGACAGGTAAGGCCACTGTGTCCCTGGGAGCAGCCAGTGATGTCATGACCACTGAAAGGACTGACTTGCTGAGACTCAGCTCTTCCCAGCTAGGGTTGCTCCCACCCCCACTTCTGCCATGTGTTCCCTTCATGAAAACCTTGGGTCAGATTTTTTAATGGAATAATGGGTTTGAAAGTATCTTAAAAGCTTTAAAGTACTTTACAAGTTATTATTTACTTAAGATAGGCCTGCAGTCAGAACTCTGGAAGTGCAGTAATATTTAGACTTTAGAAAAATATCTGCTTAAATGAGACTATTTTTTTAATTCATTCAACAGATATTTATGAACCCCCAACTCACTGAGTTAGGCATTGGGACACAACACTATCCATGAAGTTGAAGGAGTAGAGACTAGAAGCCTAGGAGCGGGAGAGAAGGACGATGAGCTAGTAAATAAAACAGATGAAATAATTAAGAATATGATAAGTGATCTCAAGGAAATAAGAAAAGGGCTAGAGTAGATAATTTTCGGGTGGACATATTTACATAGTGTGGTCACAGGAAGCCTCTTCAAGACATAATATTGAAAGTGAGACTTGAAGGCTAAATAGGAGCTAACTGTGGGAAGATCAAGAAAAAGAGCACTCCAGGCAGAAAATTACAAGTGCAAGAGCCCCGAGGCAGAAACACACTTGACATCCTGGCAGGATCTGAAGACAACCAATGTAATCACAACACAGTGAGGAAGGGGAGAAAGGTAGCAGGGAAAGTCACAGAGAAAGGCAGGGGCCACATTATGTAGATTCCTTAGGCCAAGGGTTTAGGATTTTATTTTAAATATGATAGAAAGGGTTTAGCCAGGCTAGTCACATAATTTATGTTTTCAAACAGATCACTCATACCGCTTTATGGAGAACATACTAACTATAGGTAAGTAAGAAAAAATCAGGGAGACAAAGTAGAGACTATTGCAGTGGTCTGGGCAAAAAGTGATGATGAATGGATTCCAGGGAAAAAAGAGGTAGTAGGTTGAAAGTGAGATGTATATTTGAGCATTTTCATGTAACATTATAATTTTTCTTTTTCTTTTTTTTGCTTTTTTTTTTTCTGGGACAGAGTCTCGCTCTGTATCCAGGATGGAGTGCAGTGGCGCGATCTCGGCTTACTGCAACCTCTGCCTCCCAGATTCAAGCAATTCTCCTGCCTTAGCCTCCCAAGTAGCTGCGATTACAGGAATGCACCACCATGCCTGGCTAATTTTTGTATTTTAAGTAGAGATGGGGTTTCACCATGTTGGCCAGGCTGGTCTTGAACCCCTGACCTTAGGTGATCTGCCCACCTTGGCCTCCCAAAGTGCTAGGATTATAGGCGTGAGCCACTGCTCCTGGCCTTATGTAACATTATAATTTAAAGAGAAGTTATACTATCAGGATTTGCTGGTGTTGGAGAATAGAAAGAAAGAAGGATTTCTAAGTAAGAAACTTGGTTTATGGATCTTGCCTGAAATGGGAAAAGTAGGCAGAAAGAGAGTTTGGAGGGTAAAAGTAAGAGTTCTGCTTTGGACAGGTTAAGTTTGAAGACATCCAAGTAGGGACATTGAGTAAGCAGGTAGATAAATGGGTTTGGGACTAAGTAGATATCCAGATAGGGGCTGAAGATACAAAGTTGGTAGTCATCATTATTTAGAACTTCCATGGTCTCAGAGATAGAATGGGATGATTCAGAAAGTGATTGTAGACAAAGAAAAGAGGAGGCCTGAGGATAAGAGTATTTAAAAGAGGGAGATGAGGAGAAACTGGCAATGGACACCAAGAAAAAACAATCCAGAAAGATGGGAGGACAAACGTGAGGGGGATATCCCAGAATCAAGAAGAGAAAGAGTTTTGAGGGAAAGTACTGATCAAATAATCAAATTTGGCTGTAAAGTTGATAAGGATGAATCCTGAGAATTGACCCTTGGATTTGCCAACATGGAGGCTGCCGGTGACCTTGACAGAAACTGATTCAGAAAAATGGGCAGTGGAGTTTAGACCAGTGGAGAACTGAAGTCTGATTAGAATGGCTTAGAGGATCACTGGAAGTGAGGAAATGCCTCTTTCAAGGAGTTTTAATATAAAGTGGAAGAGAGAAATGGGGCCCTGCTAGTAGGTTTTTCCAGGATGGATGATTTACTGAATGATCCAATAGGGAGGAAGAGACTACTGAGGTAGGAAAGGGAAGATAATTTCAGGTGATAAGTTCTTGAGTAGGTGAAAGGGGAAGAGGTCCACTGCAAAAGTAAAGGACACGGGAAGGATGGCAGAGAATGTAGGGTTGGGAGCAGTTTGTTGATGGATTTGGTTGTTGAAAATTCATTATTCATTCAGAAAATATGGAACTACTATGTGCCAGATGCTATTCTAGGAACAAGGCATACAGTAGTGAATGAAACAGATAAGACAAAGCTTATACCCTCATGGAGTTTATATTTTATTGAGGGGAATTAAGCAATAATATGCTAATAACAAATGTATGTCAGACAAAAGATAATAAGCACTATGGAGAAAAATGATCTAGGGTAAAGGAGTCCCTGGAGAGCTGGAGAAGAGGGTTGCCTTTTTTATAGGGTGACGGGAAAAGGTCTAAATGACCAAGGACCATTTGAGAACAGGCATAAAGGCAGCAAGGGAGGAAGTCATGTAGATATTTGTTTCCAAGCAGAGGGAACGAAAAGTGCCAAGTCCCCAAGGCAGGAGTGTGTTTGGTACAATCTGAGAAATAGCAGAAGTCAGTGTGATAGAACAAAACGAACAAGGTGGAGAAGTTGTAGGGGACAAGGAGAGGGAGAACAAAGAGAGAAGCAGTAGGAGAACAGCTTATATGTGGCTTTGGAGGTAAAGGCCTGAGCTTTATCCATTTCACTCTGAGTGAAATGAGAAGCCAATGGAGGGTTTCAAGCAGACACAGGACATGATGTGACTTACATTTTAAAAGCACGCCTTTGGCTGCTGTGGGAATTGGACTATGGGAGGCAAGTATGGAGGCATGAACACCATGTAGGAGACTGCTACAGTAGTCCAGGCAGGAGATGATGTAGTTCTCCTAGGATTGCTTCTACTTTCTCACGGAGTAAGTGGGAAGATCTCCATGCGAGGGTATGACAGAGGCTTGCAGGGAGATGAGAAAGTGTGATAGTCATATGGAAAGCATGATAGGACTGCTGCCCACACAGCTGGCATATAGCAAACAGTTTGCTAACATGCTTGCTTACCTCCGAACCTCTGGAACCCATCTCACTATGCATCTCTCTTCCTCCTGTCCAGTCTTCTTTCCTTCATCCTGTTTCTTGTCCTCTGACTCCAGTTGACCTTCAGTGGGCTTTAAGAACCCAAGCACTGATTAGGAAAATGACAACCTGCTGCTGACACATCCAGCATTTTTTTTTTTTTTTTAGACAGGGTCTGGCTCTCTCACTCAGGCTGGAAAGCAGTGGCACAATCTGAGCTCACTGCAATCTCCACCTCCTGAGTGCATGTGACCCTCCTACCTCAGCCTCCTGAGTAGCTGGGACTACAGGTACACGCCCCCACACCTAGCTAATTATTGTATTTTTTTTTTTTTTAGAGATGGGGTCTCACTCTGTTGCCCAGGCTGGTCTTGAACTCCTGAGATCAAGTGATTTGTCTGCCTTGGCCTTCCACAGTGCTGGGCTTACAGGTGTGAGCCACGGTGCCTGGTCCACATCCAGCTTCTTATACCAAACCCTTTCAAAGGATTTGAAGGAGCTCCTCAGAGTGCTCAGTTGTCCTTTAAAGACTCTATCTAACTATCATTCCACTACCTCACACCCAGAAGTCAATGAGGGAGGCCCAGCATTCCTATGCTCTTATTAAGACTACTCTTTCCTACCCATAATAGAAACCTCAGCAGGATTTGAGGTAGACCTGCAAGTTTCCTCATGCTCCTAGCAAGACCACCACTCCCTGCTTCCATGACACTACTCATCTCACAACGGATGGCCTGACAAGGCAGTCCCAACAAGAAGTCCACAACTGGATTGGAGTGGTGTCTCATGCCTATAATCCTAGCACTTTGGGAGGCCAAGGCAGTAGGACCACTTGAGTCCTAGAGTTTGAGACTAGCCTGGGCAACATAGTAGACCTCATCATTGCAAAAAATAAACAAAATTAGCTGGACCTGGTGGTATGCATCTTTAGTACCAGCTACTCAGGAGGAGAAGGTGGGGGGATTGCTTGAGCTCGGGAAGTTGAGGCTACAGTGAGCCACGATCATGCCACTGCACTCTAGCCTGTCTAATAGAGTAAAAACCTGTCTCACCTGTCTTAAAAAAAATGTCCAAAATTAGAACTGATGACCGACTTATCTTGAAATGACCAGTAGAGCTGATCTTATCCTGATTCATATCAATCTTCAAGGAGGAAGAACTGACCATGCTCCAGAAAGATCAAGTAAAATATGGACACAAAAGGTCTATTTGAGTTTTCAGTTATAAGGTTCCTGGTAACATTATAAAGAATAATTTCTATGGAGTTATGGTGAAGTAAAAGAATGGGAGGTGAAGATGTAGATACAGAGTATAGCCTACTCTGTAGGAGAAGCTGGCTATAAAATGATGGAAAGAGAAATGAAGCAACTAGAAAAAGGTGCCTAGTTGAAGGTGAATTGTTGTTGTTGTTTTAATATAGGCTAGATGCTTATAAGCTAAGAATCTAGTAACAAAGGAGAAATTAAAGATAACAGAAAAGGGATAATTCATCAAGGAAGTCTAGAAGAAGCCAGGAAAGGATGAGATCACAGTACAAGTGAATATATTAGTCTTGGACAGGAGAAATGACACAGTTTCTTCTAAGATGTGTGTGAGGGTAGCGACAGGGGAACAACTAAAGAAAAGTTTATAAGTGAGGAGAGGAAGTGAAAAGAGTTCATGTCTAATGGTATTTGTTTTTTCAAAGGAGTTAATCTGCTGTTGGTGAAGGGACTGGCCAGGGCGGGGTGTGTGGGGCAGTGTGGGGAAGATATAAGATAGCTATTGTGTGAAGATGGTGGGCTAACCATGAAGACCAGTATGGTATTTAGGGCTCAGCTGACATCGGAGACCCCTTATGTGTAGTGGCACCAACATACACCACTGTGAGATTTTCTCCTCCATCAACACTCAACTCCGGGACAAGGCAGATGTTTGAACTCATCCTAGGCCAGGGACTTGTGTTGGGTGGATATGGTGGCATAACTAGGGGTTGATGGGTGAGAATGCTGGTGAGAGAGCTATTACAGTGGTTTAGGCTGCATAGGAAAGAAAGCAAGATGAAGAGAGGGCTGATGACCTGGGAGAAAGTAGAGGCCAAGGGACTGGAAGGCATGAGCAAAGGAGTGAGCAATGGAAGAATAACTGTGGTGAGTGGGATATTGGAGTTTTCGATTTCAGATACGGAATAGTTGTGGGGAATGGGAGATTCAGAGTATAACCCCTGGAGGAGGATACTAATATGGTTTAAAAGTAAGTTTCCATGGAATTGAAGAGGTGGGCATGCTCCATGCATATAGGGTAGTGTCCTGGAGAATTGCCAATGATTTAGACTGGGAGGAGTTGACAGCACGAGACACAAAGCATGAATACTAAAAAGGAAGAGTTTTTGCTGTAGGTGGGAAGAATAGTAGCCTGAAGTGGCACTAAGGAGCTAGAAAACTGTAACTCCTTCGTTTTACTTCATTTTTCTCCTTTCTTCCAGTTTAGATCCTTTATCATCCCATTTGGATTAAAGAAATATTCTACTAATTGATTTCCCTGATTTTGGTCTCACTCTAAGTGTCCATCATACACAGGACTTCTAGCTTGACCTTGTAGAACAGTCTTGACAGCCTTTACTTCACTCCTGCTCGCAAACTTCAGTATCTCTCTGTGGAATAAAATCCAAATTTCTTAGCCTGGCCCTTAAGGTTCCAGGCATAGAGATGGCTTCAATCTACTACAATTGACCCTTGGATAATACAGTTGCTAAGGTTGCTGACCCTTGTGCGTTGAAAATTTATGTGTAACTTTTTTTTTTTTTTTGAGATGGAGTCTCGTTCTGTTGCCAGGCTGGAGTGCAGTGGCATGATCTTGGCTCACTGCAATGTCCGCCTCCTGGGTTCAAGTGATTCTCCTGCCTCAGCTTGCCGGGTAGCTGGGACTACCGGCATGTGCTACCACACCCAGCTAATTTTTGTATTTTTAGCAGAGACAGGGTTTCACCATGTTGGCTAGGATGGTCTCGATCTCCTGACCTTGTGATACACCTGCCTTGGCCACCCAAAGTGCTGGGATTACAGGTGTGAGCCACCACGCCCAGCCTATGTGTAACTTTTAACTCCTCCAAAACTTAATTACTGATAGTCTGCTGTTGACCAGAAGACTGACTGATAACTTAAACATCAATTAACACATATTGTGAATGTTATCTGGTCCTTTCTTATTTACAAATCCAGACAAAGAGAAAGCTGCCTCTGAAGTAATGCATTACAGCTGGAAGAAAGAGCCCTGTGGCTTTGTTCTTAAAATAAAGTAAGCTAGGAAAAGAAAATGTCATTAAGAAAATCATAAGGAAAAGAAAATAGATATACGGTTCATTAAGTGGAAGTGGATCATCATAAAGGTCTTCATCCGCATCATCCTCTTCACAATGAGTAGGCTGAGAAGGAGGAAAAGAAGGGGTTGGCCTTGCTATCTCAGGGGTGGCAGAGGCAGAAGAGAATCCACATTTTAATAAGACCGGCACAGTTAAAGCTCATGTTCAAAGGTCAACTGTACTTTGCTTTATATATCTAGTTTGAAGCAATATCAAACATTAGCTTGTATTGGTCTAAACTCTACACTTCTTTACCTAATCTTAGAGTACTTTCCTGAAAGTGGTTTTGTTTGCTGTCTGGAATGCTTCTCCACTCCTCTGAATATTCAACTCCATTTATCCTTCAAGGACCAAATCAAATACAGATTCTTCCCTGCATCAAAGGACATTTCCTTTCCCTATTCTTCTTAAAATTCCACTTTACTCCCTATATTCTAGTTAGTCCTGTACCTAATAAGAAAGAACCATGCCCAATTTATGCTCATAACCCCAGCTCATAATACTTCGCTCATTATCTTGCTCCTTGTAGGTATCCAGTGTCTGCTAACTAAATGCATTCATACATTCATGAATAAATAAATAGAGCTCTTATAACGTTGCAGTCGTGTTAAGGGTCAGAATCCTTCACTAGAAGATAATCTCGAGGTTTAGGGTTGATATTATATTTTTTATCCTCAATACTTAGCACCATTCTGGAAACATTGTAACCTAAGTACACAGTACAATAAAATCTTGGTAAATGGAATTGAATTAGTGTCTTCACACCTAAGTCATTCTCACTGTGTCAATCCCAAGTGCTCTAGAGAGTGAACACGGTCTCTGAAACAGCAAATAGCTGTTAATATCCTGAAGTGAGTAAAATGCTGCCTCTTAGAACTGGATAGCAAGTCTCTTAACAGAGACTATTTATTTATTCTTTCATTCGTTGAGTCATACCATGAATTGCAATTGATCTATATCCAATAACTATTATAGACACTAAGGAGAAAACAATCTGTGAAAATAAGGAGGTGAAAGAATGGGCTTGGCTTCTTGCTGGGATTTAAATGCCCTTTTTCTTAAGGAAACAAAATGCATGCCTATGTTGCATTTTCGCTCTAGGATTTTCCAAGGGAAACCCTTCTTCTAAGGACGGTCATGTCACAGTAGAACTGAAAATATTCCCCATCAGTATTAGACCTGAAAGGAAACAAGATTTACCAAGCATGGGGAGCCTTCCAGAAAGCAGACAGCTCATGTTTATAAAGTAATCTCTCCTTTTTCTCCTGTTTGGCCAGGCTGTGACAACATGCTGATGGGCATAAAGTCTTTGAAAATAGTGAAGAAGATGATGGACACACATGGCTCTTGGATGAAAGATGCTGTCTATAACTCTCCAAAGGTGTACTTATTAATTGGATCCAGAAACAACACTGTTTGGGAATTTGCAAACATACGGGCATTCATGGAGGATAACACCAAGCCAGCTCCCCGGAAGCAAATCCTAACACTTTCCTGGCAGGGAACAGGCCAAGTGATCTACAAAGGTTTTCTATTTTTTCATAACCAAGCAACTTCTAATGAGATAATCAAATATAACCTGCAGAAGAGGACTGTGGAAGATCGAATGCTGCTCCCAGGAGGGGTAGGCCGAGCATTGGTTTACCAGCACTCCCCCTCAACTTACATTGACCTGGCTGTGGATGAGCATGGGCTCTGGGCCATCCACTCTGGGCCAGGCACCCATAGCCATTTGGTTCTCACAAAGATTGAGCCGGGCACACTGGGAGTGGAGCATTCATGGGATACCCCATGCAGAAGCCAGGATGCTGAAGCCTCATTCCTCTTGTGTGGGGTTCTCTATGTGGTCTACAGTACTGGGGGCCAGGGCCCTCATCGCATCACCTGCATCTATGATCCACTGGGCACTATCAGTGAGGAGGACTTGCCCAACTTGTTCTTCCCCAAGAGACCAAGAAGTCACTCCATGATCCATTACAACCCCAGAGATAAGCAGCTCTATGCCTGGAATGAAGGAAACCAGATCATTTACAAACTCCAGACAAAGAGAAAGCTGCCTCTGAAGTAATGCATTACAGCTGTGAGAAAGAGCACTGTGGCTTTGGCAGCTGTTCTACAGGACAGTGAGGCTATAGCCCCTTCACAATATAGTATCCCTCTAATCACACACAGGAAGAGTGTGTAGAAGTGGAAATACGTATGCCTCCTTTCCCAAATGTCACTGCCTTAGGTATCTTCCAAGAGCTTAGATGAGAGCATATCATCAGGAAAGTTTCAACAATGTCCATTACTCCCCCAAACCTCCTGGCTCTCAAGGATGACCACATTCTGATACAGCCTACTTCAAGCCTTTTGTTTTACTGCTCCCCAGCATTTACTGTAACTCTGCCATCTTCCCTCCCACAATTAGAGTTGTATGCCAGCCCCTAATATTCACCACTGGCTTTTCTCTCCCCTGGCCTTTGCTGAAGCTCTTCCCTCTTTTTCAAATGTCTATTGATATTCTCCCATTTTCACTGCCCAACTAAAATACTATTAATATTTCTTTCTTTTCTTTTCTTTTTTTTGAGACAAGGTCTCACTATGTTGCCCAGGCTGGTCTCAAACTCCAGAGCTCAAGAGATCCTCCTGCCTCAGCCTCCTAAGTACCTGGGATTACAGGCATGTGCCACCACACCTGGCTTAAAATACTATTTCTTATTGAGGTTTAACCTCTATTTCCCCTAGCCCTGTCCTTCCACTAAGCTTGGTAGATGTAATAATAAAGTGAAAATATTAACATTTGAATATCGCTTTCCAGGTGTGGAGTGTTTGCACATCATTTAATTCTCGTTTCACCTTTGTGAAACATGCACAAGTCTTTACAGCTGTCATTCTAGAGTTTAGGTGAGTAACACAATTACAAAGTGAAAGATACAGCTAGAAAATACTACAAATCCCATAGTTTTTCCATTGCCCAAGGAAGCATCAAATACGTATGTTTGTTCACCTACTCTTATAGTCAATGCGTTCATCGTTTCAGCCTAAAAATAATAGTCTGTCCCTTTAGCCAGTTTTCATGTCTGCACAAGACCTTTCAATAGGCCTTTCAAATGATAATTCCTCCAGAAAACCAGTCTAAGGGTGAGGACCCCAACTCTAGCCTCCTCTTGTCTTGCTGTCCTCTGTTTCTCTCTTTCTGCTTTAAATTCAATAAAAGTGACACTGAGCAAATAACCTCATCAGGTTATATTTGCCCACATACCCTAAGCACAAAAGCTTTCTGGGAGTGCTGCTTGTGTTAGGTTTACTGTGAATGATTCCCAACACACTGAGGCCCTGGTAAATATTCTGGAATCTGGACAGAAGCCATACAGCAGGCAAGCGACTCTGCCACAGCAGGCATGCCCTGTGGCACCGAGGGCAGCATGCCTCTTGACAGGGGCTTCCTCAGTGTTTCCCACGTGTTTGTCCAATTCAGCTAAGTTCGAGTCACAAGTGCAGGCT
The DNA here is from genome assembly GCF_000001405.40 of Homo sapiens. Taxonomy (NCBI): domain Eukaryota; kingdom Metazoa; phylum Chordata; class Mammalia; order Primates; family Hominidae; genus Homo; species Homo sapiens. Next base: position 7,511,607 of record NC_000011.10, read on the forward strand.
GTGGTGCCAGTCTGTGTCACGTGCTGAAGCCTCTGTCTTTCCAGGTTGGTCACATGAGAAGGTTTGCTTTGTGTGCTTGCAGCTGTTTTCCTGTCTTTGCCAAGCCCAGGCTGGGACCATAGGCAGTGAAGAGAAAATGTTTTTTTCCATAGCATTTGAGTAGATATTTGGCAGAAGGGAATTACTCAACCCATGGATACAGTGTAATTACCCACAGTTCTAACAGAATGGTACAGAGAGGCCAAATCCTTTGTGGAATGAGACAGGTATGAATAAATAAATGTGATATTACCTGCCCTATTACCTACCTATTTCACAGATAGAAGGAATGTGGGCTGCCTCACAGAGGATAGTGGGGTAGATTTATCAATAGGAGTGAGTCCTGCAACCATAGTTCCTTTGGAGGCACAGAGGGGAGGTTGCCTGAAATGTGCTGTCTAGATTCCACCTGGGATATGATTTGATTGACAGCTCTGCAGGGCACATCTGCCCCAAACAACTCACCTTGGTACCTACCTTAAATCCCTGCAGCTCGAATCACTCTTTTAGGTCAAGACATTTTCTCCAGGAAGCCCCTGTTAAGGGACCACTTTGCTTCTTGTGAGCCAGCGCAGGTCAGTATGCAGGCCTGGGAATGGGGTTTCTTTCAGGTGAACGTTTTAGCTCTGGGGTCTTGTTGGATTTAAGTGAAGACTGACATCGACATGGCCTACATCAGTGGTTCTTAAACTTTGTTGCACATAAGAATCACCTGCGGAGTTTTAACAGTCCTCATGCCGTGGCCATATCCCCAAGACCATTAAATCAGAACCTCTGGGGATGGATCGAGATATCAGTATTTTTAAAGTTCCTTCCCGCAAGTTGGTTCCAAAGTGCAAAGAAGCTCCAGAGCCGGTGACTTAGAACATTTAAAAAGGTAACTGTATCAATTTAAGAACAGGCTAGCAGTTTCTGGGGGCGGAGGTAAGGGGAGTGGCTCCGCTAGGGCAATAAAGGGTGGGATTCGGAAACAGCCATGACCTTGTGTGAACTGTGGCAGCCTGCGTCTACAAAAGTCGCTCTGCTGCTATTTTAAGGAAGTGAAAGAGAACTGAAGGGTGTCCTGTTGTAACACAACTCTTGCGGGCCCCAGCCTTCCCCTGCTGGCTGTGCTTTGGTCTGCTGCTGGCCAGGTTCCCGCAGTGACCACACGTCTCATATTTGCCAGGGTGGGTTAGGTTCTGTTCACATGTAAAATTCTCCTGGGCCTACTGGTCATTTCAGACCGCGAGGGTAAATTTGGTTTGAAAAAGTTGTGTCCTGTGGAGTTTGTCGACACTCCAGCCTGTAGAGAACTAAAGGCTAGGGCTGTGGTGACTCCTGCCAGAGCTGGGGACTATGCCGAGTCCCTGGTGTCGCTGCCATCTGAGGCCTACAGGGATTTTAAACAGCTTAACAGCAGCCAGTCCTTGGAGGCCTGGGCAGGGCCACAACATAGCAGTACAACCAAAACGGGTTCAGGCCACACGCTGGAGGTAGGGGCTGGACCAGATCTCCAGCTTCAGTCCTCCCCAGTTCGAGAACCCATTCCTGTGGTCAGACATTGCCAACGCTTTTCTTGGACCTAAGGTCCCAGACCTTGGCGCTGGGCACAGGGAAATGCTTCCTGACCTCGGCTCTTCATAAGACAGAACTTTTGTTTGGTGCCAACCACTAGAGGGACCTCCACCCCAGGTTGCGAGTGCAGCGCGGCGGGACCTGGGATGATTCGGGGGCTTTCCGACCTGCTTAGGGAGGGCGGCTCAGAGACAACCTCAATTTTGCCTGGATTGCACGCGGGCCGAGGAAGTCGGGATGCTCCGAAGGGTTTCTGCTCTGGGAGTGCCTCTAATGTGGGTTTTCTATGCTTTCTCTCTTCGCAATTCTCGACACCGTTTCCTTCTTCCTCGCTTTCATTCCCTGTGACCGGAGAACGGCGCTGAAGGACTGGAGAAGCCCAGGAGACTGGGAGCCGGAGCGCCGGGTACCCACCCGGGCCTCCCCGCAACCGGAGCTGTGCGGAGGAGGAGGCGCGGCGAACGGGGCGGGGCTCCCGGAAGGGGGCGCGGTCCGCCGAGAGAGGCGGGGCTGGGGCCCGGACGCGCGGCCCAGGGGGTGGGGACGAGGCAGGTTCGAAGGGGCGGGGCTGACCAGGCCGGTCCCCCGGGAACAGGAACCCTGGTGGACGGGTCCCAGCAGGCTTCTTCGGTGCCCGAGAGGGAGCGGGTGCCCAAGGGGGTGGTCCCTGTGGCAGGTCCCGGGGTGGGGGCGCGGCGCTCCGGGAAGAGCCTTCCGCAGGTCCCCGCCCCGTCACGTGGGCGCCGGCCCCGGCCGCTGCGGTCGGTCCGCTGGTTGGTCGGGCGCTTGGTCCGGCAGTTGGTCGGTGGGCCAGTGGCCCGTCGCTCGCTTCTGGGCTCTCATGTTTGAAGGTGGGAGGGACACGGGAGCGGCCCGCACACCTGAGCCGCCCGGAGAGGAGCCTCGGCCCCGTACCCAGGTCAGTGGGCTCTCCCCACACCCCGGGCTTGCCGCGCGGTCGGGGTTGGGATCCCCGTCGGGAGCATTACCTAGGGAGTGGAGCGCCCCCAGAGCTACGAACCACGGGGACGTGTGGGTCAGTGTCTCTGTGAGCCCCGGAGCGTGTCCCAGGCTCGAGGACGGGGACCCTTCTCCAACTCCACTGGCCAGAAGCCTGGGAGGAGGGCAGAACTCCTGTGGGTTGGCTGCGAATCTCCACCCAACCCTGCCTGGGATCCGCGGACAGTCCGCACTCCTGCAGGTGCCAGCGTGGCCCTGGAGATGCGCAGGGAGGTGGGGTCCCTGAGTTCTGTGCGGCGCGTCCCAGCCCTGCTCAGCCCGGGGAGCAGCGGCGTGGACTAGGGAGCCTAAGGAGGTTGCGGAAGCTTTAGGTCTGTCAGCCCAGGCAATTCTCTGGTGGACACAGCGTGTGTCTAGATGCAGGGCCTCGGCTAAAGCCAGTTCTGTAGTGTAAGTGCAAAAATACAGCACACTTTTTAAAATCTAAAGCCGCCGCGTCCCAGTAGACTGCAGGATGGGGACGGTCCTATTTAAAAGTGGGCTCCCTCCTCACCTCATCACATCAGATTCCAGACCCGCAGTTTTTCCTCGGATGAAAATAAGATTATGTAACAAGAGAACAGAACTTCCAGCGTTTGGATAGGATTAAGACAGGCATTCTTGCCAGTGTTTAATCTTCTTAAAAAACGAATCTAATTATATTTTTACTTTTAGAGCAGCCAGATATTTGGTATAGATCCGTGTCCCTTTTCTATATTTTGGTCTACTTCCTGTCTTTCTCTTCGTCTCTCTCCTTTCTCAACCCCTCCTTAATTGATTGTAATACAAATCTGAAGTGTTTTCAAATTTGTAGTGTATTATGTGAAGTTAAATGGTCAACTACAGAAAAGTAGTTGGTTTTCGACATAATTCATCTTCAGCATATTCAGTCTTTCATTATTATAGGTGTATGGAAAGCTGTAAGTGTTATCTAATTTAGAAATTATTTCTCTTTGGCTTAAGAGAGGCAACCCATTTGTACTTTGCTTAAATTCATAGCTAAATAAATTTGAAGTGGGAGATGGGGATGATTGATGAGGTTTTCACTGATTGCATTTATCCATGTTTTATTTAACATATTTCAATTATTAGTAATACTATTTTAAGATTTGGTGATGTGACAGTTGTTAGCTTATTGCTACTGGAGAGATAAGCTGCTTACCATGATGCCTTCTTTACTGGGTAGCTAAGGGAGATGCGCTTTGACTTTAAAAGAGTAAGTGGAATGAGATCAATGACATGAAGGCGGTAGGAACAAAGTTATGGGAATTCCTGTCTTTCATCTGAGCAGGGAAATCTGGGATAATTTTAAGAAAGGGTGATGTGATGGACCTCAAAGGATCCCTCCTGGGGTTTTTGAGGCAGAGAAGGGTAGAGTGTGGCCTGGGCTGTGACAACTGTGTGGGCAGGCAGGCATGGACTCACCATGAGAAGTGGCCAGTGGTCCAGCTTGGCTCTTATGTCAAGTGCTAGTCAGGAAAGCTGGTGACAAGGCTGGAAAATAGTCCCAGCTGTCCAGTACAGAAGTCTGGACTTGGTCTGAAGGCACAGCAGGGGACTGACTGATGGTTCTGTGAACTTCTCAAAGTCAAAGACCTTGGTCCTTGACCCTCCCAATTCCTAGCCTGATACAGAGAAAATCCAGTAAATATTTGTGGAGTGCATGGTCTGACAACACTGTAGAGCAGAGCTTCTCAAAGTTGAGAATCCTGTGGGGATCTTGTTCAAATGCAAATTATGATTCCATAGGTCAGGGGTGGGACTTGACATTCTGTGTTTCTAACAGATTCCCAGGAGCTTGCTGATCATTTCCCTATGTGTAGCAAGGATTTAGAGTAGCAGTTTGCAAACCTGGCTATGCCTCATAATCGCCTGGGGAGTTTTGTAAAACGTTCAGATTAAGTAGTCTGGGATGTTTTTACCAAGTTCCCCCAGGTGATTCTGTTGACAAACCCGAAGGCAACTGCTGCAATGGCAAAGTTCTGGGAGTGTGGTGGGAAGCAAACTCCAAGGGAAAAAGACAGTGGGGGCGGCGAGGCCGGATAGGAAACCGGGAGGCTGATCCAGGGTCAAAGGGATGAGGCCTTATTTTGGGCCTGAGAGAGTGATGAGGTGGGGACAGGTAGGGAGACTTCGGAGAGATAGAATCTGTAGGACAGAGGACTAGGGAATGGGACAGTCTCTAGACTGATTAGATGCAATGAGAAGTGAGGAGGGAGAAACAATGCTGGGAAGATTCAGCTTTGGGCCTGAGGAATGGTATGGCCTTTAGACTGTAATGTTTAAGGTAAAGTTTATGAAAGGTTCTTGTATTGGTTCGAACCCCGAGAGCCTGCCAACAGACAACATGAGGCGGTGTGGGGCAACGTGCTGTTTTAACGAGCGCCTGGGTGCAGGTGGGCTGAGGCCTAAAATGGCGTCAGCACCAAGTGAGGACGAGGCAGGGGTTTTATAGTTTCCTGTAAACAAGAAGTGTCTCAGTCTGATGTAACTTCTGCACAGTACCCAGACGGCCCCTCTCTCTGTCTTCAAGGGGTACGTGTCTTCCAGCCAGGGTAGGTGTCTTCTGGCCGGCTGTCTTCCTGCTTCTGCTGTCTTGCTGATGCACACTGCTGGCGCAACTGGCCTTGCACCTTGGGACTGGGCCTGAGAAGGGAGGAGTTACTCATCTCTTCAAGCTTTCAGACCCCGGGGAGAATCTTTCATTCCTGTCTATTTGGTTATAGTAAAAAGGGAAAAGGGGTGACTTTCTCAATAACTACTTCAGGCGTGACTTAGGGGTGGTGTGGGCTCCTTGGAAAAAGAAAAACTTAATTTTTAGGGTATTCTTGAGAGATGTGTTGGTATCCATCGTGTCGTTGTAGCAGGAGCATAGTCTGAATTGTCTGGTGGCTAACTGTAGTTTCAATAAGAGTTTTAGTGGCTTTTATTATTAGTGGGATAACACAGGGGAGAAAAAGTGATGAAGATTACTGTCCCTACCAGGGTTTTAAATCCTCCTAAATTAGAGAACTGTTGTCCGGCTGCTAGAGTGAGAGCTCGAGTGAGGGTGATGAGTTCAGCTTTTTGGGAGGTGGTGCCTGGGAGGAGCAGATTGGCTTCAATAGTGTGGGGTCTTTAAGGGTAATGTGGACAGGGGTGTGGTGTTTTGCAACTGAGGGTGTGGAAATATCCCTAACAGCGGGGTTAACTACAGATAGGGGTAAGGAAAGGTTGCATGTTTTAGGGTGGGAGGTTGGAGGAGCAGAAGAAAGCTAGAAGCCTCGGAGGGGTCTGGGTTGATGCGTTGGGTACTACGGGGAATGTGGAAGTGGAGAGTAGTGTGGAGTTTTGAAAGGATGTCCCTGCCTAGGAGCAGAGTTGGGAATGAGACCAGGTTTGGGGTGAAAAAGTGAGTGAAGGAAAAGGTGTGCAGGAAGCAGAAAAGTGGAGGGGTGGCTCGGGGTTAGGAGACTTGTCCATCAATTCCCACAACAGAGACTTAGGAGGACTGGGTGGGTCCTGAAAAATTAGGTAAAGCAGAGTAGGTCACCCATGTTGATTAAAACCATCAGGGTTACCCTTGGCTCGGATGAAGTGATGGTAGTTGCCGGGGCATCCATTCCAGGGCACCATCAGTCTTCAGCGGCAAGGCAAATGAGATCCGAGTAGGAGGTTTTGGCCTGCTCAGGAAGGGATGGGGGGCGGTCCCTGCAGGGGCCGCTCATAGTCCGACTTCCAGTGGGGTCCTCCGCAGAGGGGGCACGGCCTGGTGGGCTTACCTGGGTATGGGCATTGTCTGGACCAGTGGCTTTCATTGCCGTACTTGAAACAGGCGCCAGGTGGAGGTGGATTGCTAGGAGGCTTCTGTGTGGAGCTGTGGCCCCGTGGGCCTGCAGGGCCCCTGATGGCGGAGGCAGGCATTTGAAACTCTGCCTGTTTTTGCCTTTTACTTTCCTCATCATGATTGTTAAAGACTTTGAAGGCTAAATTAAGAAGGTCTTGTTGTGGGGTTTGAGGGCCGTCGTCAAGCTTCTGAAGCTTGCACCGAATATCGGGAATGGATTGGGAGATGAACCGAAGGTTTAAGATAGTGGTTCCTTCTGGGTTGGCTGGGTCTAGGTTGGTATATTTTCTCATGGCTTCAGTTACATGAGAGAGAAAAAGGGCTGGGTTTTTGTCAGGACTTTGGGTGATTTCTGGAAGTTTTTCATAGTTTACCACTTTATGGGCACCCTTTTTGAGTTCTGCAAGGAAACACATAATCGTGTGGTCTCGATGGCAGCATCTAGAGGCCCTGTCTTGATAATCTCAGTGGGAGTCCTGGTTGGGGACTGCCTCTGCACCAGTAGGCTTGGCAGGAGCTTGTTGATGAATTGTGTCAGCATGCACCTGAGCTAGGGTCCAGACACAGTCCTGGTCTTCTGGGGTGAGGGTGGAAGAGGGGATAACGTAGAGGTCATGCCAAGTTAGTTCATAAGACTGGGTAAGGTACTGAAACTCCCTGATATAAGAGGTAGGGTCGTCTGGAAATGAACCGAGTCTTTTGTTAATTTGAGAGAGATCAGTGAGGGAGAAGGGAACATGAACTCTTAACAATACCTTCAGCTCTTGCTACTTCCCAAAGGGGACACTCTAGCACTGGCGCTGAAGTGAGGGTGGGGCATGAGCCAAAGATGGCGCTCGAGCGAGTATGGGCGGGAGAGAAGGAAGAAGTCAGAAGTCGTTCCTGCTGAGGGTTTGAAGGGGAAAGGGGGTTTGAGTTGATAAGCAGTGGAGGACAGATAGGGGCGTAAGGTGGCGGGATGGGTTTACAGGCTTCAGGAGAGGGCAGTGAGGAAGGAGAATGAGTACAGGCAGTGCTAGAGTTGTCCTCAGGAGAGGACAGTGTAGGAAAAGAAGTGGGTACTGCTGACTGGGAAGATGGTGGCTGGGAAGATGGCAGCTGAGAAGATGGCGACTGGGAAGATGGCAGCTGAGAAGATTGCGGCTGAGAAGATAAAGAGGAGGCTTGCGGGGTTAAAGAAGATGGTTGAGAGGGAGAGGTAGAGTCTGGGAGGAATGGACAGCAGTCTGCTGGATCTAACGGGGAAAAAGAGGTATGGTCGGGAGGAGAAAGGCGATCAGGGCTGCGAGAATGGAGGAGAAGGATTTGAACAGGTGAGCAAGAATTGCAGAGGTCGGGTTGTGATCTGAGTGCCAAAAGGCCTGGAAATAAGGAATTTCTTCCTATTTCTTCGGTCGTTGGCAATACTTGCTTAAATCAGTTAAAACTGTAAAGTCGAATGTTTCATTTGCCGGCCATTTGGACCGTTATCTAATTTGTACTGTGGCCAGACTGAATTGCAAAAAAAGAAAAGGCGCTTAGGGCGGATATCTTGCCTGAGGCCTAAGGTTTGCAGGTTTTTTATGAGGCAGCCTAGAGGGCTGTTTTTTAGAATGGAGGGCCGGGAGTTTCCCATAATGAAGGGTAGGCACAGGAGAACAGGGAAAAAGGAGACAGTCCTGGACAGCCGGACGGAGACGATAAAAGGAGCGATCGTCACCACTGCCTTTTTCATTCCTGGAACGGGATCAAATGGCTTAGAGGTGTCCCCCTAAGACCAGATGATCAGCGAGTGCCTGGCACACGCTGGAGCCTTTTTGGACCAACGTTGGATTTTCGGACCAGAGAAACCAAAAGAGGCCGAGCACGTTTTTCCCTGTTAACCAGGTTCCCGGGGAAGCTTACCAGTAGGTGAGATCAGTGACTGATCTGCATGCACAGAGAGGCGACTGGAGGCTAAGGAGCTTCCTTTGTCCAGCTGCTGTGGCCTGCTTTCCAGCATAGAGGGGTAGGTCCACGGGGGACACAGACCCGAGCCTCTCCCAGGTTTCGGCACCAGATGAAAAGTTCTTGTATTGGTTCAAACCCTGAGAGCGCTCCAACAGACAACACGAGGCGGTATGGCGCAACATGCTGTTTTAATGAGCGCCTGGGTGCAGGCAGGCTGAGGCCTAAAATGGCATCAGCACCAAATGAGGACAGGGCAGGGGTTTTACAGTCTCCTGTAAACAAGAAGTGTCTCAGTTTGAGGTAGCTGCTACGTGGTACCCAGACGGCCTCCCTTTTGGTTTTCAGGGGGTACGTGTCTTCCGGTTGGGGTGGGTATTTTCCGGCTGGCTCTTTTCCTGCTTTTGCTGTTTTGCCGACGCACGCTGCTAGCACAACTGGCCTTGCACCTTGGGACTGGGCCTGAGAAGAGAGGAGTTACTCATCTCTTCAACCTTTCAGACCCCAGGGAGAATTTTTCAGTTTAGAAGTGGTTTTTTACTTGGCCATAAGATTTTTTTTTTTTTTTTCCTGAAATGCAAATCTGTTCATGATGCTGTCGTGTTTGAAATCCTCTGGTGGATATCCTAATGCAAAATATAAGAAGGAAGCACTAATATAAACACAACTGATAACACTTGTTCCATTCTACAGCCTGTTCATCCCCATTCAAGATGTGACATTCAGTCCCCATTTGGTGTGGGCACAACTAGGCTGAAACTTTTGGCAGCTTTGTTTATTCCTGAGTCACTATTTTCCCTGCGTCCTTCTTCTTCAGAGGAGCTCCACCTCCCTTGGACTTTATGTTTCTTAGTATCATTTTTTGGTTCCAATGCTTGATGGCACCTATGTGTCTCTGTCTTCATGGAATCTATGTAGTTCTAGGAAAGGTGGGCTTTATCCTTTATACACCCTTAAAGCCAAGTCTTGTTTGACTGTGGATCTTCACAAGCTTCATTCTTATCTCTCACTCATCTGGTAAATAAGCCTCTAAAAGAGGCTGTCCTAGAATAATCTGTTTAGCTTTAGGCCCAGATCTCCTTAGTGCCTCAAGTTCCAGGGGACTGCTGACTCCGAGCTTTGTCTTCAGCAAATGTATGATTTCTGTTTGCCTTAAGGTCGTTGGCTTGGTTCTCCCTGGTTATTCTTACTTTCACTTCCTCTCTCTGTCATGTTCATATGTACACATTTATGCACACTGAAAGCTGAGCATTCATTGTGCTTGATGCTTTTAATCACCCTGTTCTATGTTGCATAGTAATCATGATCCCTAACATACCTGTAGATGGGAGGCCTAGACACAGAAGGAATAGGACTGTCTCTCTGATAGGATAAAATACACCATCCTTGTATGGCATTCAAATCTCTACAGTGGTGGGCCCTACTTTAGCTCTCCAGCTGCCTCTCCACTGTTCCCCAAACTGAGAAGCTGAGTAATTTCTATTCTTTTGTGCCTATCTGCATTTGCATACACTATTTTATCTTCCTGGAAAGCCCTTTTGTCTCTATTCTGCAAGATTATTAATCCTTCAGGATATAGATCAAATTCTTAAAGCTCCCTTGCCCCTAAGTCGTTTTTACTCTTCTGTTACATACATATCACATCAAACAAAGATCTGCTATGCTATTTCATCACTTTATGTCTATGTCTCTGTCCATATTCCTCCAAACTCTGAGCTGCTTTAGGGCTGTATCAGCTCTTGTGCGTGGCCCCACACTTAGCAGATGTCCAGGAGGAGTCTGTGGTAGATATGGGCCTTAAGCTGGCTGGCTTTGCAATGTTTACCTCAGTAAAGAGGGAAAGGGGCTGGTTATTTCGTATGGTAGACGAGAGAAGGAAGAGGAGCAGAAGCTGAAAGACTGGGAGGAAGGACAGGCCCAGTGAAGAGTGGGCCCATATGGCTAGAGTCAGGGGGTTGGGTGGACACTGGGAGAGGTGAAGATGGAGTCCCAGGCTGGGAAGAGATCATGGAAGGCCTTGAAAGTTGGAGCTATATAATTTAAATTTTATTCTGATGACATTAAAGTTTCCATACTCAAGTATGGAAAAGACGTGGTAAAACTGTTCAGGATGATTGTGGCTGGGAAGGGCAGGTTGGAGGGACAGGGAGGAACTTCTTATGAGCACAGGCTGTTAGAATAACCCACTGAGGTAGCTCAGGACCTAAATCAAGGCAATGGCAGTAGGAATAGAGAGAAGGGAGCAGAGGCAAGTGACCATGCCAAGAAATCCGGCAGGATTTGGTGACTGATTGTATTTGAGGGAAAGAGAAAAGCGTCAAACTGGATACTGACGTGTGTTAGTTTGCTGGGAGAAGAATGAGGCAACTGTTAGTAGCATGAAAGCATGGAGGAACTTAGTGGAAGGGGGAAGGGAAATGAAAGTGGTTGATTCTTTTGGAATCAGAAGGGAGCCTCGGGTAGTTTCTTGCTTGCCCTTTATATGTTTACCCATAAGAGGATGGTGAAGCCCAGAGAAACCTACCCAAGATCACTTAGCTCTTGATTGTAGAACCCAGGTCTACTGGCATTATGGCCTGGGCTTCTATCTTCTGTAGCACATGAGTTTAGCCAGAGGAGAGCTGCCAGAAGGTCGAGATGGAGATTCCATTAGGCAATGAAAAATGGGAATGAGACCAGGTTTGGGGTGAATTCAGCCTGCAGAACAGCTAAGGCTGGAGTCTTATAGGTCAAGCACCCAGATGGGAAATGTCTGCTAGTTGCCAATGCCATGGGGGCCCGAAGGCTCATGAGGCCTCCTTTTTGCCCTGTGGCCTAGCTGTATGTGGGGCTGATGGGAGATATGAAGTACTTTTAGGGTATCAGCGCTCTTATACTTATTATGCTCAATGTGGGCACGTGTATTAATTTTCTTCTGGGAATGTAACCACCAATCAATTTATCAATTCCATGGGAAGTTGTATTCCAAGGCCCAAACACCTCCTCTACCCAGACTTCAGGGCACATCCAGCCAGTTCATGAGAAGTTGCCTCTTATAGTGTTGGAGTGGGGATGGGGGTACAGGGAACAGCTAGCTAGGGAAGGCAACCAGCCATGAGGACCTCATCCAAGCAGGGTCCGGTGTAGAGTCAGGATCGGGGACTCAGATGGCTGGATGAGGGCTACAGCTGTCCGATGAGGAGTGAGGATCTTATCTGGAATCTGCACTGCTGTCGGGAGACTCAGTGGCCCTGAGGCTGGAGTTCTTCAATCCTCCTCACCCCTCCCTTCCACACACCTTTGCCCAGCCAGGCTCCTCAGCCTCCAGCCTCCCAGGATGGAGTCTTGTCTTTGTCATGGACGCTGACACAGTGGTCACTTCTGTTTCTTGAGGAAGAGCCAGGTTTATGAATGTGAAACATTTGAATTATTGTCTGAGTTGTGGTAGTTGCCAAATAAAAACATATACACAAAGAATACTGGGAGCCAACGTTGAAGGAAAACTTGTCAAACTTCCCTTTCTCTTTTGAGCTTTGTAGTGGGGTCTTGCCAGTTTATACCTCATCTTGTTCTGAAGGTTTTTTGTTTCTGTTTTTCATATTAAGGCCAAAATATGTGCACGAGCCTGCTCACCCATGGTAAAGTGTCAGGGACAGCCACAAATTGCACAGATTACAGACGTAGATTTGCACTTCCCATTTCTTAGGAAGTAGGTGGGTGGAGGAACCACTAATGCATCTCCAGGAAGGGATTTGTTAGCTCAAGGGAGGCTATGGGGACTAGATCCTACATTGCCTCTTCCCAGGCTTATGGTCGCTGTGGTGTTCCCAGGTGGCTCTGCTTCAGGTATGTCTCTTTCCTCCTGGGAATAGGGAAGGAGGTGATCCAGATCTCAGGATTTCTCTGCCTGCTTAGGGATGCCAGTGAGGTGTGTTTAGTGGGGATACTCTTGTCCCTGCCCTCCAGGGTAAAGTTACACTTCCACAGTAACTTGTGTGCATGGTTGAAATGCAGCCATCACATGCAGCTGGGCCTCTCACTCTGACCTGGAGGGCCACTCCTGTGACTGCACTGATTATCCCAAGAGGCCTTCTTAGCAAACTTCTCCAAGTTGCTTCTGGCGAAAGGTTCAGAGAACTCTGCCAAAAGGAACTACTTGGTTGACAACTCTGTGTGTGTGTCTGTGTGTGTCTGTGCGTGTGTGTGTGTGAGAGAGAGAGAGAGAGTTGTGTAGGAATCAAGAGGTTTGTAATAGGGACAAGGGGGACAGAGAGGGGGTAGAGCCACAGCTCAAGCTTAGGAAGATCAAAAATGGGTTACCTCTTTCTTGCCTGCTTAGGCAAGAAAGCCTCTATCTTCAGGGGCAACAGTTTCCTTCTCCCAACACACAAGTCCATGTTCCCTCCAAATCAAAGAGGTTTTTACACAAATAACTAGCTCAATGCTGGACTGCTTCATGGAGGCAGTGGAGGTGTAGACTGGCCCCACAGAAAGTTTCTTCCACAGGAAAGGATAGAGCAGAACTTCCAACTTTGGTGGATTTGACAAATGGCTTGTTTCATGAGGTCAGGGTAGTGTTATTCCCATTTTATGGGAAACAGGTGCCAGAGAAGTAAAGACACTTTTGAAGGTTCCAGAGTATTAGATTTAATGTAATTTATTGTCCGAACTGAACACTTTTGAAAGTGAAAGTAGGCACATAAATGCTAAACTGGGTGGGGACTGGGGAAGATCAGGATCAGGCACATTGGGATGTGTGGTTTCAAATTCAGTGTTCAAAACTCCAAATTCTATGAGCAATGGGGGCAGAAAAGGGAAGGGGTGGGGTGGGAGAGTGGATTGGCCTGAGGGGGTGGAGATCGATTTGGGATAGGAATAGCAGATTCTTCTAATTCAACATTTCACCAAGGCAGAGGAATAGTTCTTGACTCTGACACCTGACCTTGACTGGATGTCATGAAAAAGTTTCATTACATAAGCTCTTCCTGCGACCAACCAGCCAAGACATCTGGTTCTTGGATGCATGTGCTCACCTGGTAACAACAACAGCCTTGTGTGTCTGTCTGGGTTTTCACTGTGCCTGCTCACTGGTGCGGCACAATGCCCCGGGCAGGGATTATTGTTCTGCTTGTGGAAATGAGGAAGCTGACTCCTCTTGCCTGTCCTGCCCCCTCATTCTATCATGGCAGGCAGGAGGTTTTCTCCAGCATGAGGACTTGGCCTCCCTAACTCCTGTGGGCCCTGGTAGCTCTAGAGTGGAGGGTTTGAATCAGACAGTCCTCGATTAAAATAGCTCTACACCAATTCGCTATTGCTCCGTACCTCTTTGAGCTTTACATTCCTCATCTGTTTAATGGGAACAATAATAGGCCAATTCATTTGGTGGTTGTGAAAATTAAATGAGATGAAATGTTGACTCCAGTGCTTGGCACATCATAGGTAGTCAGTAAATCCTTTTATTCCCGTCTCAGGAAGCTTGAGAGAAATCATTTATCAAGAGATATTTAGATCATCCAGAGGGCTTATCCTGAAATTTCAGGTGGGAAGTTGCATGCTCTGGGCTTCCAGGTATGACACAGAAAGGGCAACCATGGTGGCGGTGAGCAGAAATTCCAGGAGGCAGAAGTCCATGACAAGGTAGAGAACAGCCCGGAATCAGGTGGCTGGTCACCCACGTACAGGACAAAAGCAGCAAACAGCGCAGAGTCCAAACCAGCTGGATGAGATGTGGCAGGGTTAAGTGCAAAGTCCTGCCCTTAGGCCCTGAAAATCAATTGTGTGAGTGTCCTACCCATCTATGTGGAAAAGCCCAATACATTGGCTTAGCCTGGCTACATTAATTGAAGTCCTGGGTTTAGACCTTGGTAGAGGATCTTTTCCCTGCATTGGCTGAGACTGGCCACACCTGGAGTGTGCAAAGCCGGTATCCCTGTCTTACAAGCTTTGGAGGGGCCCAAGGACAGTCAGGAAGATATAGGGGAATGACTGCTATTTTCAGGTGGGCAAGGTGGGCAGCATGTTCTTTGTTGCTCAGAGGGCAGAGATGAAGGCCTATGGTAGTGATGTCAAAGAAAACTAAAGACGGAGCAGATTCTACTTTGACATAATGTAAGAAATTTTAAAGAACTCAGGCTTGTCTCTAGGGCCAAACCGCTGTTTTAGAGCAGATATTGGAGTCTACCTGCAAAGGGTATTGTTCAAGCAGTATTGACTAGAGAGGAGTTTATGAAATAACAGGGAGGAAGGTATACTGAAAGGTTATAGATCTAACTAAAGTGCTGTAAGATTTTGGCAAAGGGAAGGCTTTGTGGATCAACCAACTGGGGTGGGATCCTGGGGAGCTGGGAAGAAAAGGCTCTCTGGGGATCCCTGGTCAGTCAAGTGAGTAAAAGGCATAGAAGCCCAAGTGAGTGAAGTGGGATCGAGAAATAATAAGGAAACCAGCTTAGCTAGACTCTTCCCATTATTAAAAGTCAAAGAAAGAAGTTGGGACTCTAAGGGAAAAGGAACTTGAATGCCAAACTAAGAAGCTGGACTTTACCCTGTCGGTAGTGGGGAATAATTGGTGGCTTCTGAGCAGAAATGACTTGCAGCAGATGTAGGCTGGAGTGAGGGTGGGAGGCTGGGGAAAGAGCAGCCTTAAAGCTGTGCAGAAGCGGCCGGGTGCGGTGGCTCACGCCTGTAATCCCAGCACTTTGGGAGGCCGAGGGTGGGCAGATCACGAGGTCAGGAGATTGAGACCATCCTGGCTAACACGGTGAAACCCCATCTCTACTAAAATACAAAAAATTAGCCCGGCGTGACTATGCGGAAGCTTCTCTATCCCAAGTCGCAGGCTGAACATCCCACTTAGTGACAAGGGCTGGGAGAGGGGAAAGGCTCTGAGCAAATGTCTTTGTGGGCTGAAAATGAGACTATGATCCCAAGAAGTGACTGGACTGTGTATATTCTTTGCTGATGCCTACCTTGGCCCAACCATCTGAAAGCTGTTTTAGACTCACTTGCCACCCCTTGAAGATTTTGAGAACACACCATCCTGAGACCTGGAGAACCAGGGTATGTGGTGTGAGACAGCTGGGTTCACAGCATCCTAGAGGGCATAGCAGGTATAGAAGGGAGTGATCCAGGAGGACACTGGTCACAAGAATGTCCTCCTGGATCACTCCCTTCTATACCTACCATACCCTAGGAAGTCTGACTGTCTGCACCTTGGGCCATAGAGTGAGCAAGGTTCCATCCCTGGGAGGGGAGGCAAGGAAGGGATGTGGGTACCAGGGCCTCATTCAAGTAGGCTGAGGTTTTGGGTGGGGTGTGGTGTATGGGAGGAGAGAGTTGCTGTGGTTAGGCAACGTGGATGTCTGAGCAGTGTGATATCTTGGTCTGGGTGGCAGGGAAGGAGTCTGGCAAGAATGGTAGGAAGAGTGGCCATGGAACCCCAAGGTCAGAACTGGCCCATTGGATCTGGGGAAACCTACCCTTTAGCAGCAGAGGTAGAGCATACTTCTCAGGTACTGTGGAATCAGTAGGATTGTGACAGTATTTATTATTTCAGCCTCTAAATAATTTTTGAACCATTGTCTATGCTGAGAATGGTGATGATGGGACCACAAGATGAACAGACATGTCCCCTGACTGAATGGAACTTAAGAAATGTACCCCCTTACTCAAACAGATAGTAGTAACTGCTGAGAAAATACAGTTAATATTCAGAGAAAGATGTTGGGGGGGCCTGGCTTGCTGAGGAGGTGGCATTTGAGGTGTGTCCTGAAGGAAAGACAGGGACCAGAGTTGCCCGTTTCTATGGGGCTGAAGGGAATTGCTGGCAGAGGGAACAGCAGTGCACAAAGGAAGGCATGAGTAATGCCAATTAAGGGGCACCTGTGGAAAACAACTGGCGGCATGATTTGGCTGGAACTGAAGAGTAAACGAAGTTAAATAGGGCACCAGGGATTGGAAATTACCGTCTATGAAGTACCCATCATGCATCAGGCATTGAGCACAGAGTCTGTGCTCACTTAAATTTCAAAGCAGCCTTTCAGGGCTTTAACTGAGGAGGAAATGGGCTTCAAGAAGATACCTGATCATCTCAAGTTTCCCTAGGTGGTGAGTGGCCAAAATAAAATTGATGTCCAGGCTGCCTGACCCCAAACTCTGTTCTTTCCACTTAATCTTGCCACTATGTTTAGAGTCCAGATTATGCAGTCTTAAATTTACAGTGAAGACCTGTTCTTACCGTATTTAGGCAGGAAGATGGTCAGATGGCACATGGCAAACCACATTAACCTTTGAGAGGCACTTAGTGGACATGGCCAGATAGTCACAAAGCATATCTGAGTTCTAATACATATATATGCATGCATACACATATATATTTAGGAAGTTAATCTCTAACTTCCTAAATGCAGTTTTCACATTACAATAGAAACTGTTACTCCCAGACCACTATAGGCAATTTCTGAATTGCTGGCTGAATTCCAGTATTTTCTCATCCCTTCAATAAAGTATATTAGAATGGGGCAAGATAAGCCTGAATCTTCTCTAATTTATACAAAAAGCTTCTATCATTAGTAACAAGTTACCTACAACCAACCTTACCTGTTTAGGATACCAAGGTGTCAGCCCTAAGAGATGTTTAGCAAGAGTGGTACTCCAAGAGGTTTGGAAGCGTGGGATGAGGGTAAGAGTCAGAGAAATGTGGGCAGTAACCCAGGTGGGGCTGTAGGGGTTGAGAGGAGGGACCGATACAGTTCAGTAAGCATTTGCTGAGAGCCTGCCCATGCAGGGGTGTAGAGTGGGTGCTGGGATACCTGCATGAAAGGACAACATTGTTTTCACAGATCACATGTTCAAGCTCTGAGCAGGTGGGTGTTGGTGAGGACTGCCTGCTCAAGTTGGGGTTCTTATGCGTATATCTAGTACAGTCAGCCAGTCTTTGTTGCTGAGCAGGTCTGCCCAGGGCCCAGTTCTCCATCCAGTTTGGCCTTCCTCCTGGAGCTCAGAACTCAGATCTAGCCCTGGTGGCCACGCCTTGCTTCTGTCCTCAGGGTGGACCCAGGGTCCTTCAGACTTCCTAATGGGAGGCTTTTCCTCAGCCTGGAGAGAAAAGTTGAGACCACCTGCGAGGCAATAGTAACCACTGAGAAGACAGAGGAAATATTCAGAGGAAGAAGTTGGGGGAGCATCTGGGCTGCAGTGACGCAGGATTTCATGTTAACAGGAGACAATGTGGGAGGAAGCTCTACCTCCTTGTCCTACCACTTAATAAGGTACACTGTGAGAACCCGTTAAAGGCTCTTCCAGGGTCACAAATCCAGTCCTCAAATGTTATGATTTATATTTAAAAGAGAATTTTAGATAAGCCAAGTGACAGCTGAATGGGAAATGGAGTTAATGAGACAGATCTTATCGGCTCCATGAAAAATGCATCTCATTACATCACTGTTACACATCGTATATGGAAACCTTCCCTCAGTAATTCCTGGAGTGATTGCCTGTCTGGCTATCGGTGTCCCCAAAGAGTGTGGTGTCCACTGAGAATAACCGGGAGGCCTTTCTCAGATACCAGTACGGCTCAGCCATCTTCTCTCAAGGCCATCTCTAGAGTTATTATGGGCTCTCTTGATGCCAGTGCATGGAGCCAGGGACTGCTGCACCGAGGACAAAGCCAGCCAGCCATGAACGTGGTCAAGACTTGGCCCTTCCCCTCCCTAACCCTACAGAGCCCAGTTCAGCTTTAGCCTCCATGTTTGAGGCCTCCCAAAATCCATTTCCCCAGCGGTGTCTTCTCTGTCAGGTACCTGCCCCTGGGATGGCCCCTGAGCCTCATAACTCGGCCTGTTCACTGTTCCTAAGCAGGTCACCTTGTGACCCTCGTGGAATGGCTGAGGAAGGAACCGAGGGGCTGTAAGAGTGGCCGTGTGATCCCTAGGAAACCTTCAGCTCTGGAAGGCCCTGTGGCCCTAACCTTGCCCTGTTTTGTCAGGTACTGCTAGAGAGACGCAGAAAACCTGGAGCATGTGTGCTGTTTGAGCTGCTGTATCCCAGGGTCTGCCACTTTGGGGGCTACCTGCAAGAGATTTGGCAACTTCTCAAAGGAACTCAACATCATGGTTGTTGTTTTTTTAACCCTGATCCCAACATTTAGGCCCTGATGAAGGGTCTTGGCCAAATCCATCTTCTGGAATAGTACAGTTGGGAACATGTTCTCTGATGTGGAGAGGCAGAGTGTTACATACTTACTGGGCCAGGCACTGAGGTGGGTAGTTTATTCTGTCCTCTTTCTTAACCCTCTGACTAACCCTGTGTAAGGCAGATATTATATCCATTACATAGTAACCTGAGAGGTTAATGTCCATATTACCCAAGGCAAAAAACGAATCCAGCTCATAAGTAGTGGAGCAAGGATTTAAGCCCAAATCTGTCTGACTTTGCTATGGTCTGAATGTTTATGTCTCCTAAAAATTCATATGTTGCAATATAATCCCCAAAGTGATGGTATTAGGAGGTGGGGCCTTGGGAGGTGATTAGGTCATGAGAGTGGAGCCCTCATGCTTGAGATTGGTTCCTTTATAAAGAGGCCCCAGAGAACTAGCTGGTTTCTTCCACCATGTGAGGACATAGCTGGAAGGCACCATCTGTGAACCAAGAAGCAATCCTGCTCCAGACACTGACTCTGCTGGTGCCTTGATCCTGGGCTTCCCAGCCTCCATAGCTGTGAGAAATACATTTCCATTGTTTGTGAGCTACCTTCCCAATTTATGGTAATTTTGTTAAAACAGCCTGGACAGACTAAGACAAAGCTTGGGCTCTTTCTGCTGCATGCTGCTCCTCTCTTTCTTCAGGGGAAGAAGCACCTCACTTGGGAAGAAAGGAGCCTCAGAAGGCTTGAGGCTGGGGGTATGGGGACCCAGCGTCTATACTACCCCTTCTGTGGCCATTTGGAGTCACATAGACCTCTGTAATTTTCACTTTTTCCTTTGATTCTGAGGAACTGTTTGGGTATCTTCTATAGGGGAATAAAGACTCTGCTTTATGGAAAGGAAGAGCTGAGAAAGATGGGAGAGAGGTCCCAGGAGATCATTAGACCTTCCCACTCCCCTGGAGTCCAGCTAACAAACTTCCAGGAGCAAAACCACTTGGGCCTGCAGGGAAGGGGCTACCTAGTACAGTGTCATTCTCCAGCAGGCCTGTCTTTGGCCTGCAGGAACACTTGTGCAAGTGGGGGATTCCTAGATCACTTTTCTTGGGAAAGTCCCTAAACCACTTTCTGGCCTCTGAACTCTTAGGGGAGGGAAGTGATCCAAGTGGCAAATATCTTGTGACTGGCAAGCCAAGGTTAGGGACCAACCCTTCCCCTGCCTCCCCACATGCTGGAGCTTTTGAACTGAGTTGAAGATAGCTGGGCCCAGGGCTCTTGGCCCTTGAATGCAGCTTGACATCTGGTCAGGCTGCAGGATCTTAGGGTTTCCTCTTTGTAGCATCCTAAAATCTGGCCTCACTAAATGGTCTCGGTCCAGAGGTGGGATTCGACTTAGAGCTGACTTACAAAGAATACAGATAAAGGAATATTGGGAACTGTGCTTACCTTGATGTGGTTTAAGGTCTGAGGATGTGAAGAAAGTCTCTCCTGGATTAAGAGGGAAGGGGAACACCAGTGGGTCAGGATAGAGGCCGACAGCCCTGGAGAGGAGGCTGCCTTCTTCCCATAACTTTCCCAGCTGCGTGTGTAGGATCAAATGGGGGTGTGTGTTAGTTTGCTTGGGCTGCCATAACAAAGTACTGGGGGGCTTACACAACAGAAATTTATTTTCTCACAATTATGGAGGCCAGAACTCTAAGATCAGGGTGTTGGCAGGGTTGGTTTCTTTTGGGGCCTCTCCTTGACTTTTATTTATTTTTTATTAATTTTTTTTTTCTTTTTGGAGATGGAGTCTCACTGTGTTGCCCATGCTGGAGCGCAGTGGCACGATCTTGGCTCACAGCATCCTCCACCTCCTGGGTTCAAGTGAATCTCCTGCTTCAACCTCCTGAGGAGCTGGGATTATAGGCATGTACTACCACACTTGGCTAGTTTTTGTGTGTGTGTTTTTAGTAGAGATGGGGTTTCACCATGTTGTCCAGGCTGGTCTTGAACTCTTGGCCTCAAGTGATCCACTCACCTCGGCCTCCCAAAGTGCTGGGATTATAGGCATTAGCCACCATGCCCAGCCTCTCCTTGACTTTTAGATGGCTGTCTTCTCCCTTTGTCTTCACATGGTCTTTCCTCTGTACCCATGTGTCCTAATCTGCTCTGCTTTTAAGTACACCACCTATTGGATTAGGGCCCACCCTAATTATCTCATTGGAATGTAATTACCTCTTTCAAGACCTTATTTCCAAATATAGTCACATTCTGAGGTACTGGGGGTTAGGACTTCAACATAAGAATTTTGAGGGTGTGGGTACAATTCAGCTCATAACAGGGTGTTTCCAAAATCCTCATTGAACAAGGCTCAGTGTCATGGTGAAGCATGGAGAGGCACTTACTACTGATCCTGCCAACCTTGGGACCAGGAGAGGATGGTGGACCCAGCTAGCTAGTGGAGGAAGCCTGACTGGCCTCGTCCAAAGGCTCAGCTCCAGGCCGAGCTGTTTACTTGTAGTCAGGCTCTCTGGCAGCAGTAGTTTCTGTGCAGTGTCTTCATCTGGCTCCCGTGTGGCCCTCGGAACTCCAGTGAACACAGAGCTGCTAATACCCTCCAGCCCAGGCCTTCGGGGGAAGCCTCCTTCTCCTCTGATGGAGGCAGAGGCCAGGCTGTTGTTGACAGTGCACACAGGCCTGTCTTTAAAGAAATTCTTTGGTCTTCTACTGACTTAACTTTTTTTATTGCAAGGGGAAAAGCATTGCATTGAATCAAAATTAAACTGTTCAACAAATGTTGAAATGAAGGCTCAAATTACAGAATACATTTTGATTAATTCAATTAGTGTTTACCTCCAGCCTGCCAAATTCTGGGGCCTATTCCTCAGCAGGCAGCCAGGGAGGCTCGTAGGAGGGAGTTGGCTATAGGCAAAAGTTACGCACGCTCCAGCTAATAGAGAAAACTTACCAATTCATATCTGTTTTTTTTTGTTGTTGTTGCTTAGCATTCTAAAATAATGGAATAGGGAGAAGTGCCTGGTTTTATTATCTATTAGGGGAAGTGACATCCTTTTTTCTCATTGGTCCTTCAGGAATACAATTGCATCCATCAGTTATGTCTCTCACTCATGCCAGGCCCAAGCGTAAGTTCCCCTTATGGTAGAGACGCTTTCACCTCTGAATATCTGGCTGTAAGAGAGAAGGGACCCCAGGTGTGGAGAAAGTTCGATGAGAGAGGCTGTCATGGATAGCCCCCAATCCTTCTTTCAGAGTGCTGGCCAAGGTTACATGCCCAGCCTCCCTTCACTTTCCACTCAGGTACACAAACACTTAACATTTTGTGTCAACAAACATTTACTGAAGGTCCTGTGCCAGGTTCTTTGCTGGGCTCTGAGGATAGAAAGGTGAATGGAGCATACTCCTTGCTCTCTAGCAGTTAATCTAGACAGGGAGGCAGACACATTGAGAAATAATACAAATTATTATCATCTTCATAAATAATATAGACAGCTCTGACGATAAAGGTGTGTACCAGATATGACAGGAGCAGAGCTGAGGCATCCAGCACCTTCAGGGATGAGGGGTAATGGTGTTAGGAAAGGTTTTCTGGCAGTGGTCATTTGGATAAGGCCTTAGCATGGGTGGGATTTGAAAGTAGAGATGGAGAAAAGCACCCACGTAGAGGAAGTACAGAAAATGGGGTATTTCTGTATGCGAGGGTAGGACGTGGTCCAGTGAAGCTGGAACTCAGAGTGGTGAGGACTATAGCGGGGAAGGTTAACTGTATTAGAG
Source organism: Homo sapiens (assembly GCF_000001405.40). NCBI lineage: Eukaryota > Metazoa > Chordata > Mammalia > Primates > Hominidae > Homo > Homo sapiens. The sequence goes on from NC_000011.10 coordinate 7,533,845, forward strand.
GACTTTGGCAGAGCTGCAAAATGCAGCTTCTCTCCTGAAAGCACTGTGAAGCCGAGGAATGTTTGAGAGCAGAGGAGCATGTCATGAGCTCCATGGAACATGTCTTGCCTGCACAGGGAAAGAAAGACAGATTGCAGGGAAGTTGGCTAGAGGTAGAAAGCCCAGAGGAAGCAGCTTTTGCAATCTGGCTGAGAGATGATGAGGTTCTAAACTGTGGTGAGGTGAGAGGTAAGGAGAGTTTGGTGGAATGTTAGGACCTATTCAGGGAGTTTGAATGGCACTGTAGAAAGAGCACCAAATGAGTCATCAGGAACTTAGGTTCAAATCTCAGTTCTGCTGGAAGGGAAAGTAGAATTCTCTGCCCCCTGCCCTGAAAAGTCCACATCCCCAGGTGGTGGTTTGGTTTTTTGTGTTAGCCTGTTACTATAAAAAGAATTCAAATGTACACAGAAATAGAAATAGTAAAATGCATCCTCTTACCCATCATTTAGCTTAACCTCTTGCTTGTATTATTTTTTAGGGGGGCAATTTTTGAGATGAAGCTTTTTGGAAATATTCACTTTGAGGTTGCATTTGAAGCATTTCTCTGAATCTGTTTATGATCTGGTTGAGGCAATGAAATAATTTCACGTCCATTTGTTCCTCCCTGGAGGTAAATTGTGTGTATGCATGTGTGTTCTTTGCTGTAAGAAGGAAAATGAGGGTAGCTTCCCTTGAAGGGTAAGTTCTGGGGCTGAGGAGGCACATTGCCAACCGGGTCCTGTCAGGGGCATGAGGCTCTCTGTCTGCTGTGGGGGCAGGTGTGGTGTGGACAGGGGAGAGAATGGAGGTAAGGACTACCACAGGTCAGACACCCTTATCCATTCACTGGGAGGGGCTTGTTGCCCAGAGCTTAATTCACACTGACCAACCTGACAAGGCTGGTCCATAAGCCAGACACCAATTTAATTTACTCTGGCAGGCATTGTGCAGTGGCCACAACGCAAATGCCTGCTTTCCCAGACCGCCTTCCTGGCCTTACCCCACCTGGCAAAATGAATTACAGCATCATCCGCAGGTTGCTGGGGAGCCATGCTCTCAAATAGAAGGCACCATGTGCATTGCAGGTGCATCACTACAGGCCCTGATGGGACCTCATAGGCTCTTTCTGGTGCAGGCCACTTCCTTTGCCAAGGTGGCTCTAGGGAGAGGGGAGGATGGGCTGAGCTGCACATGCTCAGTTCCTTCTTTCATTTCCACCATCAGATACTGAGCTGTTTCCCAGGGGAGGAAATCCTGGAAAGAGAGGAAGTTAGTATCCTCCCATTGGGTCTTGCCCATGACAACATGAAGCAGAAACTAAATGGAGGTGGGAGCCCATGTCTCAGCCAAGATTCATTTCAACAGGCAGGGGTGGGGATGCTGTCATAGAGAAAACTTGCCTGAGCATTGAAAAATTAGTTTTGATGGACAGAGATTGGGGAAGGGGCCTTTAGTTGAGGAAACAGCATGACAAAGGCACAGTGGCATAAGGATGCTCTCTTGCGGCTGGGGTATCAGGAACCCAGGAGCAGGTCAGGCTCAGTGAGGAAGTGCGTCCAGCGTAGTGGTTAGGAACATAACCTTGGAGTTGGACTGCCTGAATTCAAATCTTATCTTTACTGCTTCCTGGATGTGTGATTTGACCAAGTCACTTAACCTCTCCAAGCTTCAGTTTCCTTATCTGTAGAATCGGGATAATAATAGTTATAAATATTGAGATATGAGATAAACATAAGAACTTAGCTCAGTGTAGAAGTGAGTGTTTAATAAATGGCAGCCATTATAACTACCATCATGAGAACAGGACATTTTCGGGCCGGCTCCAATTTGGATGCCAGCTCATGCGTTCAGACTGCTGTGGGAGAGGCCAGGTGTTACTCAGGTGAGAGGAGGTTCTCCAGTGCCCTGGTTCTGAATACCTGAACACAGTCTGGGCAGTAGGAGTGGAAAGGATGAGATGGAGAAGAGCATCCCTGCAAGGGGAGACCACAGAGACCTGGTGGCTCACACGGGAGGGGAGTAGGGTGGGGAAGCATGACAGGTGAATGCAGGCTGCATAGTTCAATGAGGGACCCGGAGAGCGCTTCTCCCAAATGCCAGAGGAGGAGAGTGTCACCACTGATGAGATGCCAAAGAAGGCACTAGAGCAAACGCTGACTGATGGCGAGTCTAAGCGCTTTACTCTGTTAACATTTAACCTTCACAACCACCCTTTCAGGTAGGCAGTTTTATTATTATCCTCATCTTAAAGATGAGAAACCCGAGGCACAGAGGTTAAGTGTCTTGCCCTGGGACATATAGTTTCTGAATCAGGGCTGTCACCGAGGCAGTCCAACCCCAGCCTGGGCTTTTAACCCCACCCTAGACCGCCTCTTAAGGAAATGGGAACACAAGCGGCTGGCTGGATGAGAGCATGGCACGGGTGCACACGGATGAGTGACGTCCCACCACTGGGGGTGTCAGAGAGCACGGGAGGTAGGCAGTGGGGCTCTGAGGCAAAGGGGAAACATGGAATAATAACAGTAGGGTGCAGGGTCAAAGGACATGTTCTAGAATAGCAGAGGAAGGAGCAGAAGAGGGAGAGAGTGCAGATTCAGTTTGGAGGGGGAATAATTGAGAGGTTGGATCTCAGTGATGATCGAAGATTAGGGGTCACAGGGAGGAGGGGCAACTCTTAGACAGCATGTGAAGAGAGGGTAAGAGATGAGAGAAGGGGAATCAAGTGGTTTTGTTTCTCATTAAAGAAAGATGCATGGTAGTTTGCAGAGGGAGTCTGACACGAAGAAACATGAGATTAGAGATCCCAGGCGCATGAATGTCTGATGGAGCCGTATGTGTTGTGTAGCATCCCGGGAGCAGAAGGAAGAAGAGACATGTGAACCTGGTTCCCCAGGCAGAGGGAGAGTGAGCGTAAGTTGTGACCAGAGAGGTAGAATGAGCTGAGGAGCACGTTCAAGCTGGAGAGAGGTGAGGACTCTACACTCTGATGAACAGAGCCAGGGAGAGAGCCTCCACGTTGTCCAGAATAGGGCTATGGTGAAAGAGGAAATGGAGTCAAGGAAGTGTGGGAAGGGAGGGAATAGGTGGGGACCTGAAGTGGGCAGGTAGAAGGGACAGGCTGGCAGACCATGGTTATACTTGGGGAGGGGAATCCAGAGAGATCCTTGAGCTCCTTGAGAAGGATCCTTCCTTCAGGTCCCCGCCTCCTCCTCCTACGTTATTGCTGGGAAGAGTGGGTGGCTTCTAGGTGGCTCCCTCAGTGGTTGTCATTGCCTAATGGCTACAGGCCATGTTCTAGGGGTGACAGGTGAGAGACCCTTCTCAAGCTGGGGCAGCTTCATTCGCTGTCACTATTCCCCTGCTCTCTGGCCACTGAGCTACATCTTTGTAAAACAGGGCTGATAATTGTACTATATCCCTCACAGGACCCCCTTGAAGATTAAATGAGAAAACAAAAATGAGGACACTTTTTTTCCCCCCCACAGAGGCAGCAGCTTCTCAAAGGAGACAGGAAACCTGTGAACTCCCAGAGCAGGTGGTTTTTACACACAGGTGGATATTGCACAGGCTCGAAATAATTCACCATCATCTTGATCTATTGTGAATGGCTGTGTGGCCAGGGCAGGCAGCCAAATCTTAGAACGTGTGAGTTATCTGTTGCCTAGTCCTGGCTCTTCACATCTTAGCCTTGAAAGATAGACTCTCATTTACGTTTACTTCTTAGACCCACTCTTTCTGAGCGGTTCAGAAGGAAGGGAAAGAGCCTCCTCTCCGAAAGTTCTCTAAGTGGCTACGGTGGGCCCTATCCCCATGAGGGCACTGATATACTTGTCTTACAGTATTGAAGGGCACACTGATGGGGTTTGGTGATGCTCTGCTCCCTGGATGCTGTCTGGCTCCCCATCTCAATTCTTCCCAAAGGCACAGATCCCTGCCTCGCTTCCCTGCCCTCCCCGCTCCCCACTCCCCAATCCCTCTCCTTGTTGGAGTACCTGCACTGTTTGACCTTTGGCATCTCCCCAAACCATTCTCTGACAGACCTGGCATTAAGGCATGGCCTTGGTTGTGGCTGGTTTACCCTAATCAGTGCTTGAGTTGGGAAAAGGATCAGCTTGGAGAGAGAGGGGAACAAAGGCAGAATATCGAGAGCAGAAATAGGTGAGAAGAGTCAGAGGAGGGTGAAGCGAGCATTCAACAACATCAAGCAAATACGGTGAAGGAAACTTGACATCAGCTTCTTAGTGTTCCTGAAGCCCAGAAGGTCAGATGTGCTTTTGGGTGTGAGCCATCAGAACCTCAGACTCACACCCGTTTCCTGGCCAGACCCTGCGCTCCTCCTTGTGGGCTGGGCTCGTGGTGTCTCATTCTCATGTCTTTGGGGTGGTGTTTCTCTTAAAAAGCTTGCCATTTCCAGTAGGAGGAGGATGTCGCTGCTGAGACTGTGGGACAGCTAGGCTCAGAGGGAGTCTGACTTCGGGGCACCCGGAGGTGAGGTCTCAGTGCCTGTTGCTGCTCTTTGCCTTCTTTAGAGGACAGTGTGCAGCTTTCTGACTGAATGCCCTGCTGTTGTGATATGTTGCTGGAAATGCTGTTTGGGGTCATGGAGCCTTGCTTAAAGGGCTGTGGTTTGGTGAGAAGGGCTCGAGCTTTTTGGGAATGCTTAAGTGGAAGCATCTGGGCTTGGCTCTGCCAAAGGAGGCTGGTGGTGGAGCAGGGACATGTGACAGGACTTGGGCTGTGTCTTCAGTGGAAGGACCAGAAAGCAAAAGGAATCCTTCCAGTGGGTTCAGCAGAACTAGGCTCCAGCACAAATGTTCTTAAGGATATCCTGGACCTCGCCTGACAGGGAGTGGCTGGGAATACCCGGTGCATAAAACTCACTAACCTGGTATAGCGGGAAAAAGACGCTAAGCAAGAAATATTGCATTCATCCCCTGCCACCACCCAGCACTGCCAGCCTGTGTCTAGATTCAGGGCCCTTTCTGCAGTTCTGATAGATCTCAGCCCCCACTGGCCTGAGCTTAACTGACTAATCAGAACAGCCTGATCTAGGATGTTTAGGTTGAAACAAGGAACCTTGTATGCGCCAAATATTTTTGTTGCTGTAAAGCTTTGAACAAATGTTTGCTCTTAGGAGTTACTGATACTATGATTAGATGGGGACCAGTTAAGCATGCTTGTTCACCTTCAGTGGCATTCTTCTATTTTCTCCTCTTCAGCTTCTTTTAGGCTACTTAAGCTTCTATTCATTGACAAAACAAAACAAAGCTCTGCCTCTTCACTTTTATTAGACTCCGATATTCACTGAAGGCATTCAGCAACTCTGATAGCAACGTTCTCAGCAGCCTGGCCCCTCTGTCCTGCTATGGCTCCTCTTTGTCCTGACAGGATATCTCGCTGTGTTGGGCTCCTCTGTCCTGAGGGAAATTTAGCACAATGGCCTTGTCCCTCATTGTGATATAAAGCCAGTGTCTGTGGGCTCTGCCATTGCTCTGAGGAGCTGTCTTCGCAGGCCAGGTGTGCGGCTTCTCCTCTCCACTGTCAGATCTGATCCTGTGGGGGTCGTGACCTCTGGATGTTATAGGACCTGTGGAGGACAGGTACAGCTTGTGGCCCTGGGCAGAAGGTGGGGACAACTTGAACTGCTACGCTGAGAGCCTTGCCAGTGTAGACCGGTGACCTCTTTATTTCCTTTCATTTTCTCCCTTTTAGAATGGGAGCTGAGCTCCGGGGTCAGAGATATGGCCCTGCCTGTGAGGGCCTTACCACTTAGACAAAAGTGCCCTGGAGAAGTCTGTCCTGGGAGTGGCGAGGGGGACCCAGTCAGAAGTAGTCACTTCCATCTGGGGGATGGATGGGAGAGGATCCTTGGAGATAATGATGATGGAATTTGGCCTCAAAACAGGAGTGGGAGTTGAGCAGGTAGAACGAAGGACTTCAGCTAAAACACTGAAGAAGCCCCAAAAGCAGAAGCAAGCTGGGGACAATAGCTTGGCTGTTGCTCAGGGCAGGAGCCAGATATGGCCAGGAGAATTAAAACTGCTGGGGTTGTGAACTCCCACCCAGTTTTGAATCTCTACAGTCCCACAATGTGTCTCTTTTCACCTGAATTTTATAAATAGGTAAAATGAGGTTCATTAATGTTAAAGAGCTTGTCGGGGCACAGCTCATGAAGGAAAGAACTTGGATCTACATGCAGGTCTGACTACAGAACCCACTCTCCTAACTGCTCTGTGGGTCCTTAACTTCGTCTCCAGGTCCCCAAGCACCCCTTTGTTGCCTGAGTGATAGAAAGCTGGTGAAGCGTTGTGAATGCTGGGAAGCCTTGGTAAGATTTGTGAAATAGACCCACCCTCCTGGCAGCAGTGTGGAGGATGAGGGGTGTGGGGGGGCGGTGAGGCTGGAGGCAGAGAAACTGGTTAGGAAGCCAGTGCAGCCACTCTGATGGGAGATGACGGCAGGGCAGGTGAAGATGAGGGGACAGATCTGAAAGAGAGGGAGGAGATTTTACCGGATCTGGTGCCCAGTTGGATGTGGGTAACAAAAGGGAAGGTCCAAGGCTGACTCCCAGGTTTTTATCTTGGTGACCATGGGGGCATCACCAAGGTGGGATGGGAAGCATTTGGGTCCCACCCATTGTGAGAATATAGAGAGGGAGGTGGGTGCTCAGGATGGGAAGAGTTTGGGGCTGTTGTAGGGGAACATGCTGCAACCTCACTCCAGTCCCCACTATCTCCCAGGCTTTAGCTTCCCATGGACAATGAATTGGTTATTTTATCAATAAATCTGTAAACACTTATCCAGTGCTTACAGAATGGGGGACCCCACAGGGACCCAGACACGTGGCACAGTTTTCAGGGAGATGGCTGTGCACAGCTGCTGTCATTCCTTTCCTTCAGGATGAAAAAAGATGATCAGGGAGATCCCATTTAGGTAGTCAGAATTAAGTATGATTACCTGGAAGAGCTGGCTTGATGGGAATTTAGCAGGGACAGCTGTAGGCATGGGCATAAAAGCTGGAAAGCAGTGCAGACAGCCAATTAACTAACAATTAGGATCAGATGCCTTAGTGATAAGGCATCTGGTGAGGATGGGGCAGAGGTCTGCCAAAAGGTATGTATGGTAAAAGTTAAAGCCGTGACCAAGTAGGTTGAGTCCATATGATGATAGACCATGATTTCTACTGTGTGGCTGGTGGCCAGCCCCTGAGGCTGTCTAAGCAAAAGGGTGCCTGGTGCAGGGCTGTGTTTGCATTCCATCAGTTCCTCAACTTTGGTCAGAATCAGAATCACCCGAATGGCTAGATCAGCCATAAAGGTCAGGCTCTCTACTTACAGGAGGCTGGGCCTCTTGCTTGATTAGTTCTCAGGGTGGTTCTGATTAACAGCAAAGTTTGAGGACCACGAGATAGGTGAATCTTCAGTGCAGAGTGAATGGGGAGGGCTGTTCGGAGGAGGGTAACCGGTTAGGAGGCTATTGTAGTCATCTAGGGTGAGGTAATACAGGGACAGGTGAGGCTGTGTGAGCAGATGAGATCACCAGTAGCGTGAGTTTGGAGAGAAGTGCTCTGGTCTTATTCAGCAGCATTTGGTGCACCTGACTGCGCCCTCTATCCAGAAACCCTTTGGTTCGCTTATGGGTGCCACTCTCACTTCTGGCTGCTCCTCCTGTCTCCTTTGTCCATTCCTCTTCTCCCCGGTGGCTGCATGGTGGAGTGTTTCAGGGAGTCCTGGGGCTTCCTCTGTTTTTATACCACTTCTTAAGTCACTTCATGCAATTGCTTAAATACATCTTTATGAAGATGCCTCCCAAATTGACATCTCCATCCCAGACTTCTCTGTAAACATCAGACTCCTATTTCCAAATGGCTACTCAGCGTAACTTCCTAGGTGTCTATAGGCCTCTTAAGCTGAACATTTCTAAAACCAATCTCCTGATTTCACCCCCAGACACCCCACATTGTTGCTCCTGCAGGCCTCCACATTCTCTAGGTACTCAGGGCAAAAACCGTGTAGGCACACTTGACTCTGCTCTCTCATGCCCATGTCCAGTTTATCAGTAAATCTTATGGGCTTTGTCCCCAAGGTATATCAGGAATTAGAACATCTAATTCATTACGGTCTGAGTCACTTCATCTCTTGCCGGGTTTCCTGTGTTCACTGCTGCGTCCCCTGCAGTCTATTTTCCAAGAAGCAGCCAGAGTAATCCTTTTAAAAGGTTAAGTCAGATCATGTCAACTCTATCCTCAGAACCCTCCAAATGGGTTTCTGTCTCAGGAAAGTGGAAGAACAGGAGGAAAAATGGTGTGCATCCTCAGGCAAATTGCCTAATCTGTTTTCTCATCTGTAACAGGGGGAGAATAATTCCTAACTGGTATGGGGATTAAGTGAGATAATGTTGGATAAACCCTTAGCAAATAGCTAACAGTTATCTGCCCAATATATGGTAACTAAAGAGGAGACAGATGCCGCATTAATTTAATCTTGGCACTGTGCCTGCCATGCCACATGTATTATTTCTTTTAATCTTTTTTATTTCTTTTAATCTTAATCACCACTATATATCCACACAATTTAAAGACTCAAATAATTGTATGTAATTTGTTAAAACAGCCACCTCTTCACCTCCCCACCCCATTGTTCTTCCTCAGATGCAGCTGCTTAATTTTTTTAGTCATGTATTTTTATCCGTATCTCTAGAAAAATGCTTGTTCTGCTGCTTTATTATTTTCCCCCCATTTGTCATTATCTGTTCTTATTGAATTAAACAAAGTCTTCACCAATTATGTAAGTCTGTTAAGATGTTCAGATGCACCAGGTGTTCTGTCAATTTCATATGACTGAGGAAGTCTCTCCCAGAGCTTTTGAACTGGCTGACCTTGCAGGCTTGCTACAGAACTGTACCCTAGCATCTCCCTTATGGCCATGACCTTGTGTCCTTTTGAGTTTATGTCTCTCTTGTTAAATGAGCAGTTAAATTAAATGTTTAGGTTCAGCCTGCAATGTTTACCTGAGTTCTGTCTTGTTTACATTTGCCCAAAACAATGAAATTGATTTTATACTGATTTTACAGATGAGACAATTGAGGCTAAAAGAGGTTAAAAGACTCACAGCCATTATGCAGCAGAGCCCATGTTTTCACTCAAGTCTGTCTGTATATAAAAGCTGTACTCTCTCTCCTTTGCCCTTTAGGAAGAAAGTAGTTGTTGGTTAATATGGGATGTGATTGAGAATTTAGCGCTGCCATCAAATTCCTTCATATCTGTCTTTGTCCTTTTTATTTTTGGATGCTCCAAATGGCTTCTTGCTCCACTCTACCAAAGAGGTTTCTTAGATCCTTTAAAGAGGCTTTCTCTTAAGCTTAGGGATAGCAAAAGGTATTTCTTAAAATAACCATTTAAGAGCAGCTATGGCTTATGGGAGGCCTGTAAATTATTGGGAAAAGACTCCAATTTCTTGTAATATAGTGACACTTCTTTATCATCTGTTTGCCACTTGGGGAAGGGAGAGGTAGGAAAGGAGTTAGGTTCTGTGGTTGTGGTGGGGTTCTTGGCTGAGGCCTCCTTCCCCAGGCCTTGATTTCCAGGCAGAGACACTGGCCCCTGTCTAGTGGCAGCTGCTAAGGAGTCAGGTCTTGGCTCTGGCTCAACTGTGTCCAAGGCTCAGAATATCCTGGAGGCACAGGGAATAGCAGTGACTTCCAGATCTGTTCCTAGTTCATTTCAGCATCCAGGGCTATGTGAGCCTGCTCCAAACATCAATTACAACCTAACCATTTTTATTGAGAGAAAAGAAGCTTAGAAATGGAATTCAGCGTGGGTGGAGTAAACAAAGGTTTACTTGCTTCCGACTTACCTTCATCAGTGGTTGCTGCCTACTTCAAATTTTCTTTTGCCAAACATGAAAGGAGTTAACACAGTATATAAATCACTGTTTGCCTCAGAACATACCAGATGATGGGGTTCAATTGTGACTCACTTTCTAAATTTTAGAACACATACAGATCTTGCTCCCTAATCAACTTCCAGGTGCCAAACTGGCCTTTGTGTGGTGCAGTTCATGTGGCTGTGGCATGTCATCATACCTTGCCATTCTAAAACATGGCTTTTCCTCACTGGCTGCATTTACAGCTAAGGGGTGTGGGATCGTTTTCTCCCTCACTGGTAGCGAAGAGAAGGGTTAAGTCCTGTAATGAGCAGGACCCCCAGCCTCAGATGCTGTCCCAGATAGGAAGATGACAGCACACACATAGGCCTGTGAGTGAAGGAAGGATGAATTGTGGATGGACTGCATTTTTTCTTAAACAACATACCCTGCCTTATCTTTATGGCCAGGGATGAGACAGTGTCTCAGTATCAGAAGCCAGCCTGCTCATTAGGGTCAAAATGCCAGCTATGTTAAGTGTCCAGAGAGAATGAAAAGTGCTTTGGTCCCATGTAACAACTGTCTCTGTATTGTGTGTGCTAAGAGCAATATCCTTCTCTGTGTCCACTTCTTTCTTTCCTGGGCGGTTGGGTGCCCCTCGTACAGTCCCCATGGCACATTGTTGATTCCTCTGTTGTCCATGCTGTGTAAGGCCCTTGGGTAGCTGCTGTAGCTCTCCTCTCATTGCTGGGGAGCATGATTTAAATTCTACATCCCGGTTCACGCCTGTATTCCCAGCACTTTGGGAGGCCAAGGTGGGTGGATCACGAGGTCAGGAGATCGAGACCATCCTGGCTAACACGGTGAAACCCCATCTCTACTAAAAATACAGAAAATTAGCCAGGCGTGGTGGCGGGCACCTGTAGTCCTAGCTACTCGGGAGGCTGAGTGAGGAGAATGGCATGAACCCGGGAGGCGGAGGTTGCAGTGAGCTGAGATTGCACCACTGCACTCCAGCCTGGGCAACAGGGTGAGACTCCATCTAAAAAAAAAAAAAAAAAAAAAAAAAATCTACTTCCCACCATCTGCTTAGCTGTCACCCTGATTTTTCACATGTCGCTTGGGATTTTGGCTTGGGTTCTGGCTCTCTCTGTCTTCTCCCTGGTGTGTTGCTTCTGGAGCTTGGTGCACTTAAGCCCCATATCCCTGAGGAGCCCTGGCTCCCTAGGAGATGCTGTGTCCCTGTGGGAGGAACCGATGTGGAAGACACTGAACGCACTGCATGTCATCAGACAGCATGTTTACCTCTGAGACCTGTGATACTATGATATACAGTAGCCCCCTCTTACCCATGGTTTTGCTTTCCTGGGATTCAGTTACCCAAGGTACCGTCCAGTAAGGTATTTTGAAAGAGACAGGGCCAGGCATGGTGGCTCACGCCTGTAATCCCAGCACTTTGGGAGGCCGAGGTGGGTAGATCACTTGAGGCCAGGAGTTCAAGACCAGCCTGGCCAACATGGTGAAATCCTGTCTTCTACCCAAAATACAAAAATTAGCTGGGCGTGGTGGTACACACCCATAATCCCAGCTGCTTAGGAGGATGAGGCACAAGAATCGCTTGAGCCTGGAAGGTGCAGGTTGCAGTGAGCCGAGATCATGCCACTGTACTCTAGCCTAGGTGACAGAGTGAGACCCTGTCTCAAACAAAAACAAAAACAAAACAAAACAAAAAATCACATTCACATAATGTTTTTACAGTGTATTATAATTGTTCTATGTTATTACTAATTATTGTTAATCTCTTACTGTGCCGTGCCTAATTTATAAATTAAACTTCATCAGAGGTCTGTAGATACAGGAAACATCGTATTCTATATATAGGGCTTGGTACCATCCACTGTTTCAGGCATTCACTGGGGCTCTTGGAGCGTGTCCTCCAAGGATAAGGGGGGACTACTATAATAAAAAAAGTATATATTTGGTCTCCTTCCAGTTTGCTAGCACAGAAAAGGGGCAACTTTTGTTATTCATAATAAGCGCCTTTCAACCTTACTCAGCTTTATGCTAATGAGGCCACTCCTGCAGGATGGGCTGGTTACCAGAGAAACCAACCTGGTGATTAGAGGGTTAGAACTTTCAGCCCCACTCCCAATCCTCCCGACTCCTACCTTGGGGAGGAGAGTGGGGCTGAAGCTTGAGTTCAATCACCAAGGACTGAGCGACCCATGATTGGATTAATCATATCTATGGAATGGAACTTCTATAAGAAACCCTAAATGAAGGAAGGGGTTTGGAGAACTTCCAGGTTGGTGAACGCGTGGAAGTGCTGCTGGGTAGCAGCCCTGGAGAGGCTATGGAAGCTCCATGCATCCCTCCCCACTCCTCAGTCCCTTGCCCTATGTATCTCTTCCATTTGGCTGCTTCTGTGTTGTCAGAAACTACACATCAGCTCCTAGGATTCTTATGAAAGCACATTGTATGATAATGGATTTAAGTGGTTTTGTGGTCTTGTATGCATATGTGGAACCCTCTGTAATGTTTCCTTGTTTTGTATTTGAATTTTCAGGAAGAGGAAAATAGGCTGGCAAAAAGAGTCATGGCTTCTGATGCTAGTCATGCACTGTGAATAGGATACACCTTGAATCATGTTTCACTTCAGGCCAGCTCCCACAGGTCCACCCAGCTTGCTGTTTGCCAAGTACAAACTCATCGCTGGGCAGAGGGCCCATGGGTCTTGTTTTATGGCCCTTCTGTTGCGGGGGCACATAGCCTGGGCCCTCTGGGTTTGACACCCTGTCATGTTTACATCTGAGGCCACCTGATTTGTTAGGCATTGGCATCCAGGCCCCTGATGCTGTGGGTGTGATTCCCAGGCTCCTCTCATGCATTGCCCTTGTACTGCATATGTGAATTCCATGGAAGGCTTTGACTCATCTTGAGCAGCTGGGTGCTCCTGCGTAATCTCATCAACCATTTTGGCCTTTGCCAACTACATCCTGCCCTTACATGCTTCCCTGGCTTTCCTGTGCACCACACTCTCTGCCTGGAACAGCATTCTCCTCCTCATCTTCTGAGAAAGCTTCTATCATCCTTCAAGACCCAGGGAACTTGCACACCTGCCTCTATCAACATACCTTGCACTGTGTCATAATTATTTGTTCATACTTCCGTCTCTTCCACTAGATTGTGTGGTTCATGGGGGCAGATACTAGGTCTGATTTATCAGTATCCTTCTAGGGCCTAGCACAATGCTGGCTGCATGGATCTGTCCATTTATTCATAAGTATCTATCTGTTACACAGTGGGAACCTGGGAGTAAACAAGGCAGACAGGGTCCCTCTGCCTCTGTGGGAAGGTGGCCAGTTAGCAAGGAAACAAATACATAGAACAAGATACTGTGGATTTGTTGTGCTTTGAAGGGGCTGCTTTACGTGGTGCCGGGGGGCGGTGTGGGGAAGCCCTCTCTGATACTTTGGATCTGAGACCTGAAGGATGAGAATAAATCAGCTGTGCAGACAACTAGGAAGTGAGCTCAGGGTAGGGGGATGGCAGGCGTATTGCAGAGGAGGGAAGGTCTTGGAGGGCTCGGGAGCAGACAGGAGACCAGTGCTGCTGAAGCATGAGCCATGTGGGGAGAGATGTGAGCATGGCCTGGCCTGATCCTGAAACCTGCTTCATAGGCCACAGTAAGGAGTTTGGAATTTTCCCCTTAGAGAAAGAGCAGTGGGAAGGATTTGGAGGGATTATTTCAAACTTTTAATATCCCTTATGCTGAACAGGTGAGAGTCTGCAGATTGTTTCCTTCCTCCTGCTTCCCCCCTTTTCCCTGCTACCTCTTCTTTTATCCTGGCCAAAGCTGGCCTCCATTCAGGCCCCAGGATTTCCACACCGTATTCGCTCTGTAGCGGCCTGGCTGCTCCTCTCACCTCGGAGCAGCTCTGTTCCTTGTTGCAGCCTTTTCTGGCTCCTGCCAGGGCCCTGAGGTGCCACTGAAGTTCCCCGACACCCTGTGAGCTCCCATTCTCATTCCCTCTAAGCTAACTGTGCAGTGGTTCTTGACCCCCGAGGCTGAATGCCTGCTTCTGAACCTTCCTTGGCCTTAGCACCTGTAAATCCCTGCCCTCTCCCCCTCCACAAGCATGGTTGCTTATCTTCCTTCCCCATGCCTGCCGCCTCCAAACGAACCAGCCTCCTGAGTTTATCTGGTTCTCCCTCCCTGCACCTACCTATTTTTGTTTAAAGTTTCCTCTGAGCTGGCAAAAATATGTCCTGATGTTATATCCTCACTTAAAAAAAAAGCTAACATATTGAACACTTTGTGCAAAGGAATGTGCTTAGTGCTCTCTACATAATTTTAATCATGACATCTATGAGTTAGATGCTGTTATCCCCATTTTACAGATGAGGAAACTGAGGCTCAGAGATCACACAGTACATAGCAGAGCTGGGTCTGAACTCAAGCTATCTGACTTTGGAGCCTGTGGATTTAACTATTATTTCCTAGTGCAGTCCGGTGTGGTTCCTTGGTCTTGAGATCCTTATCCACACCATCTCTGAAGCCATTCCTGGGTGGTGCCCATTTTCCTGTCTTCACTCTAAATGTCCCACTTCACAGGAAAAACTGGCGGAGAGCCTCAGAACCACCTGTTTCCTCTGCTGCACCATGCTTGAGTGTGGAAGCCGTGCCCCTGTTCTCCACAGCGTGTATGGCCATTCGGCACATGTGTAGATTTGCTGAATGAGCAAACAGCAACTCCTCCAGTTTACAGACGTGAGCTAATTCTCTTGGGATTACAAGTGCTATTGTAAATCCCTCCTTGCTACCCAGGGAGAGGGTGGGGAACAAGAAAAATGAGAGGAGGCTGCAGGAAGAGGGTTTAAACTAAAGACCTTCCTTGAGGTAGAGTTGTCCAGAGATGGAAGCAATTGCCTGAGGGACAGGGGAGGGGCATTGGGCAGTTCCCCTTTGCTATAGCTAGGGGATACAGCATTAAGGTAGTGGCCGGACTGTGTATCCTTGGAGGTGTTCATCTGCCCTGAAAAGATGGGATTCTGAACCTCAAATCGTGCTGGGTAGAGTGGATCTAAGATGGTCAGTTATGGTGCTCCTGGGTGCTGTCTCTACATCCTTGTGGCCTGTAGACTTCCTAGGCAGTGCACCCTTTCCCAATTGGAGGAGTGGAAGTGGCATTTGAGCCCTCTCAGCCTGGCTCACACCCACCCAAGGAAAGCACTGCAGGCCTAGGGCAAATGCAGATGTAAGACAGTTAAATGCCTGCAGGGATTGTCCCAGGCCCTGCCCTTGTGCTGCATTGCCTTGTACGCCCTGACAGTGTCCCTGTTAGGTGTGCTGCTCTCCTACGCCACTTAGTGGCGCCTTTCACAGTGGGGTCGGAGCTTCTGGAACCTGGGACTCCAATTGTTACACCTGGTGAGGTGTTAACAATTGCCGTCTTGCTGCCACAGGTGACTCTGGAGAGCCCTGGTGGTTTTTCATTACAGAAGTGAATGGGATTGTGTGCTAAAGATTCATGGAAAAAGCACTCATGCCAAGAGGGAAAAGGCCATGGAGATGCAGAAACTACATGTCGGCTACTATGATTCTTATGAAAACACGTTGTGTGATGATGGAATGAAAGATTTTTGCGATCTTGTGTGCGTAACATGGAACTCTCTGTAATTTTTCCTTTGTTCTGTATTTGAATTTTCAGTAAGAAGAGGAGGAGGCCAGGCAGGCAAAAGGAGTCATGGCTTCTGATGCTAGTCATGCGCTGGAAGCTGCCCTGGAGCAAATGGACGGGATCATTGCAGGTACGCCCAGGGAACCCCAGCAACCAAGGTCTCATCCTCCACATTCCAGGAACTGCTTCTCTCCTTTTACTTTTTTTTTTTTTTTTGGCATAGAGAAAATCCCCTTTTGTTATATTTATTTTTCAGTGGTGTTATTGTGTATGTAATCTCTTTTTTTTCTTTGATACGAACTTATACAACTCTCTGATGTCTGGTGTGATCGTTCTGGTCTCTGCTGAGACAGTGTGGATGTACCTACCATCTACCGTCTCAGTTTGGATTCTGGCTGTGAGGCAGTTTGGGTTCAGTGAGACTGATTCTAATGTAAAATTTTCAGAGCTTTTCATGGCTTATTATAGCTGATCTGAAACTTGAAATCTAGCAGACTTTGCCACCTAATGCAGGTGTCAGCGTCCTCAGATGGTCTCCAGTGTGTTTCAGAGATGAAAGGCAGTTTTGTATTGATTCAATTAATGATTCAAATTTTCTTTATGCCATATTGTTTTTTATCCCTCTCAACTGTTTGGTTTTAATATTTGCATTAGCCAGTAGGGGACTTTTTCTTAGAAAAGATCTAGCAAAGCTGTGGTTAATTTGAAAGGACTATCAATTAGCTGTTCCAGCTGATTCCTTTCTTCATGGGAGCAACCAGAAGCCTATATTGATTAGACCAAACGTTTTGTTGGAAATCTTTCCAGAAGGTCCTAAGTCTTCTGACTTTACCTGATACACTTCAGTGGCCTCATTGGTAGATTGGATGTGCTTCTTTGGAACTTTGCTCTTCATTGTTTGAGCTGTGGCTGGAAGAGAGCGTGGAGGAAGGTATTGGGCCAAGTGTGGCTAGACCCCAGGAAGTACACAGAGTACCTGACACTGCCCTTTCTCAGGCATTTGCTTTTCCTTCCCATTGGAGGGTTTCATCTGACTTACAGAGGGCTCTTGGTGTTTGAGCCTGAAGTGGGAGAGTATGCCTGTGTCTTGCAGCTTCTTCAGGTTATTGTTGGTAATGTGATGTATTCTAGCTATCATCTGTCTGCTTCTCAATTTCTCAGTTGATAGAGGGCCCTTGAGAAGCCATGACTAATGTCCTGCTTTTCAGAGAATCCATAGACTGGGATGTCGTGATGTTTAATACTGAGTGTCAACTTGATTGAATTGAAGGATGCAGCAAAGTATTGATCCCGGGTGTGTCTGTGAGAGTGTTGCCAAAGGAGATTAACATTTGAGTCAGTGGACTGGGGAAGGCAGACTCACCCTTAATCTGGGTAGGCACCATCTAATAAGCTGCCAACTAATATAAAACAGGCAGAAAAACATGAAAAGTCTAGACTAGCTTAGCCTCCCAGCCTACATCCTTCTCCCGTGCTGGATGCTTCCTGCCCCCAAACATCAGACTTCAAGTTCTTCAGCTTTAGGACTCAGACTGGCTTCCCTGCTCCTCAGTTTGCAGACGGCCTATTGTGGGACCTTGTGGTCGTGTGAGTTAATAGTACTTAATAAACTCCCCTTTATATCTATATCTATAGATATAGATATCTATAGATATCTATCTCCTATTAGTTCTGTCCCTCTGGAATACAGATGTCCTGTTCTAGGTTAGGGTCTCTGATGCCTTATTGAGGAGAAAGAGTCAAGAAAGTGGATTTCCTAGCAATCCTTTTAGAGATACTGACCTGTGAGCTCCTCGGGGTCTCACGTGCATTGGGATAATAGCTACAGGATCATTCCCTGAGAATGCCTGAGGCAGTCATCACTTCAGAGCCTTCAGCCAAAGAGCAAAGGGGAGACTGAGCGAGTCCCTGGCAGACCTCTTTGATGGTTGTCAGGGAGGGATGAAAATACTATCTTTTCTCTACGTATTATCTCTGCTGCTTTGTCAAAGGTCATTTGATTATATTTTTGTGATATATATTCAGGTCTATTTCTGAACTCTGTATTCTGTTTCATGGATTTATTTTTTCTTTCACCAATACCACACTGTGTTGATTACTGTAGCTTTAGTAAGTCTTGAAGTTGGGTACTGTCAGTCCTCCAACTTTGTTCTTCAGTGTTGTGTTGGCTACCTTTTGCCTCTTCGTATAAAATTTAGAGTCAGTTTTTTGATCACAAAGTAACTTTCTGGGATTTTGATTGCAATTGCATTTAACTTAGATCATGTTGGGAAGAACTGACACTTTCACAATATTGAATTTTTGAGAGATGAATCAGACTTCTAAAGAAAAGTAGCCTTGTGTGGGGTCAGTACCTCTTTCTGACTCCTGATTTCTCCATACAGGCATTCCTGAAATGACAGAGCCTCTGGCAAAATTCATTTTGTCTCTGAGAGACATTATGTGGCTGGATCCTTAAGGCCTTGCCTTGACCCAGGATCTGCAGTTGAGAATCTGGGATGTGTGTGGAGAGAGGGGCCCTAAGTGTGGGTTGTGTGAAACCCAGGAGACCTAATCTTCTGATCTTCCAGTACAAACTGCTCTATCCTTCCATTTCCTTAGTCCTCCATCTTGGAAGGTTCTATCTAGAAGGGCTCCTGGGCTTTTCTGTCTGGAACAGGTATGAGAGTTTTGTAGAGAGAAGGCATTCTTTGCAAATTGGTTCTTTGCAGATTGGTAGGGAGGAATACCTGTAGCCAGACTACTTGTTTGAAAACCTAGCTCTACAACAAGTTACTTACATGGTCTGTGCCTCAGTTTCCTCATATTAGAAATGAGAATAGTAATACCCATCTTAGAGAGTTGCCTGTGTTGACATGCGTAAGGTGCTTAGAACAGTGCCTGGCACATAGTAAGCACTATAAAATGTTAGCTCTTGATAGATTAATGAGGGACTAAAAATAATCTTCATCATGTTGAATCTTTTCTGGGGACGGGGTAGTATTCTATTTATTAAAGCTCTTATTTCTCCCATCTGAGTTTTGTGGTTTTCATTGTATAAGGCTTGTGCATCCATTGCTGGATTTGCCCAGGGTCTGCAGATTTAATACGTGGTCTTCTGATTGCTCTCTGCATCTGTTCTTGCTCCCTTATAGACTGTTTCCCACAGAGCTGTAGAGTAAACCTGAAAATGTAAATTAAGTCATATCACTCCTCTCTCCAAAACTCCTCAATGGCTTCCCATCTCAGGATAAAGTTTAAAGCCCTTACCACGGCCAGCAAGGTCTTAGCATGGCTTGGCTTTCGTGGCCCTTTATGCATCCCTTTTACGTTCCCAGGGTGTATCTCACTTTAACCATGAGCTTGCCCCCCCCTCTCCTGGAATGCCCTCCTCCAGATCTAGGCTTATGCTGAAATGTTACCGTACCGGAAGGCCTTCCCTGACTGTGTCTATCATGCATTCCCACATAACTCTGTTCTTGTATCTTGTTTATACTTCTTTATAGCACTTATCACCTGACCTATCACATTCATATTTGCCTCTTTGTTTATTGTCTGCCTCCTGCACCAGCATGTAAGTTTCTTAAGGACAGAGGCTCTGCCACTGTATCTCCAGTGCCATAATTGGTGGTTTTAGGCATTTTAGTTAATAAGCATTTAATACATGCTAGATGTTTTTTTTTCATTTGCTTTTGTGACTAGGATCTCCTTTTCATTGGTTAGGAGGTATACATATAGGTTTCTGTATACATCTTCTATCTGGCTGCATACTGAACTTCATTTATTTTCTCTATTTTCACCCTTGTTTCACTGATTCTTTTGGAATAACAAATTATTATTATTTTTTTTGAAGACTAGTAGTTTGTATGTCCCATGAACCATCCCTGAAGTAGTAACTGGCTCACACAGATATTTGACAGGAGCTATTTGACAGATTATTCAACACTGAGGTTACTAGTGAGTATCTGGAGGGCATGTTTTCTATGCTATTCTTGATAAAAAGAATGATCATTCTTTTGAATGCCTTGTTCAGGTTACTTTTTCTCAAGATTGCTGAGGACACTTTTCCTCATTTTTATGATGGCATTAGGATGGCTGAACCAAATTGGGCCAAAGAGGTTAAGAATTTTTGTGGTTATTAACATGGACTACAGAGTTGGACTGTAGGGGTTTGAATCCCAGCTCAGCCATTTAGTGCTGGCTGTGGGATCTTTGGACAAATTGCTTAATTCTTCTGAGCCTCAATTTACTTATCGATAAAATAGCAGTAATAATAGTACCTGTCTCATATTATTGTGAGGGTTGAATTAATGCAGATAAGGCACCTAGAAAGTGCTTAATTGATGTAAGTTATTTGTTTTATTGATATTAGTATTAAATTATTTTTACCCCCCAAGATCATAGTGCTGAGATTTGATTCCAGGGCCATCTGAGTCTCTTCCAGGCTCCTTTTATTCCTGGGCTGGTTTTTATGTTGATGCATGGGGCTGTCTGTAGGAGAAAAGAATTAACTGAGGGAAGGATACTTTTCTGCTCTTGCTCACAATCCCTAAGCCAGAGTGGTTTTGTTCTTGTCTCTCTTACGTTATTTCTTCTAAGCAAGGGTTCCTTTGCTTAAGGGTGGCACAGCTAAAGAAGTTTGAAAACTGGCACCACACCACAGATCTTGCAGAAATGACATTTTTGTGTGAACATTTAAATCTTCCTCTCTTTATTTATGTTCTCTTATTAATTTTAGATTGCATGATGTCAAGTAGTGCCACCACCACTGCCAAAACACAACTGCTTTTCCATCAAAGTACTCAAGTACCCAAAGAATGTATTTTCTCACAGTTACCACGTATTTCAACGGAAAAAACCTTTATGGGCTTCCTGGACCTCCCAAATAGTAACCACTTACACAGAAACAACACAGATTCCTACTAAAATGGATGTACTGTATTCAGTGATCACTAGTAATCATATACTATGTAACAAGGAATTGCCTCTTACTAATTACAGTAGGCTGGGTTACTGTTTACTTTCCAAAACTCCTTCTAAAAAGAGTGCACTTTGGGCATGTGATATCAATGTTTATGTAATTAAGCTTTTAGTGCAAAAAAAAGTCTGTCTCCTCCTGCATCAACTAAAACAGTGCAAACAGTGCGGGATGATTATCACTCCTGTAAACAATCAGACCAGGAGTACTCTGAGAGGACATCCTAATGCGCAAGTGGTAAATATGCCCCTCCAGAGCCACGGTGCGATGGCCTTTGTCTCAGGTGGTCAATGTTGGGAGGTGTGAGAGAGAGAAATTGGTTCTTGTAAATGCAAAAAGAAATGCCTTGTAAGCAGGACTATTAAATGAAACTCCTTGTAAAGTTGAATTCTTGAAATCTGAATGGCTGAATCCCAGGTGACTAGACTAGACTAGACTAGACTAGACTAGATTGGGTCTATACTAGATTGGGACCTCAGTATTTTATATCAGAAAGTTGGGAAAGGGTGGCTGTTAAAGACTCTAGGATCTTTGTCAATAATGACTTGGTTCTAATATGAAAGACCATTATTATAGTTTCCAGTAGGATGTTAACCTTTGATCTAGTCTTCCTCCTGATTAGTCCCTGTGATTCTGCTTGCAAATTCACTGTAATTGAATTACACTGTTGACAATTGAAATTGAACTCTATATTGCTTAATTACCTCCCTCTGGATGGCCTAGAGCAACTGCCACAGACACTAATTTTGCATGGAGCTTAATTTGTGAACTGACAGGTTCAGTGGCTACTTTGTCAGGCCACTTCTGGCAGGGGACCAGAGAGCCACGTGGTCAGGACACAGAAGGCCACTTACTCCTCTTGGCTCTGCATGAGGTTACTCATGCAGTTATGTACAAGCAGTACTCACTGAGGAGGAATAGTTAAGAGGAGTCTGTTTTATGACAGTTAAAGAAGTTGCCCTGTCAGCTGGGGCCTTTCTGCCAACTCTGATTAGCGTCTGGGTTTGTAAAAAGAAAACAACAAAAGATTGTGCAGGGGCAGAGAAAGTTCTGATCAAGACCGAGATTGTTCACGTTGGCTTGTGAATGAAGTCAGCTGTGGTGCTGAGGACTGTTGAGTCCATACTCTGAACAGTCCTTGACTGATCTTGTCCCCGGCTTCTCTGAGGTGCAGCAGCATATAGCATTCATCAGTATCGGACTCGCTGTTTCCCATTGCAGGTTGTGAGAGCCCTGCTAGGACTTTGTTCAGAAGAGTTGGAGTGGGGGTCTTAGGAGTGTCTAAGGGGCAGAGCTATCAAAGACTGCCCTTTGTATGAAGAGGTCAAAACAGCTACTGGGGCACCCGCTGTTTGACAGCCCTCATTCCATTTTTCCCTCACTGGTAGACCCCATCTCCCAGTCCTTTATGGAACTGTGCCTCGTTTTCCATTCTCTGAAAGAGTTTGGATAAGGCTGGAACTATGTGTTCCTTAAATATTTACTATAGTTGTAGGTATAGGAACTGAGCTGCAAAACTGTGTGGGCCTCGTGTATTCTTGTTTGAAGATTTTTTTCTTTTAATGGTGTGGACAGGTTTTAATTTTTTAATTGAGTCTTGGCAAGTTAAGTTTTTCTAGAAATGTGTCCATTTTACTGAGGCTTTCCATTTTGTTATCATCAAGTTGGCCATTATATTTTATCTAAAGTACTTTGTTAGATTAGAATTATTCTTTAATGTTTGATAGAATTAACATATAAAAGCATTTGGCCTGGTGTGTTCTGTGTGGAAAAAAATTTAAACTACGATTAAATTTCTTTATAAGACGGCCAGGTGCAGTGGCTAACGCTTGTAATCCCAGCACTTTGGGAGGCCGAGGCGGGCGAATCACGAGGTCAGGAGATTGAGACCATCCTGGCTAACACAGTGAAACCCCGTCTCTACTAAAAGTACAAAAAATTAGCCGGGTGTGGTGGCGGGCACTTGTAGTCCCAGCTACTCGGGAGGCTGAGGCAGGAGAATGGCATGAACCCAGGAGGTGGAGCTTGCAATGATCGTGCCACTGCACTCCAGCCTGGGTGACAGAGCCAGACTCTGTCTCAAAAAATAAAATAAATAATACTTGACTCTTAGAATGCTTTAATTCTCATCACTGCCCCATCTTCCACATTATTTTCGTTCAGTATTCTAGTATCTTTGTATTCTCCAAATTATTGTTTTTTCAGTTGATAGCATTTTGTTTAACAGTTTTAACAACCTCTCCAGTCATAGTTGATTCTTTCATCCTGCTTTTTTTGCATGATAGTTTTCTTCCTTAAAATTTGATAGTCTGTCAGTAATAGATTGTATTAGTCGTCATTTGAAAAATGTCCTTAAATGTTCATAATCTTGAATGATAGTTTATCTTGTACAGGCTTGTAGGTTGGTCACTATCCATAGGTATTATTTTGTGGTCACAGGGATTTATTGCTAATGAGAAGTCTGGCAATCTGTATCTGTCTTCTGTCTCTGGTTGTTTTTAAACTTCTTATTTATCTTTGGTGTTCTTCAGTTTCACTGTGTTGTTTCTTGGGTGGATTTGTTTTGATGTATCATTCTTGGGACTCAGTGAGTGTCTTTAAGCTGAGAGGACTCAAGTTTTCCATTCTGAAAAATTCATAGCCATTTTCTTTGTTGTCTCTGCTTCATCCTCTGTATTCTTCTGGAATTCCTGAAGAATTGTGTTGGACCTTGTCCTCCTTTTTTAATTCCATGCTTCCTAACTCCTCTTTTATATTTTTCACTTGTGTCTCTGTTTGCAGCATTCTTCAAATCTATCTTCCTCTCCAATAATTCTCTCATCTGCTATTTAACCTGTTCACTTAATTAATTTGCTTGGCTGCATTCTTTATTTTGGTTTGTATTTTTTTTTTCAGATTTTCCTATTTTTTAAAATCATGCTTTCCTTTTCTTTAAGGTTTTTATTTCTTCCTTTTCTCCTTTAATTATGTAAAACATATGACATATGCCCAAATATTCCCAAATAGACAAAATATTTACTCATATTAGTGTATTGATTTAGTTACGTGTTTAAGCACTAAGTAAAAGGCTTTCAATAATTCAAAATAATATGTTAATTTATGAACTTCTTGTCTCATTGGCACTTTTTTTTTTTTTTTTTTTTGAGACAGAGTCTTGCTCTGTTGCCCAGGCTGGAGTACAGTGGCATAATCTTGGCTCACTGAAACCTCCATCTCCTGGGTTCAAGCAATTCTCAGCCTCCTGAGTAATTGGGATTACAGGTGCCCACCACCATTCCCATCACTGGCACATCTGATGAAATAATTTTATTCAAGCTTTTTATATTTATCTTTGTTTCTATCATTTTGAGCGCTCTTTTTGAATAATCCTAGCATTCTAGAGCAGTTGTAGAGCATTTGGGGATGCAGATTCATATTTGTAGGTCTGGGATGGGATCCGAGACTGTATTTCTAATGAACTCTCAGGTTTTGCTATTGCTACTCCTGTGGACCCCTCTTTTAAGTGGCAAGGTTTTAGAACATGCCATCCTTACTTGGAATTTGTTTTAAATACAACACTTTAAAAATTCACATATGATGCTGTCATCAGCTATTTCATCTCATGCCAAAGAACTCCATTTACGTGGTAAAAGGTTAGACTTTAAAAGTTTATCTTGTCTATATGTCTTAATTGTACAAAATATATATTTTGCATGAATGAAGATAGGCTAAGTTATATTGCAGTGAGAAACTACTCAAATGTCAGTAGTTTGAAACACAAAGGTTTATTTCTTGTACACATTGCAAGTTCCCTGAGATCTGCCAAGAGCTCTGGTCCTTGTCATCTTCACTTGAACACAGACTGATTGAGTCTCCACTATTGCCAGAAGTCAGGGCAGGTGGAAGAGATATGAGGAATTGTGTACTGGCTCTTAGACTTTCTCCCACAGTGATACACATGGTTTCTGTTTATTGGCCAAAGGAAGTTATGTGACCATGAGTGACTTCAAGGGACAGAACTGTGAGCCTACTATGAATGCAAGTAGAGGAGAACAAAATATCTGAACAACCCCAGTCACTACCACAGACATCCCTATGTGCTTTCGAAAGCGATCATTAAAAGGCTTTCAGCTGGCTGCGGTGGCTCACGCCTATATCCCAGCACTTTGGGAGGCTGAGGCAGGCAGATCACGAGGTCAGGAGTTCGAGACCAGCCTGGGCAATATGGCAAAACCCCGTCTCTACTAAAAAAATACAAAAATTAGCCAGGCGTGGTGGCGCGTGCCTGTACTCCCACCTACTCGGGAGGCTGAGGCAGGAGAATTGCTGGAACCTGGGAGGCGGAGGTTGCAGTGAGCTGAGATCACGCCACTGCACTCCAGCCTGGGTAACAGAGCAACTCTGTCTCAAAAAAAAAAAAAGAAAGAAAAAAAGGCTTTCAATGAAATCCTATAACACTTGCATTGTATGTGGTCTTATCCTCAAAAATAATTATTAAATCTTCATTAAATTTTGGTTTTGCTCCTTAAAATAAAAATTCTCAGGTGACCTCTATAACCATCAAAGCTAGACTTCATTGAGGTGATCTGCTAGTGCCATGGTTTCAGCTTAAGCATCATTTTAGTATCACCTGGGAAACTTTTTATTACCCCAGGTCACACCTCAGACCAATTAAATTAGAATCCCTGGAGGAGGGCCCAGGCATCTGGAGTTTGTAAAACCGCTCAGGTGACTTCAATGTGCATTGAAAGTTGAAAATATTTGTGCTACTCTAAATACTGCTTTGTTGCTCAAAATGAAATAAATAGAATTCCCCAAAGAGAAACTTTAGGCTTGACTGTAAGTTGAATTACCCTTTTCTGAGAAATCTGGGGGGCAAATCTTGCCTTATATTTAGGCATATCCAGCATTAGTGGTTTATGGTGTCTTCTAAATTTTCCTGTTAATTCCAGGTTTTAGGGCACACATTTTTTTTATTTGTTTTCTATTTTGATTTGTTTCCCACTGTGGTTGTAATTTTTTTACAGGAGGTAATTGTGGGAAATGTGTGTGGAGTGTGGAAATGAGCCTCCTGGGAGATTTTGCAATTGCTAATGCTGGGCTTTAGGTGTTGCACTATTCTGGACCATTTTGTGTGCATGTGTGTTGATTTCTGGTTTGGGATTTCGGTAGTCAGTGCATAGTAGAAATTTGGCACTATACCAGTGGTATGCAGAGGCCTGTAGGCTTGATGTCTCACTGGGGGGTGAGGGAGGGTGTATATGTGTGGTATTATAAACACCTAGGGGGTTACTTAGCATACTGCAAGCTTCCCTGCCGTTGGGTGAATTTTCTCAGATCCATTTATGAAATAGGCAATACTTTGGGGTACTTTCTTTCTATAGGGGTCTCACTTTCAACTTACTGCTTTCACTGGAGGCATTAAAACCTCAAGCCCCAATCTCGGTTCCTCCCTATATCTGGGTATTTTGCCCCTGGGCTACTCTAGAGTCAGCTTGAATTAATTTCACTGTTGAGTTCACTCTTTGTTTCTGGTACCCAAGGTTTTTACTGTCTTTCAAGCTTGGCTCCATGTTAAAAAATAAAATAAAATAAGAGTGTTATCTTTTTCAGCTTTTCTGTTTGTTCATTGTGGGTAAGGGGGACTCCTGGCAGTTGAGTATGTCCTGTTTCCAGAAGGTTCCCCCTTAAGCAGCACATGGCTAGCTTACCAAGAGGCCTGCTCTGAGATTTTCTGAAATGATTGTTCTGTGAAAATACTACCAGGTTTTTCCCCCTTTCACTAATGCAATTATAGAGCGAGGGAAAGCTAATCAACAGCACAAGGAAGAAACCTGTCTGGGTTTACTCACTTAATTTCCTGCCCAAATAAAGGCCTGAATTCTTCCATATTGTCTAGCATCCTGTGGGGACTTTGAAAGAACAAGAGAACCTAGAGTCCCTGTGCAAACTAAATGTCAAACTTGAATCTCTCACTTAGAGTCAACAAATTTAAAGTTTAAAACAAATTGTTATAAAAGTAATGAAAATTAATATTGTCAACATTTGGGTATTTCTCTGTATATATATATACCATATACATATAATTGTTTTACTGAATAAGGCAAGTATTTCCCCATGTTACTGAGTCTTTAGATAATTGTTTTTTATACAGCTATATGAATCATATTCTTTCTTTCAGAAGTTATTTAAACATTCACCAATTTGGGGGGATTTTTCCCCTACTTTTTGAAAATTAAGATGCTGCTGAGATTATTCTTATATATTAATCTTTGACTACGTGTCTGGTTATATTTCCTTAGCTTAACTTTCTAGAATTGGACTTGCTAGGTCAAAAGGCATGAATATTTTTCCTGTATCTTGCCAAATTGCTTTTCAGAAAGATTAGGCCAGTCTTTGTGTCTATTAACAGTGTATGAGGGTACCCTTATGAACAGCATATGAGCTTGCCAACATTAATTATCATTGCATTTGCATTTTCAACAATTTACGTAGGTGAAAATTGAATATCATTTTTAAATGTTCTATTTACCAATGCAAAAACATTTTCTTTCCATATTTTTAAATTTTACTTCTGTTTTTTAATTCCAGAACTGCCCATATAAGAACCTTGTGCCTATTTTGTGTGTGAGAAGTGGCTTGGGGACTTTTTCTTATTGATAGATAAGGTCTCTTTTTGTATGAAGGCTATACTGAGCTTTTGTTGTAATTGATACGAGTAGGTTTGTTTGTTTGTTTTGAGACAGAGTTTTGTTCTTGTTGCCCAGGCTGGAGTGCAATGGCACAATCTCAGCTCACTGCAACCTCTGCCTCCCAGGTTCAAGCGATTTTTCTGCCTCAGCCTTAAGTAGCTGGGGTTACAGGGGCCTGCCACCATGCTTGGCTAATTTTTGTATTTTTAGTAGAGAAGGGGTTTTGCCATGTTGGCCAGGCCGGTCTCGAACTCCTGACCTCGGGTGGTCTGCCTGCCTCGGCCTCCCAAAGTACTAGGATTACAGGCGTGAGCCACCATGCCTGGCCTACAAGTAGGTTTTTCAGGCTATAATTTGTCTTTTAATTTTGTTTTTAATATTCCAGAAGTTAATTTTATGTAGTCAGGTTTATTGTTCTTTTATGTCTTGCTCAATTGCTCTTGTGCCTATAAAATCTTCCTCTCACTCAGTTTTGACCTATCTTCTCTTTGTATTTCTAGTTCAGTTTTTTAAGTGTGTAATCTTTGTCTGTCTAAATTTTATTTTTGTGTATGGTGTATAATAAAGATCTTATTTTTTTCTGTGAGGGTAATTCTAGCCACATATTTTAGCAGTGTATGGCAAGTGCCTCTTGATTGTACTTCTCAGAATATTCTCAGCTATTTTTATTGGTTAGTTATTTTACTGTGTAACATAAATTACCCCAAACATAACATCATACAATAATAAACATTTATCATCTGTTTCTATCTGCCAGGAATTCAGGAGCGGTTTAGTTGGGTGGTTCTGGCTTAGGTCTCTTAAAGAGTTATAGTTAAGATATTAGCTGGGGCTACAGTCATCTGAAGGCTTTTCTGGGGCTGGAGCAGCAGTCCCTAACCTTTTTGGCACCAGGGAACAGTTTTGTCGAAGACAGTTTTTCCATGGACCTGGGGAGTCGGGGGAAAGTTTCAGGATGAAACTGTTCTACCTCAGATCACCAGGCATTTGTTAGATTCTGATAAGGAGTGAGCAACCTAGATCCCTCGCATGCACAGTTCACAATAGGGTTCACACACCTATGAGAATCTAACGCCACCAGTGATCTGACAGGAGGCGGAGCTCAGGCGTAATGCTCATTGGCCCACTGCTCACCTCCTGCTGTGCAGCCCAGTTCCTAACAGGCCATGGACTGGTACCAGTCTGTGGCTAGGGCTGGGAACACCTGGGCTGGAGGATCCCTTCCACAGTGGCTCACTCATATGGCCATTGGTAGAAGGGCTTAGTTCCTTGATGTCTGCTGACAGGTAGCCATATTTCCTCACTATATGGACTTTTCCATAGGGATGATTGAGTGTCCTTATAACATGGCAGCAGCCTTCCCCCAGAGTGAGTGGCCTGATACAATAAAGCAGAAGGAGTCACAGTGCTCTTTATAACCTAGCCTTGGAAGTGACATTCCTGTCATATCCTATCATTTCTGTCATATTCTACTGGTGACACAGAGCAACCGTGATATAATATCCACAAATTACGAATATTAAGAGGAATGGGTCACTGACGGCTTCTTGGAGGCTGGTTATCAAACTCTTCCTCTGAGAGGAAATTTAGAATTGTATCTCCCTTTGTATAGATGTTTATTCAATATCATTTTGTCATTTACATCCCAAAGCCCCATGGTGGCATCTGGAAGTTTCTTCTTCCCTTAGTTTTCTGCCCTGTAACCTTATCTGATTCTTAAATTTAAAGTCAAGTGGCGTTTGTCATCTGAGGCTTTTCTGTCACTGTCATTACAACTAGCTCAGGGACAAAATATTTATCTTTTCACTTCCCTCATCTAGTATTTATTGACTATTGGTTTTGTTAAAGTAATAAAAGAAATATAAGTTTCAAAGAAATAGAAATTAAAGTTTTATATATATATATATATATATATATATATATATATATATATATATATACACGCACACACACATATGCCTGTAAAACTTGGCACAGATATACATGTACTCACATACATGTACACACGCATACTCTGAATAGTAGGAAAGAATCCCAAAGCTTTAGGGCAGAGAGGGTCACAGAGAAAGGAAGAGACTTTTCCAAGGCCACACAGTGATATAAAGTTAATGAAAACCCAGATCTTCCATCCACCTTTTAGCCTGACTCACTCTTCCCACATTTATGAAATACTTAAACTGGATGGCTACGTGTTTAAAATTCATGTGTACAGAATGGAGAGGGATTACTTAGCAATGGTTTGGAGATTGGAGGTCTTGCTCTGCTTCTGTCCGTTTTCTTCCCTGAAGTTTGGCTGTGGCTGTTCTAAGTCCACTCTTAATTGGATTTGTAGGAGCCAGAAAGTGCTGAGCACACATCACAGTGGTGGGTAATTGGGCAGTTTCCTGGCTCCCCAGAGCCTCTGACTTGTTTGTGGATGGTGATCCATGATTCCCTGTATCATGCATTTTCAGAAAGCAAACTGGCAATCAAATGGTAATTGTTTCCATCTGTGTGGATTTCTGCCTGGCAAGGAGGAGGTT
The DNA here is from genome assembly GCF_000001405.40 of Homo sapiens. Taxonomy (NCBI): domain Eukaryota; kingdom Metazoa; phylum Chordata; class Mammalia; order Primates; family Hominidae; genus Homo; species Homo sapiens. The sequence continues at coordinate 7,563,560 of NC_000011.10, forward strand.
GGCTCTGAGAAGAGTAAAGGGACCTGGAATTGGATGTCAGGCCTGCAGCATACCATGGATGCGGTGGCCCCAAGCTCACATTTTCCAGTAGAGTCCTAATTTCAAATCTTTCATCTGGTTGGCCTTATAAATAATGCAAATGCCCTAGAAATTCCACCACCTAAACCATATTTTCTAAAGTGTTTCTTACTGCTGAAAGGAGCACAGACTTCCTTTGTTAGACTGTTGCCCCAGTTTTGATTTGAAAAATGTATCACTGAACTTACGGAAAGGAGACTTTTGCTGCTGCTGCTGTTGTTAAATAGGTGTAAGAATGGTGGAACAGGCCAGGCGCAGTGGCTCACGCCTGTAATCCCAGCACTTTGGTAGGCCAATTTGGGTGGATCATGAGGTCAGGAGATTGAGACCATCCTGGCTAACACAGTGAAACCCCATCTCTACTAAAAAATACAAAAAATTAGCCAGGCGTGGTGGCGGGCACCTGCAGTCCCAGCTACTCGGGAGGCTGAGGCAGGAGAATGGCATGAACCTGGGAGGCGGAGCTTGCAGTGAGCCGAGATTGCACCACTGCACTCCAGCCTGGGTGACAGAGCAAGACTCCGTCTCAAAAAAAAAAAAAGAATAGTGGAACAGTTGAATTTGGGGCATATCAAATTAGAAAGAGCTGACCCAATATACCAGATCTCTGAGGACATTGAAGCACTCTCTCTCTAGATACTCATTCAGGTATATGTGCGGGCATTTTGTCAGATTCCTTTTCAGTGTCTACTGGGTAGAGTGCATGATGCTGGGAACTCAGTTAAATGTAATATGGACTCTCTCTCAGACTCCACAGCCCACAATAAGGAGATGAGGTATGGATATACATAATAATAATGCAAATTTAAGAGCATATAGAGATATATAGGGGATATAAAGATCTTCTAACTGGGAAGATCCAGAAAGATTCCAGTTCACTAAACCCTCACCAAAATGAATACAGTAATTGTCATCTAGTGCTGTGGGATAAGCCAACCCAAACATAGTGGCTTAAAACTACCATCGTTTCTTTGTAATTTCATGATTTGAGTAGCACTCTGCAGGTGTGTCTCCTCCCTGTTCCACTTGGTGTCAGTCGGGGTGGCTCATGGGGGCTTGGAAGATCCCAGATGGCTTCATTCACATGTCTGTCACCACAGCTGGGAGGGCCAAGAAAGGTGGGGCTGTCTTTCTAGCCAGGTAACTGGGCTTTGTTACATGGCAGTTTAGGGTCAAAGAGAGAAAGAGTGGAACCTGTTAGACCTCTTAAGGCCCAGGCCCAGAGCTGGTACAGAGTCACTTCCACTGCTTTCTGTTGATCAGAGAAAGTCACCAGGCCAGCCCAGAGTCAAGATCCATCCCTTTATCAGAGGAGTGGAATGCACACACAGGAATGGAAGAATCTCTGGTGGCCAACTGTGTAATCTATGACTTTAATATAAAGAAAAAAATTCTAAAAGCTGAAGAATGAGATCTTACTGTCTAAACGTAGTTTATGGTCCCTAGTGAGGACTGGCTGTGCTTTCCCAGTTGTCTAAGTGTGTGAGCTTCATACATCAGTCCCAAAGGGTACAGTCATCCACCTCTGTATGCCTATTTTTACACTGTCCAGCCCGAGATTAGATAAAGATGATTTCTGGAAAGTTTACATTGTGAGTGATTCAGCTGGGGTCCAGGTGGCCTTCCAGGTTTCTTTATTTAAAGATGGGGTCTCACTCTGTTGCCCAGGCTGGAGAGTAGTGACTATTCGCAAGCCAGATATTGTGCACTACAGCCTGGAACTCCTAGACTCAAGTGATCCTCCCGCTTCAGCCTCCCAAGTAGCTGAGACTACAGGCGTGCACCGCCATGCCCAGCTCACCCCCAGCTTCTTATCTGTCCCTTTCACCGTTTCTTCACCACCTTTGCTCTTTACTAGTACCTTGCTCAGGGTGTCCACCCTTCTTACTGAGTTTTCACCTCTCTCTCATTGCAGGCACTAAAACAGGTGCAGATCTTAGTGATGGTACTTGTGAGCCTGGACTGGCTTCCCCGGCCTCCTACATGAACCCCTTCCCGGTGCTCCATCTCATCGAGGACTTGAGGCTGGCCTTGGAGATGCTGGAGCTTCCTCAGGAGAGAGCAGCCCTCCTGAGCCAGATCCCTGGCCCAACAGCTGCCTACATAAAGGAATGGTTTGAAGAGAGCTTGGTGAGTAGTCCCGTGGCCTGATTGGGAACCACTGGGGAATGTAATGGTGCAGCCCATGGAGTGCCACTGCTGACTGGGGCTGTTGAGTCATCTGTATACCTTCCAGCCTTTTCTTCCATCCCACTTTGGCCAACGCTGCAGGGTGGCCCTTCTTATCAAGGAGTATAGAGCCCAGTCAAGCGACTTAAGCTATGCCCTCTGCCCTTCCATGGTCCACAGTTGGCCTCTCCTGAGGAAATCCAGGGCCAGAGAAGGGCAAACATTTAAGATTTCACACACACACACACACACCCTCGAATTACATGTACTGCTTATTGAGTTCTAATCCCTGGCTGGTGTCTCTACCCTCGGCTAGATCCCACTACCCCTTGTTTCTTACCACAAACAAAAGACTGGTTACCTCATTGATTTAAAAAAAAGCTTGACAAATTTCTTAGGAGGCAATGTTTTCTTATTTTTGCATTTCTTTGGTAAAAAGGCTAAACTTTTGAAAATTAGTTTATTCGTATTCCTCTGTATGGTCTCTAAACTTTTGATTCTATATCCTGTATCTGGACAAAGAATGCATTTCCCATATACATATTCACATGCAGCATTTTATTTTTGAGACAGGGTCTTGCTCTGTCACCCAGGCTGGAGTGCAGTGTGGCTTGATCATGGCTCACTGCAGCCTCGACCTCCCAGGCTCAAGGGAATTCTCCCAACTCTTGCTCCCAGAAGTGTACCACCTCTGCAGAAGTGCGAGCCACACCTGGCTAATTAAAAAAAAAATTTTGTGTGTGTGGAGATGGGGTTTCCCTATGTTGTCCAGGTTGGTCTTGAAATCTTGGCTCAAACAATCCACCCACCTCGGCCTCCCAAAAGTGCTAGGATTATAAGCGTGAGCCACTGCACCTGGCCAGTATTTCACTAATATACCTAAATTATAAAAATACCACAAAACAGAATTTTAAAGTTTTTTATTTGTACAAATTGTGGGGTACATGTGAAATTTCCTTACATGTATATAACACATAGTGATCAAGTCAGTCAGGGTATTTAGGGTATCCACTGTTCACCAAAATAGAGTTTTAAAGGATAGGTTAAAAAATAGTTCCCATATTTTTCCCTGTACACCCAGAAATCACCTTGAGCCTCTTGGATGCACCTCTCCCACTCTAGTCTATTCGTAGTCTATGCTGTTGTTTTCTATTAGGATTTTAGTGTTTTTCTTATCTATTTGAATGACCTTTTATTAGCCGTTTGCTTTATTTGTAGCATATATTTTCCTCACTCTGTTTTTAAATAACGTTTAGGTGCTTTCTGAGACACAGAATTTTAAACAACTGTACTTGACTCTATCAGTCTTTCCTATTTTGGTTTCTTGTTTTCCTTTTGGCCCTAGCAACGCCTTTCCCAACCTCAGAACAGATAACTGTTCACCTGTATCTTCCTCTAGTAAGTTTATGGTTTGATTTTTATTTTATGGTTAACTCCAATCCATCAACAATATTTTTTAGCATTTGGTATAAACAATGAATCTAACTTTTAAAACAGTTTTTGGAAATTTATTAAAAATATTTTTGATCCAAAGGCAGTTGACATTGTTGTTGGTTTTTTCAAGATGCATTGGTAGAAAACAGCTTGCATTCAGATTTGCAGTTTTGTCTTGGGGTTATTTACAATGGTTTAGGGAATGCCTTCCTTTGAAGAGATTTCCCTAAAAGTGATTGCATTCATAAATCTTCTAGAGTAATTATGGCCATCACTAACCTATGCATGGCGAAGCAAGTACTTTTAGGGGGTCAGAAGTTCATATAAACATTCCAAGTTGTAAGGGCTGCATGTTAAGGTTTTTATTCTGGACAGAGATAGCCTGTCTGTGTTTTAGATCTTGCAGACCTAAAGTCATTTTATGATCAGCACATCCACATTCCACACAAGGTCTTAATCTGTATGGGAATAGAATTCAGACTGGTGAGCAAACTCATCAAGTGCTTTAGATTGACACTTTTAGTTAGAAGTTGTTGCTGCTCAAATTTTGGTCTGTGGCTCAGCAGCTTTCTTATCCCCTCGTAGCTTGTGAAAAATGCAGACTATGGGCTCCCATCTCACACTTGCTGAACCATCTCCAGGTGACTCGTAAGCACATTAAAGTTTAAGAAGCGCTGCGTTCAACCCTGGAGACTCAGTTGAATTATTTTTTTAAAGTCCCATGTGGGTTAGGATTGGAGTTGGAACTAGTAAGATGGTTTGAAGGATTAGGCAGCACTGCCCAGCGCCTTCTCATGCATGATGTCTGTGCATCCCTTGCATATTTGCTCCCTTCTCCTCTGTAGACACATTGGCATTGTTCACACCTAGAATTCCTGCTTGGCCATGACACTGGCCTGACATGGTCCAACTCTGCCTCGTGACACCTATATCAGTTGGGATACTTTTTCCAGTAAAATGATGTAAACAATAACAAGATAGACCACTAACAAGATGTCCAGAAGACAGACAGTCCCAGGGTTAAATAAGTGGCTCTGAGTGACCTCATGGGTACTGGTTCTTCCCATCTTTTTTCTTTGCCATCCTCAAGGGGTGGTTTTTGCTCAGGCACATCCCATAACAGTTGCAAGATGGCCACTAGAACTGCAGGCAACATGTCCTTACAAGACACAACTATACAACTGTGTGCAGAGGTAGAGAATCATTTCTTTAGTATGTTTTTGTTGTTTTTAATCAGGAGGGAAACTCTCTGCAACCCCCTAGCAGACTTCCCATTTAGCTGCAGTGGCCAGAATTTGTTCACCTGTGCATACCCTAGCTGCAAGGGAGGCTGGGAAAGCAAGTATTGGCACTTCCACCTGCCATAGAGGGAGGTGGCCTCTGTCAGAAAAGAATGATGATAGAGTGGGGGAAAGTGGCCCTCAGGAAGACAGCTCAGAGTGACTGCCACAGACTTCTGTTAGGTTTGAGTTTACTCTTGTTGGCTGACAAATTCTTTCCATGTTTTCTCAATATGTTTTCTTTTTAAACTCAAGTTTCTAAGGAAAAGGATCTGATTGACCCAGTTAATTATTTTTGAGCGAAGTCCTCCAGATCAATGAAGAAGCGTTAAGTGTAAAAGAAATAGACATTAAAGACTTTTAATTTATTCACAAGCTATGGATGCACACCTTAGGTCCAGTGTCTACCCCAGAGTGAATCAACTGTTAGCAGAGGGGAGGGATTACATAGTGGGAAATGTATCTTGTACTGCTGCTGCTCATCTGGGACTGCAGATCTTCTGGCACTGGAGCATCTGTGGTCCATCAGAAGAATGGGCTGCTGAGAAGCAGGGGTAGATGTGGAGGAGTGGTCCATAGTTAGAATAGGACAAATAGCAGACTAGTCCTGGGCTCTCTATGTCTTACATGAAAAGGGCACTCCTAGTCCTAGTGCCTCCTATTGGGTAGCTGTTTCTTTGTGGTAGGGCTGGTTCCTCTTCTTCTGGGTCCTGGCAGAGCTAAAGCACAGCTGGGCCAGCACAGTTGGCAGAAGTAGGAGTGCTGTTGGCCAGGACTTTGCCTGGAGATGGGTATAAAACAGAGGCGACTAGTTCTAAAGCCCAAGTGGAGCAGACCTGCCCAGGAGTCAGTGGCACTGGGTTAAGTGAGTTTCCCATGCTCTGGAGTCTAAACTAGCATCCTGCTCCTTGGTAAGTATAATGAGGAGAAGTGGGCTCTGGGCCTAGAAGGGCATGTGCAAGGCTTTCTTAATGGGGATACCCTCTGGGGCCTCAGTGGGGCAAGGAACAAAGGGCTTGGATTCCCTTGGTCTAGGAGCAGTATTTCCTCTGGAAAGTTGGTGAATGAGGACCTTGTATAGAGGGTGTCTTGGGGTCTAAGATGGGCTGGGACCTGGCCTGCAGAGGAAGCATCAGGGAGGCTGTCCTGCCTGTGGTGCAGCAGAGCAGTGTTACCCTCAGGAGATGGGAAGGTAGTCCTTTACAACTGGAAGACACAGCCAAGCTCAGGGTCAGTGCTCATGGAGGATGAAGCTGAGGCCCTGGCTGGAAGGCTGAGGCAGCTCTTTTGTGATGGGAACAGAGCTGAGTTCTAGAAAAGGGGCAGCCTCCTCCTTCTCTGTTTACTATGGTGAAATGTAGGATGATGCCCTCGGGAGGGTGTGGTTATTTCAGTTCAGGAGCCCCAGAACCCCACAGGTGGTCCTGAAGCCCAGAAAGGGAAGCAGTGCTCATCAGTGGCCCTGGCATATGCTGGCATGTAATCATCAGTGGCCCTGGCATGTGGTACCTGGCCCAGGCAAGAAGGACCCGGTACAACTGTGACCACTTCCAGGATTTTGGCTGTGCCTTGAGTGGGGCTTTCCCATGGTCTGAAAGGGGTGTCTCTACCCCTCCACACCTGCTTGGCTTGGCTGGTGGTTAGTGGCATAGATCTTTGGCTAGGTTGGGTGGTGGAAACCTTAGACAGGATAGCCAGTCAGATTCAGATGGGCTCTACAGGGCTGGGGATAGCCAGTTAGCTGGGAGGAGTAGACCTAGGCTGATACACAGTGTTGATTCGTGTCCCAGGTCTTTGGGTGACGCCCAGAAGATACCAGAGCCAGCAGAGTCTCCATATGAAGTAGCCATGGGTGCTTCTCTAACAGTATGTTATGTACACCCTTCATCTCCTACCAGCCAGCCAGTCTGTTCTGCTGTTTAATACATTGGGTATGGGCCAAGGAGATTCTTGGTGAAGTTTCAAGATGAAGCCAGAGAAAGGGCAGGCAAACCCAGCAGCAAAGTGAAGGCAAGTCAAGGAAGAGCTCAGGCTCCAGGGTGAGGGGTGGTGCTTGGCAGAGAACCCACAGAAGGGCTGTATGTACTCTAGGCCCTGTTTGGAACTGGGGTACATGGAGTAGGCTTGGCCATCCAATAGGAACCCAGGCTTTTCTTTGCAAGGTCTCAAGAGTCCTGGTCAGTGTGCTTGAGCAGGTGAAAGCAGATTGAACCAGGGTGAGGGAGTATGGAAGGTAGGAAGGAGTTAAAAGGCCAGGGTTCTACCCTGGCTCTACCACTCATGAGCCTCTTCTTCACTTCTGTGGGACTCAGTTTCCCTACTGGAAATGACAGCTGAGTTTGAAAGTGTCTGCAAGATCTGGCCAAGCATTCCAATTCTGCAGTTTGTTCTGGGGGCTATATGGAGTGGTCTCTTTGTAAGCACCAGCCTTTGCCTCCCTCAGTCTTGACCTCTTGGGTTCCAAAGTGTGGAGACAGGTTAGGAACCTCTCAGTTTACTGCTGCCCTTATGTTAGAGCTTGATGGAGGCCCACATCTCAACAGTGGAGAGGCAAATCTGTTTACCATATTGAAAAACCTGAAGAGTTGCTCTCCTGAATGAGCAGCCTCTGCTGGCCCCAGCTGGGATAAGTGCTCACCTCTGATAGCCCAGCAGTCAGTTCAGGTGCCCTCAGTTACCTTTTTAACTAGTTTCCCAAGAAACAAAGAAACCCAGACCCAGGCTGGGGAGCACAGCCACCCCCCCTTCTCAGCTCCAAACCACCTTGTCACAGATGGCGGTTTCTTCAGCTCCCAGCTCCTCAAACAAAGCCCATACATTCCTGCCAGATTCAGCTTGCAATCTTTCATTCTGTCCAAGAAGCAAATCTGTTTACCATATTGAAAAGCTAGAGGAGTTGCAAAAAAAAAAGTGGAGAGAAAAAGCTGTTTTATGAATTATAAAATGTGAGCTTGAATTTTTTTACCATGGGATTCATTTCTGTATCTCCAGAATGGAAAACAAAAGATAGTCAGGATACGTGTGTGTTGAACATTTCAATTTTGAAAAGTTACAGAAGGAGTTTTGTAGGTAAACCTTTTCCTCTGGATCTTAGAGGAGGGAAAATTTGGTGCTTATTTTTCAAGAAAAAAAGTAGAGCCTGTGTGAGCCGATTTCCAGCATGTTTTCTTACCTCCCCTGTGACAGGTGTGAACTTGAGTGAGAGATGAGAAAGGAGTAGGTGTGTCCGTGCTTTCTTTCTGCGCTCAGCTCCCAAGGGGCTCCTGGGCCGGGCTCAGGTGGCATCAGTGGTGGTTCTTTGTCCCTGTGCAGTGCTGGAAGAAGCCACTAGGTGGGAGTCAGGGACAAATGCTGGGAAGTGAAATCCCAAAGAATGAGGTCAGCATGGGCTTCATATGAGAAAACAGCTTTTAATTTTTCTTTTTCAGACAAAGATAACATAAGCACCTCTCATTATTGAAACTGCTTAACTGCACCTGGGTCAGCTGGCAAAGATAATTCTTTGCCATTTTCCTTAGAAACAGTGGACAAAGGGCAGTCAAGAGAGGGCTCCACTGTTTAGGGTGGGGGAGAAGAGACAGGGCTGGTCCTGGGATCATAGACCTGACCTTCCCCTGTGGATGTGGGGAGACCTCTCCAGACTTCTTGACTGCAGTGCCTTCTGCTGGGGTGCTAGTAGGTTGGCCCCTTCCATTCCTGCAGGCATTTCCTAGCCCACAGTTTATGTCACGCCCTGCCCTAGAGAAGCTTCCTGTCCCCTGGGGGATTTTGAATGCCCTTTTCCTGACACAGCAGCCAAGACTGGGGGCCTTCAGCCACTGCAAATTTAGCAGTTTCAATTTTCCTGGATCTTGATCCCTGCCCCCCAAAGTAAATTTACCCTACTAAATTCTAGCAATCCGGCTCCTTTCAGACCTGACCTAAAGAGACTATTTCAGCCTCTAAGAACCAATGTTTATAAATGACCAAGAATGTGCAAACACTGGTGAAAGAGCAAATAAATCCTTCCCCACTATATTTCCTGCTTCAGGCCCAGGGGCCGTGGTGGACAGTGTTGCCAGGTTAGCATAACTTGAGGTCTGAGCACGTAGACACCCACTTACCCTCCACCTACAAAAGAAAATCCTGCCAGAGATACACTACCAAGAGCCTTCTGCCCTTTCAGATACCTGCTAGTGGGCAGGCAGGCTCCAGGGAATTTATGCTTCTAGGCAAGTTTGTTTAGTAATCTATGTTTCGAAGAATGTTTTGTTTGTTTTGTTTTGTTTTGTTTTTTGAGACGGAGTTTTACTCTTATTGCCCAGGCTGGAGTGCAATAGTGTGATATTGGCTCACTGCAATCTCCACCTCCCAGGTTCAAGCAATTCTCCTGCCCCAGCCTCCCGATTAGCTGGGATTGCAGTTGTGCACCACCACACCCGGCTAATTTTTGTATTTTTCGTAGAGACGGTGTTTCACCAGGTTGACGAGGCTGATCTTGAACTCCTGACCTCAGGTGATCTGCCCACCTCAGCCTCCGAAAGTGCTGGGAATACAGGCATGAGCCACCATACCTGGCCTTGAGGAACTTTTGAAAGCGGTTTCCTAACTTCTTACTCCTCCAAGTGTTGTCCTGGGACCAGTAGTACGAGCATCACCTGGGAGCTTGTCAGCAGTGCACAACAGCAGGCCCCATACCCAATCTACTGAACCAGAATCTGCATTTTTACTAGAACCCCCTCAGGTCCAGGCAGTTCATTCTGGATGGGGAAGCACTGTCCTAACCCAGGGATTAGCAAACCATGGCCCACAGTTAGCCCACTGCATATTTCTTACACTCATCAGCTAAGAATGATTTTTACATTTTTCAAGACTGAAGAAAAATCACAAGAATGTTTTGAGATGGGAAAATAATATAAAATTCACATTTTGGTGTCCATAAATAAAGTTTTACTAGTACACAGCCACACACTGGTTTAGGTATTGGCTGTGGCTGCTTTTGCACTGCAAATAGGAGAGTTGAGTATGAGATAGACTACATGGCCCACCAAACCCAAATATTTGCCATCTGGCGCTTTACAGGAAAAGTCTGCCGACCTTTGTACTGATCTATTTTGGAGGTGCATTCTCCATGCATGTGTTCTGTGGAGGCTTGAGCTGCAGTGGCCAGGACTTCCTCCACAGCACTCTTCACTCCCTTCCCCCGCCTCCCCTTCTCAGCGGGCCCACTGTGCACCATGTCTGTTGAAGGACACAAGTTTACATCTGACTTATGAGGATTTATGAGGGAGTGTCCTGGCAGCTGCCACCTATGGCCCAGAGGTGAAGGCTCAGGGCTGAGCGGAGCCCAGGATGCCTGTAGGTGATAGGTCAGTGGAACAGCACGTGACCATGAGATTCCTCTCAGTTTACAGTTCTGCCTGATAAGATGCTGCTGATTTCTGGTAGGCAGCAGGAGTAACACCTCAGGGGGCCTCAGCTCCTTTTTCAGCCATTCCCTCAAGTACTTGGAATTCCAGCCAGGTAGGTGGCAATCCTGGGGTTCTCTTCTAGACCCTAGGACAGGGGTGGAGCAAGCTACAGTGACTTTCCCCGGCAAACCTGACCACCCTGGCCTCTTAGCTGTGTTTTTACTCCCAGAATGCTCAGCCTCACAGTCTCCTGCCCTTTTCCCACAGCTGGCTGCTGCATGTTGCAGGCAGTAATGAATCTGTTTGTAGATGAGCAAAGTACTTCCAGGAAGGCCTTCGGGACTGTTAGGTCACTGTAGTGACCCGTATTTGTGTACCCTTTGTGCTTCCTGAGGACTTCTGTCTTCAGAGAGGGGTCCAGTGAGTCTGAGACACCACCTCACAGGAGCAGTATAATGGGAGCAGCAAGCCCAGGCCCCCGAGCTCCCAATAACAAGGGGAGCCTAGACCTTTGGGAGTAACTACCTCGGCCAATTAAAAGCTGGGCTTCTAGCCTTTTGGGAGTCATGGACTGTTCTGATAATCTGACAACTCTTTTTCAGATAAAGATTTATGAATACAAATAGTAGTACTTTCTATATATTTGACGAACATATTTAGGGGCTCATCTGATCCCTGGAATCCCATCTGTAAATCAAGTGAGGTGCCCTGGACAGGATGGACTTCTAGGGCAGTGGTGCAGCCATGGGTTTGCCTTGCCAGGCCAGTGTGATGAGGGAGCCACGACAGGGACCCAGCTGCCCCTGGGGGTGGGGTGAGTGAGCGAGGAGGTGCCTTAGCTTCTGAATCCATCCCATTTCACTCAGCCCTTCCCCTTTCCCTCCTGCCAACCTGCTCCTAGGTCTTTTGGGGTGTTAATTTGTGATTTTTGAGTTGAATTACAACGTAAGTAAAATGTACTTGGTGTTTAAGGAAAAACAAGGCTGAGATAAGACTTGCTACTTGAGAATGCCATAAAAATGTCAAGAATTTAGCTGCAGTTTATCTGGATTCTTCCCTCCCTTCCTCCCTTTTCTGTCCCTTTCTCTCCCCTACCCTGCACCCCCCACCTTTGTTCATCACACATTGAGTTGAGCTAACAGAGGAAATGGGCCCCGTCTTTTCCTTTTTGTGTCGAACATCTTTACCCTGGAGAAACGGACCTTCAAGTCTCTTTCCTTCACATAGAATTTTAGTCTTACTTTACCAGTCTTATCATTTGAGCCTTATTCTTTCATCCAAAAAATGTTTAAATTCGTACTGTGTGCTAAGAATTGTAGGCATGGAAGTAGGAGAAGTGAGTTGGAAATCAGACACACTTCTGACAGTCTGGTGCAATAGGAGTGGTCCAGTGTGACAAGGTCAGTGATGAAGTAGAGAGGGGAATTTAGGTGCTCAGGAAGGGATAGAAGAGGGACACCTGAGCCACAGCTCTATGTAAGCTGGGAGTGAGCAAGGCTGATGAGAGCAGCCACATTGGCCACCTTTCTCTTTTCTCTTTTCTCCTCTCTTGTACCAGAACCTAAGGAAGAGCACTGCACTCCTCCCAGGAGAGGGGAGAATTTTCCACCATCCTGTAGAGGCTGGAACCTTGCGCCACCTCTCCCTGTCCAGCTCCCAAATCAGCTTGTCTACCTCCTCTTCCTTGGAGTCCCAGATATACCTTTATTGCATACCATATGATAATTCTTAACCCAGGGCATGAAGTTTTTCATTTGCCTTGGATGCGGGGAAAATGTGTATTGACTGGATGAATTTCTTCATTTGACTTGTTCAGGCTTTTAGACAGAGAAAAACCAACCTACTGACCCCTGTACCTTTAGAGATGTTCTTCCTTGGCAACATCCTGCCATAGCACGGGCAGGGAACCTGGGCTGGGTGGGTCACACTGTGCTGTGGAGCAGGGCCAGAGGTGAGGAGCAAGGGGCTAGAGCTCAGCGCATGGGCAGCAAAGCCTGCTTTTCCTTTCTGGCCTCTGTCTGGGTGTGTCTCCAGGAATTTACTCCTCCCCTTATGCCAGCTGCTGGCTAGAGCTCTCCTCCTTGCCGCCTCTGTGATCTCTGTGGGCTGGCCCAGCCTGCCGGGGACTGTGCTGCCAGGCATTGTTTCTCCCCTTTTGGGCCCTGCTTCTGGCCCTGGTGGACATTGAAGCCATGCTGAGGGGCATGCGGCATGAGGGGCATGAAGGACTGCTCTTCAGACTGGGAGTTCCAGGAAACCCCGGAGGTGACCCCCAAGGGAACTGGGAAGGCCCAGGCAGTCACAAGCTGTGCATCTGCAAGTCCTTTGCCACAGCAGAGCTCGGGGCCTTGCGTGTAACCACAGTTCCCACCGTGTAACCACAGTTCCCACCGCACCCACATCAAAGGTCACTTTGATAATCAGCCATAGCCAAAGGCCACACATTAAGGGCTGGGGAAGGGAGAAAAGCTGTTTTTAGTGGGGAGCTCTCAAAGGAGATGGGAATAGGAGGAGGTGGGGGGTGGCATCTAGGGAGTGCTGGAGGGGCCACCTGGAGAGCCTGCATGTGACCTGCCCTGAAAGGAGGAAAACAGCTGCAGCTCCAGGTCTCCGCCAGCCTTTCCAAGGCCCCTGTCTACCCAGCACTGCTCCCTGAGTCTCATGGAAATGCACGTGAAGCAGCCTCAACCTTTCCACCTCCTTGGTTTGTAAAGCAGGTAGCCCAGAGTGGGGGACAGCCAGAGAGGCAGGACCCTCCAGCCCTGGCCCCTGTTCAGAATGTGGCCCCCAGGGTGCCCTGGCTGGTGGCCAACAGTCCAGGGCCAGACTCCCCTGAGTTTGCGGCAGTTGGTCTCTAATGGATGGTACCACCAGTGCCAAGGACAGCAAACGCTCTGTGCTGGGCCCGTCGCACAGCAGGACCAAGAACCCAGACTGGAGCTGCTTTTTTTTGGAAACAACAGGCTTTCCTCAGGGCACAGCCCGTCACTCGCCTGGAAAATGGGTGGGCGTGGGCTTCAGGGCGGGGGTCAGGCTGTGTGTGGGAACCAGTGAGCTCCTCCAAGAGCAGCACTTATTTTTAGTCTTCTCCCCAGTCCCAAATAAACTGAGAGCAGCTGGGAGCCCTGGGTAAATGCAGAGTGAAGCAGAGACAGGAAATCGGGGCTCTCAGTAATGAGTTCCAGCCACTCCAGAAGGGGGAAGCCAGACAAGGAATTTTCTTCAGGACTGTTTCCCTCTGGCAGGCTCCGGTATTATCACTGAGAATGGTCCCGTGTGTGTGTGCGTGTGTGTCATGTTTACAACTTCTGTCCAAGTCTTCTTTCTTTTTTCTCTACCTTTGTGTGACATTTGATTTCTCCGCAGGGCTCTGAATCCCAGTCCTGGTGCGTGTGCGTGCATGTATGTGCGTGTGTGTGTGTGTGTGTGTGTGTGTGTGTGTTTGTTGGGGTGGTCGGGGAGGACACTGAAGCAGCACGGTCTGCTCTGTGTCGCTGTGTGTCTGAAACTGTCTAGGGAGAGGCTGAAGGACGCAGGCCAGGGAAGTGGGGAAATTTGAACACAGCTTGGAGTTCTTGAGGGGGGAGGGGGCAGAGGCAAGGAAGAGGAGAGAACTGGTCTCCAGCCAGGAAAAGGGCTTTTTCCACCAAGGCATCTAACTGCTGACATGGGTGCCCAGCATGGATGGGGACATTGATGTTTACAAGCATTTCTCGTGGCTGAAGAGGGTAAGTGACTGGCTGCTTTGTCTGGGTCTCCGTGGAGATAAGTGAGGGGGAGACGCTTTGGGGTGTTTTGGGGTGTGTGTGCCTGTGTGTGGTAGGGGGAGGTATTGTCCAGCAAAGCCCTGCTGTGGCCAAGTTCTTCATGAGAATCTAATTATAGACACCAGGGAGAAAACAGTCAGCTGTCTTTGTTTCTCCACTGACATTCTAGTGAATGAGCCTCTGTACAGAAAGGCAAGAATGGAGTGAGGAAAGTTGGTTATTTTAACTTTGGCACCTAAACAGTCAGAGGCTCCAAACACCGTGACCAGAAGAATGTGCCCACCGCTTTTCAGTTTGAGGACACAGGGAGGAAGCTGCTGCCTTTTTAAATGCATTGGATTCGGAAGTTGTTTAACTCGTTCTCACTCTGATGTTATCCGGTGGAGCACACATCTGCTGTCAGCAGAATGAGCTTCTGCATTTCCGGAGGAAAGCTTTCAGGGAGTTCTCTTTGAATGCTCTGAAGCTGAGGGTTTATGTTGCAAGTTGTTCATGCCCTTTCTTTAGAGGATAAACCTGAGTGTGTGGTATGAGCAAGGAATGAACGGACGTTGGGGGCTGGAGTAGCATCATACTCCTAGAATTCAGGCTGTTTCCTCTTTTGTGGCTGCCTTTAAATTGGCTAAGATAGGTATGAATTTATTTTCACACGAAGGGATTTTAGGCTGAGTGTTTTTCAGAGGCAGGAAGGGCAAAAGCAGCTGACAGGTTAGAGATTTGACATTGTAACTGCAGAAGGACAGAAGAACCAGGAAGTGTCCAGCTTGGAAGGGGCATGCAGATGCCCGGACCCCGACTCCCGGACACTGAGCTGGCTGGCTTTTGTGTGAGTGCAGCAGCACTCATTCAGCAAATCTGTACTGAGTTTGGGTACTGGGTGTATAGTAGTGAGCAAAATAGAACCAGCCTCTTGTGGATCTTCTACCTAATACTGGAGATGTAGGTGAAACAGTCCCAGGAAATAAACCTCAGATTACAAACAATAAGTGTGCCTGGAGGAAGAACAGAAGACACGGGACTGCTGTTTTGATGGAGAAGGGGGTTGGGGCGGTCAGGGAGTTTGAGGAAATTATACTTCGCTGAAAACTGAAAGAGCAGTAAGAATGAGTCAGGTGAAGAATGGGGTGAAGAACATTCCAGGCAAATGGGGCATAGGGGATGATGTATATACAAAGGTCCTAAAGCAAGATGGAGTCTGCTGATTGTCCAGATTGAGAGAGAGCCCATGTGGCTGAGCACAGTGATGGCAGACAGAGGCGGGCAGAGGCTGGGATCACGCAGGACAGTGAAGGCCACGGTAAGGCTTTTGGGCAACCTGGTTTGTGTGCTGGGGGACTTGTAGCAGGGAAGTGACATGGGATACATTGGGGGGGGTCTAGTTTGTATTTTAAGAAAATTACTCTAGCTGTGATGTGGTATATGGTAAGCTATGTTGGGAAAAGTGAGGCAACTGAACACAATTATAGGGCTGGAGGGCTTGGAGGGATGGGATAGTACAAACCCCTCATTTAACAAAGCCCAAGAGGGGCTAAGAACCTCATGGTATTAGTGTCATAGCTATTAGTGGTGCAGCCTGGTCTTGAACCCTGTTCTCTATCTCCCAGTCTAGTTCTCTTTATTCATTTTCTCTGCCAAATATGTATAAAATTATTGCTTTAGAACCCAGCAGAAATCCTGTCTGTGCCCAGCCCCTAGGGCATCACAGTCACCAGAAAGCATGCTGAGATGACCAGACGTTTTGGCAAAGGTTTGCATCATCTTAGGTTTTTTTTTTAAGCCCCACTGGGGAGATACTGAAAGGAAATATGTAAGAAATGCACTGACCATCACTTGGTCCTTCTTTCCCTGTATCCCAAATGAAGCTTTTAATCAAGAAATCCTTTCAGCCAACATGTGCCTGGGATTGTCAGAGCCTTGTCCCAGCCCCTGGGGCAGATACTGTAACTCTGCCTGCTACAGGAGAAGTTATGTGTGTGGAGGAACTAATTTTGCATGTGATGCAATGTAAGAAGGCCCTTCTTGTCCCAAGACCCAGGGTATGCTGGCTCCTGTGGACAGTTGGAAGTTTGCTTAGGGAAACTTTAAGCAAGGAGACTTTAGAAACCCCCAGGATGACTCATAGCAAAACAGATATTTTTCTTCTACTTTTAGAATTTTAAAGAGCATTTTACAAAAGCAAAACTCAAAGTGTAGACATGTCATTGGCAGTGTGATAAGAGTATTTTCACTATTCTCTACCCTAAACACTACTGCCAGATTTTTAAAATCTTCTTAAAAAAAAAAACAAAAAAAACAAATTCCCTTTCGTCCTGTGACCCCAGTGATGAGCCCCCCTGGACTCACCCTTAATCTGGAAGAAAAATCAGGCCCTTCGGCTTGCTTGGCCTTTGAGACCATTAGCAGCCCAACCTCAACTTACCTTTTTAGTTTTATCTTTTATATCTACCCTGATGAGCTCCCAAGTGTATTTCTTCCCTTTTCTGAGCTTTTACCACAGATGACCACCTCCTCTCTAACTCTCATCCACTTCAACTGACTCCATCCAGGCTGTCTTTTCCCAGGAAACCTCTGCTGGCCCTCCCTCCCCACCTCCTGTAGCCCAGGTCTGCAGCACTTCCCATCTGCATGGCTCACCCACCCTTTCTCCTGTGCTTCAGCTGAGGTGGTGTGGAGAGCTGGTTTCTCTGAACTCATGCTTTTGAAGGTAGAAACACTATCGTCTTCATTCTCCTTTACAGAGGGCATAGATTCTGGAAGAAGAGGTTCCTGGTGCCAGAGCAGGAGCCCTTGCCCTTTGAGCAGTCCAAGGTGGTGGTGTCTCAGGGCAAAGGGGAGATACTTATGTTCAGAGAGGCATGGAGCTGGAGGGGAAATATTTGCTCAGAAAAGAAATCTTGCTCCAGGGCCTGTGTGGGATGGGATAGTATATACTATTAATATTACAGTTAAGAACATGGAGTCTGGAGTGAGGCCTGAATTAGAATCCTGGCATTGCCACGTTTACCAGCTGTGTGATCCAAGGTAAATTATCTCAAAAGTCTGGATTTCTTTAACTATAAAATAAGGGAGATAATAGTACCTACCACATACAGGCTTTATGAGGACTCAGTAAGATAGTACGATTAGTGCAGTATCATGCATGTAGGAAATACTCAATAACATGCTTGCTATTAACTGCTATTGGTGATTATCAGGAAGGGAGAAGTTGAAAGAGGAACAGATGGAACCAGGTTCTCTCCTAGAATTGCCTCTCAGGCCATTCAGTGCTTCAGCTTTATGACCCTTCCCATACTCCAGATCAAGGTCTCAAACCAAGCATATTGAAGACCTAGAAAAGGCAGCTGCAACCTGGGCCACCATAGGTGACCAGAGGCCTCATTGGCTGCTGGATCTGGCCAGCTTGGCTGTGGTTGCTGAGTGAAGGCTGATCAGGGCTGATGCTCTAGTTCATTCTCCTAACAGACAAAGCCTAGGGATAAGGTAGTCTCTTGCCACAAGTATCCAGAGGGACTCAGTCACAAACAGCTCACACCTGTTCTACATTGAGTCCAGTGGATCCAACCCACACAACCATGAACACACCTCTAAAAATAGCTCCGAGCAGGGTCTGTGGGACCCACCCACTGCTCTTTCGGCAAGAGTTCATTTTCCCAGGAACAGAAATCCCAGACTGTCAGCATCTTCACACTGCTTCCTGGCTTCCAGCACTCTCAGTGCTTAAGCAAATTCCAACTGTAGGTCACAAAGAAAATGGAATCACTACAGGTCCCCCATGCAGTTGGCTCAGGTTCTGCAGTAAAAAGTGGAATTAACTCAAGCTGCTAATGTGAGACTTTATTCTGTGTCATCTGGTGCTCAAATGGTTGATCTAGTAGCCTGGCCACTTGGGCCAGAAGAGCTGCAAAGGCAGACACGGAGGTCTCCTCACTCCAGACACTGACTTGCCTTGCATTCATGTTGGACTGCAGTGAAAGTTACAGAAATAGGCAGCAGCTTCTGTGAAGGCTGTTCCTACTAGTTAAGAGCATGGATCCTGGATCTAGATTCCTTGGGCTCATATCTCACCTCTGTGTAGACTTGGGCAATTTATTTAACCTTCCTAGAATTCAATTTCCTTGATTATATATATGGATAAACAATTCTATAGATAGATAGATAGATAGATTTTTTTTTTTTTGAGACAGAGTCTAGGTCTGTCACCCAGGCTGGAGTGCAGTGGCACAATCTTGGCTCACTTCAACCTCCTTCTCCTAGCTTCAAGCGATTCTCCTGCCTCAGCCTCCCGAGTAGCTGGGATTACAGGCATACACCGCCATGCCCAGCTAATTTTTTGTATTTTTAGTAGAGATGGGGTTTTGCCATGTTAGCCAGTCTGGTCTCGAACTCCTGATCTCAGATGATGCGCCCGCCTCAGCCTCCCAAAGTGCTGGGATTACAGGCGTGAGCCACCGTGCCCAGCCAATTCAATGTATGTTAAGTGCTTAGGAAGCACTTTATAAGTGTTAGAGTTATGGGGAGGATGACATCGATCAGAACTGACAACCTCTGGTTACTCGGGAGCCAGGTACCCAACCTTGATTCTGAAAAGAGAGGTTTTTCAATCCTATGGGAAAGGCAACAGTGGATATGGTCACCCAAGGGCACTAGCTTCCTCAATTTCCTATGATACCTCCTATTTCTGGCCAACACACCCGAGATGCCTGTACATTATGTTTCCTGGTATAATTTAGAAGCTAGAATTCTGCCATCTCTGACATCCAGCACCTGTAACTCCTGCCAGCTCCTTGAAGAGAGGCCTCTTTTACCCAGTGGGATTTAACAAACTGGCATCACACCAGGGTCATTTGCTGAACAACTTGTGGGCACTACAGAGCAGCACAGCCATTGTTGGTTTTGTGGACTGGCAGCAGCACTTAGGGATCCTTTGACTCATCCCTGCTTTTCTCTGTCCCTTCCTCCATAGCAGCTCTTTCACACTTTTCCATTAGTCTTCAACCTTATACTCCCCTTTCAACTGATGTCACTACCAATGTCATAGGAAAAAAAAAAAAAAACCAGCCAAACTGAGATGAGTCTCTTCACCCTCCCTCCCTTTCACCGCAAAATGTAACTGTATTTCAGCATCCTGTTTCATGGGCCAGGAGTCCCTTCTCTCAGCCAAGGCTATCCCAGTATCCTGTCCTTGACCCAATCCTGTTCCAGCTCCTCTTGTTGCTCTGATTGTTTCTTCTCTCAGCTCCTCCCTGCCTATCTGTCCCTTGCCCTTGGTGGAAAATGCTTCTCCTCAATTCTCAGGGAAAAAACAAATCAAAACTATCTTTGACCCTGTGCTTGTCTCTTCATGCTGCCTTATAACTTACCTTCCTTTCACTGTTAAGATTCTTGGTGAGTTGTTAGCCTGCTCGTTCATCTCTACTCCCTCCTGGTCACTCCTGAAGCCAGTGAGCACTAACTTTGTTCCTATAGTCATCTTTTAAATTCCTTCTGTAATGTTATTTTTGCTGCCTCTAGTTCCCAGGCAATCTTCCCCATACATTTTCCTTTGTATTCATTTCCATTTGGAAATCTTGTAGGATTAATGGCATTCTTGTGACCCGAGGAGCAGCTCCTTACTTTGGCTCTTGCCTAATTCTGTGTTCTCAAACTTTGGATCTTTCATGCCGAAGAGACACCAGGCTCTAAAGCCTCCAGGGGAGCTAAGACAGTCACAGCGCCCACTCCACCCTAACTGTAGCACCCAGTCCTGCTGCACTGTCTCTGAAGGTGTTTTCAGTAATAATGACTCAGTGCATCTATTGGAGTTGGCAAGGTGAGGACAGTCTTCAAAGAGTCTTCTCTTTTTACTCTCCTCCTGGCTTTCACATCCTCTCATTACAGGATACCAGCACACATACAAATGCTATTTCTGCAGCCCAGTGCTGTAAGCTTTTTATGTGTCCAGCTACCAGATAAAGAGAATTTAGCAGTGACCAAGCTCAGCCAAGGTTATAATTTTGGGGAAAAAAAAAATCTTGGTAAATGTGTTTCTCTACAAATCTAGCTCCCCAGGAAGATCAGTTAGGAGCTTCATCCCAGCCCCTTGGTTGGAGAGCTGATGGCCAGTTTATCTTCAGGGTGTCCTGTGTTTGCTATGTTAGTTCTGGAAGACCAGAATATCTGAAGGGTAGTGATTGTCATAGCTTCATGGGTAGCATGTCTGTATTGGGAAGGCTATTTCCAAAGCTGCTGTTCTCACATTCTCCTAGGGGTATTCCTTTAAAGCCTTCAGACTCAATCATTCAAATGGTGCCTCCACTGTAAAGCCTCTTCTCTCTTTTGAAGGTGAAATGTTTTTGTCTCTCCTCTATGCCCCTGCCATTCATGTGCATACAACTCTTTATGATAGTACTTATTACATCCTGCTGCAAAGGTTGATTTCTTTTTTCCTTCTGTCCTTATTCCCTGTAATACTACAGAGCTTTTTAAGGGCAGGGACTAAATCATTGTTTAGCACAGAAAGTGGCACCTAGTGGGTGCTCAGGATTATTCAAGTCATTTCATAAATACATTCATGACGTGTGATGATGTGAACATTGGTCAACCAAGAAGCTATTTATTTGCTGTTTATGAACTCTGCTTTGTTCTTCCTTAAAAGAGGACATTTAGATCATTGGATGATAGCCTCATCAGCAATACTTAACCTCCCCTTATATATAATTGAGGGGAGGAGGGAATAAGGGTCAAGGTCAGGATAGGCTTTCTCTTGTTGGACTCCTGGTAGCCGAGGATCTGACTGCACTCTATTCACATTGCATTTGGAAGAAATTTCTTTAACACTGTGACAAAGATGGTAGATTGGCTTGACCGTTCTTCACCTAGAAAAAGCAGAACTGGTCCTGGGAATACTCAGGTTTATAATAAATGCCAGAAAGCCCTAAAACTCCTTAATAAAAAAATCTAGGGGAAGTTTTCTTTTTTATAAGAACCTGCCTACACTCATACTACTGGGTTCCCTTGGTGTTGGGTAACCAGAGTCCTGTAACAGGAATTGACTGTAGCTTTTGTGATCCAATCATTTTTGTTTATTTATTTATTTTGGTCCCCTTACTTTTAAGGTTTATGTCTTCTAAGTTTCTAAAAGGGGTTGCATGTGAGTGGTGCTTCTGAGCTTAAGATATAGCCTTAGTAACTTTGATATCTCCCCTGATGCCCTGTGCCTGGCAGCTATGGTTCACTTGTAACTAGTTTTCTGGATTTTGATAAGATCCTCTTGACTAGGCAGCCTGGAAACACTACACATTTTCTTTTGTTTTCTTATTCAGCTAAAAATACATGTCATCTAAATGGCTAAATAAGGAAGAACCATTTTAAGGCTTATCCAGGACAAGGCTTACCCAACGTGCTGTGTTCAAAATCTCAGCGTATTTACAGGCAAAGAGCCATCATATAATTTAACATGCTCTGACCAGTTGGGACAGTGTATGTACTGTGGCCAAGATCCTGAAGGCACTGGAATTTATAGCTTATTAGAAGCACTGAAGGAAATGTAACTCTTTACCTGGCCAAGATGACAACTATTGATATCAAAAAAAGGAAGGCAGATGCATTTTGAGGATCCCAAGGCAAGAGCTCTGAGAAGCAACTGTTGGCTTCAAAAACCAACATGATGCTAGAGCTGTCACACTGGGGAGCCGACTGTTTTAGGTTTTCCCACACTCCTTACTTGTATACCAATGACACCCCTGTTGTGATCTAGCCCTTGCCCCATTTGACTACTCTGGAACCAACTCCTTCCCCTAGTTCAATGAAGTACAGTGCCAGCAGGAAGTCTCCTGGGTCATGCCAGTTGGGGAGTGCTACAGAACTGCCCTCATCCAGCATCCCTGAGGTGTACCAGAGCACATGTGAAGAGTGTGTTCTCCTTGCAAATGGCCAGCCAGGCCATAAAGCAGTCATGCTGCCCACCACAAATCTGCAGGACCCCAGCCATGGCATCAAGCACTCACCCTGTCTAGAGCTCCAAGGAGAGACTAACATGGCTATCCCTTGGCCAAGCTACAGTGGAAGGGCTAGGCCAGGAGAGAGCATTGTCATAGATCTGAACAGCCACTGCAGTCAGAGGGTGATGTCTTTGAGGAGGCCGCTGGGGGTTAACTTGGCTGAAAAGTTCATGTTTAACCCAAATTTGAACTAACCTCTAGATTGGAACAGAAATAAAAACCCAAGTGTTTATGATTGGTTATTACTAGCTATAAAAATTCCCAGTGTACTCATTATAAACATGTATGTAGCACATAATACTTAGAGTACACAATAAAACACTTGTACGAAAGAAAAATATGTGGCCATGAATGTATGACTCAAAAATGTGAGCACTTGTTCAGGGATAGTGGAGAAGTGAACTCATCTTTGGCAATGTGGCCCAAAGACATGATCCCAGGGCTATTAGCTAATGGTGGGTTCTGCGTTGTCACTGTCACAGAGGCTTTCTTTTTGTTTTGTTTTTTCATTTCAAGCCTGAAAGTATTTTGGTTATTGTTCCCTTGGGTTGTTTGTACAGATCTTCATAGATATTTCTTAGGCATCCTGATCAGAAATATTGCCCCTGTTGTTCTCTTACACAAAAAGAGTGAATTAATTAAAACTTTTTGTAGAAGGCATTAAATGATGCCTTCTAACTCATGCTTCTAACTGAATGTTGGTCTTTTAGATTAAACAAAGCTAAATCATTTATAAGTTAGCTAAATTCATTTGTTAAATTATAATTTAAAAATCATTTCCATATTCCTATGATTATTCAAAAACTGTTTATATCACACAGGAATTTTTAGAGCACCCTACTATAAAGAGCACTCTGTAGTTTTAGTGCCACACGTTTTCAGGTATGCTGACCTAACTTGACCCTTTCTGTTGCTCCGTGAAGCATGATTTTTTCTATTGAAAGGATGGAAAGCCTGAGATGAGGTAACCTACTTGAGATTACACATGGTTAGGTGCAGCCCCAGCCTCCTAATTATTCTTGGTTTGTCCTCTTTCTGCAGAGAAGGTGGTCCCTTGGGGAGGAGGATGCAATAGGAATTCTGTAAATGAATATGGAAGCACCACAAGAAAGTCCCCAGGGATCCCCTGACTTGAAGTTCAGCTGGGCCAAATGAGGGGAACAGGGAACCCAGAGCTCTCAGCCTCCCAGCGCCCAGACCTGGCATTTGTACAGCTGTGTCTGACATGTAATTCTTTCGACATAACTTCTTAAACAGTTGTTAGATCTATTTCTGTTATTTACCCTTCATTTATTCATTTTCTGATTCATTTTCTGATAATATCTTTTAGACTTTAGCTCCTGTTTATTTCTTGTTTTGTTTGAACTTACTTTTTCATATCACACATCCTGCTCCCCACCTCCACCAACCCCGGTTGATGCCCATGGGCCTGTTGCATCTTGTATTCATTCCCTGTCTTAACCTTTTTGCTCTACATGGGAAATAAGAATGGAAGCAAACAGGTGGTGGATAGAAAGCCATCTATTCCACACACAAAGGACACTGAGTGCCCTTTTTATCCTAGTACATCCCACACAGACACTCCCTGTGCCACAAAGTAGATCTCAATTAGCCCCTGATGATAATCCTGGTTTGAACTATAGTTGGCTTAGGACTGACAGCCCTGTCTTAAAAATTGCCACTTTAAGCAAATCAAGCAATAGTGGCAGAATTCCTTTGCAATTCAGAACTATATCCAAATAGCAGGAATTCTTTCCTACAAGTCTGTTTCCAAAGGAGTAAATTTTAGTCAGTTGATCACCTTTTGAGACAAATGTATTAACCAGAACTTTTGGTTGCAAATAACAGAAACTCAGTTTGAACTAGGCCAAGAGGGAACCAACAGGAAGGGCTGGAATATATCTCTGCCTTTAGGCAGCGTGCACCGGGGATGAGAATGCCTCCAGTCTTTTTCTTGGCTTTTGTTTGCTTTTCTGTGCACACTGGGTTCATAGCTGTCTCTTGCTGCAAACCAGCTTTTTCCACGTGGAGCAGGACATGGCCACTGACAACCTCAGAACTGTGGCACCACCACTACCATGCTCTGTTCCCAAGTTTAAAAATTCAGAGGAAGGATTTCAACAAGTCAAGCCTGGATCAAGTGGCAGGGAGATGAGGATCTTTCTAAGAAGATGGCAGCCCTCATTTATACCACATAATTACAGTAAAGGCGATGATCTCAGCCTAGTCTACACAAACAATAGATTCCATTAAAGCAGGGTGCTGATTCTCTGCCAAGACTGATACAAGTCTTCTCTGTTTCTTTTCCTTAGCAAGAAAACAAGGGGAACAATTTGGCTGATCTAGGGTTCGCCACAATTCATGGTGAAGTTTCTTTTTTGGACCTGACATATCCCCTGAAAAATCTCATCCCTAAAATGCAATGTTCTCCAAGGTGCAGAAATCTTGATTTCTTTGAGTATGCCAGCAACCAGCTCTCTGTGCATGAGGAACTTATCAAGAGTAAATTTCTTACTCAGTGACCAAGGGGAGGGATGGGAGAGGTAGGGACAGGACCTGGTTTAGGTTAGGCTAGTATCATTGTACGGTCCAAACTGCCCCTTATGTGGGGACTTAACTATCCCTGCTGGAATCTTGCTGGTCAGTCAGTCCTCTCCCTCCTGGCTACTCACAGTTCTCTCTCTGTCCTCTCCCTGCTGAGGCTGATTGACTATCATGATCAACTCCAGGATCCCAACCATAGAATACCCTGCACAGCTGATACATTTTCCTGAGGCCCCTCTCAGTTAGGGATGGCTTAGAAAATACCCACACCTTAGGCTGTTAATTGCTCAAGCTGCACATTAGGCTTGCCCAGCCACGGCAGTGGTAGCAGTTTGGGTCTTACAGAAACAGACCCTAGGATAACCTGTAAGAATCAAGGAGGTGTGTTGTCACTGTTTCTGAAGACACTCTGGAATATTACTCCCAAGGCCTAGGGAAGACCTTGATATGACAACTCTGTGCTGTGTTTTATATTTGCCTCCGCGAGGTCTGAATTTTAGAGGATGAATTCCTTGTGTCCAAGACTTTTTTCAGCCTCTTGAGAGCAACACTTGATAGACACAAAGGTGGCTTGGCTTCAATGATCTTGACTAAGGGTGCTGAGTTCTTAAAAATATCCATTCGAGAAGCCCTTGTCTTGATTCAGTTCCGTGATATAGGAGAGGTAGTATGTTTCACTGTGGCATTCTTTAGTCAAAATTGAAGAGGATGTGGAAATGTCTGGAGTTAACAGTTCTCCACAGGGCACACAGATCACATGGTTCTCACTATATTTTTAGGTAACTAACCTGAATTACAGTATCAGAAATAGCTCTGACCATTTGAATGAATGGTCTGAAAATTTGAATGAGAAGATTGACTTTTCCCTGTCACATTTGTAGCAATAACCATCAGAACAGAGGGGGAGGAAGTTTGATCAAATATATGTAACACAGCTTACCATTGGCAGGTCTAGCCTAGTGGCTAATGTCATTGGTTGAGTAAAAATTAGCTCTTTCTTATATTCATCTGTGGATTGAGCATCCTTAACAAGTATAACGGGGGTGGATGATACTCTCCTTTATAGTCACTTGCCATCCCACAGTGGGGAACAATAGAAAATTAGCATGTAGGCCAGGCACGGTGGCTCATGCCTGTAATCTCAGCACTTTGGGAGGCCAAGGTGGGCAGATCACAAGGTCAAGAGATTGAGACTATCCTGGCCAACGTGGTGAAACCCCATCTCTACCAAAAATACAAAAAATTAGCTGGGCATGGTGGTGCATGCCTGTAGACCCAGCTACTCAAGAGGCTGAGGCAGGAGGATCGCTTGAACCCAGGAGGCAGAGGTTGCAGTGAGCCTAGATCGCACCACTGCACTCCAGCCTGGTGACAGAACAAGACTCTGTCTCAAAAAGAACAACCCCCTCCCAAAAAAAAAAAAACCTCAGAAAATTAGCACGTAGCATCCTTCAGAATTTGATTGGACTTTCTTCTCTGTGAAATGTGGGCATGGTTTTTGCAACCTGACTTCATGCGTGGAGAGCTGGGCAACTGCTCTATCGCTGACTTACCTAATCAGGAACATGGACAAGACTTTTCAGAGACACCTCAAACCTGGAATCATGCAGGGATCCACTATCCATCCAAGCCTTCTATTTGCAATTCCACTATTAAAGAAGCAGGTATACTTGTTGACCAAGCAAGCTGTCTTTAAAGTAGAGCAAAACAGAGATGTGTCCTAACTCAGTCTTTTAAAATATTTTTCTCAATAAATTGGAATCCCATTTTGATAACCACAAAGCTTATTATGCCTTGATGATGTAGTCATTTTATAATGCAAGAATGATACCAGAACGTGATTGAACCTGTTGCCAGGTTATAAGAATACAGAATATACAGATTCACCCAAAGGCAAATCCTTACCTTAGGCTGATGAGTATTAGCATTCAGCAAGACAATCCTCTTCTTGGCCCTGTTCTCAGATGCTTTCCAAGTTTTTCTCCAGGCAGAGGTGGCATTTGATCCTGGCCTATGCCCTTCTGAAGAACGCAGTTTTTTTTAACATCCTAGTCCTATATAGATCATGAAAACACATGGCTCTGACTTCATCAAAAGCAAAGGATAGTGATACTGTGGGTTTCCATCTGGAACATTATCTTTCACTGCTGTTTACCTTTAAAAAGCTTGCTGGAGAACGGTGATTTTGAAGGACCTGTAGAAGAGGAAGATGCACTGTTCCTCTAGAACAGTGATTGGGGTGGGGGAGGGACCTGTCTGCCATGCACACCACTGCTGTATGGACCAGTATGCCTGCTAGGAAAGGAGTTGGCTCCTCGAATCTGTTATAGGAGGGGCAAATATGAGGAACCACTGTTCTAGGTCCTCTAACAGTGCTTCTAGATTTTCAAATATATTTTAATTACTCAATAGAAACATTTTGTAAGAAACTCAAACATTATGTCAAAGTGCTCTGAACAGTGCCTGGCACATGTTGAGCACAAGGTGCTTGCTGTGTATTTACAGCACTGTGCCTGGACCATATTATATTAGTCTCCATGGAATTGCTTTCACCTTTGGCCCATATTGTCCACTAGCCTCTGAACTATTCTGAGAACATCACACAAAAGTAATGAGTTCTACTGGGCTCTGTTTACTATAAGGGTGTCATGGATATTGCTGATCCCATCACACAAAATCTGTCTATGAAAACGTGAAGTTTCTCCCTTGCTCCGGAATAATTATGCTTCTCCTAGGCAATTGATTTGATTTTACCATACTGATCTGCGGATCCTGTTAACTGATTGTGCCTCTCTTTTTTTACTGGCTGCTAGCGTGGATCTAGATTTTTGATCCCCCTTCTAGCATGTGCTATAGAATCTAGGTCATACATTTTATTAACTGAATTTATGATTTCAACTTTCTTACTCTTTTTTTTGTCAACTAGTAAAAATAGTTACCTCTCTGGGTGATTGTATGGGTAGACCTTTTATTATAATGAAGAATATACTGCACACCATTTGAATAAGGCATAGTTGGTACAGTGGCTTGCTGGAGTCTCTGGAAGAAGTCTTGCCTTTGGTCTTCTCTCCTTCATTTCCTGCCAGAGAATGGGCGGCTGCCAGTGCTAGGTGGCTCCGTGTCCATGTGGACTTCGGCACTGGGGTTCTACCTGCAGAGCTTCACTTGGACACCTGGGTCCTGTTTAATTCTCTGTCCACTGGAAATCACCATCATGTGAGTTCTTTGACAGAGAAGAAGTTGACCTGCTATTAAGAATTATTCTCCTACCTTTTCTTCTCTGGTTCTGAGAAAATATAGATTATAATATATTCTTGGATTCTAGTCAGAGAATTTGATCATGTGAGAACCGGAATATTAATTTAACAACAATAAACTGCCATTAACAAAGAAGTCAGTTGTGATTGTTAAGGTTCTTTGTCTGTGGCATGAAAGAGCTTCCATAACAATGAACAAGACATAGGCTCCAGAGGGGCTGGAGCAGAAGACAGTGGTGTGGCAGCAGGTGCTGCCTGGCACAGCTGGCCTGGGGAGTGGCCCCTGGGCCTGTCCTCTGGCTGCACCTTCAACAAACAATCAATGAATCTTTCACTAGTGCGCATCCAGGGTTTGAATGCGGTATGCTTGGTCCACATTTCTGTTCTAGGACTGGGCATGGCTCTGTTGCCTCCCTCACCTATGCAGTGCATTGGGAAGGGGTGGGATGAGGGGAGGAAGGAGGTGCCTTTTCTCATGGAGGGTGGTGGGAGAGCCCATGCTAAAAGTTGAAATGTGGGGAAATGGCCTAGGACAAGGTGGCCCAACTCTGGGTCTCTCACATCTGCCTCTTTGCACAATTAAGACTTTCCTCTAGGGTGGTAGACACCTCCCTCGTGAATATTGAAGTGCTGATTTCACTGGACCAGCTCAGATTGTATAATACTCAGTTCCACATTTAGCAATCAGATCTACTTTTTCAAACTGCCAAGCCTCTGGGTGGCCTATTGCAGACCAGTCTGATTTCAGTCTTCCATTTGCATGGAGGAAGGAGGTGTTGGGGCCAGCTTGGTGACATTAGCTCCTTCTCTCCTGTCTGCCCACAACCAGGTCAGACACACCCAAGAAAGTGACACCTCCTTTCTCTGCTTGGGACATTTGTAAGATTCTGCCTCTCCTCTGACATTTCACATCCTCTCCCTTTCCTCTCTTTTCTATAGTTTCTGGCTACCTGTAATTTCCTTAGCTTTTGCTCTGGCATCCCTCTGGCTATTATTTAAGTTCTTCTCAAGATGTTTTGTCTTAGCTTGCTTCTCTCAGCTCTAGCACTGGGGAAATGTGATCTGCCAGCCTGGCTACCAAAGCTCTTATTGGAGGGTGGGATTGGGGTGGGAAGGGACGTGTGAATGAAGGGCCTTGTAGTTGACATCCTCCATCCTTCATGCTCACTGTGATGTTCAGGATGGGCCTCCATGCAGCAAGGTGTGCCTTGGCTTCAGGGGACCCTGGCATGAGAATTAGGAGATACCAAGATCTGTGCAGAAGCTGTTCCCATGTAGTCCCTTGGAGAACGGTGCCAGCTCTCCAATCTCCTCAAAGAGCAGACCCTCATTGTCGCCATGCCTCTGGAGGCTGTGCCTCTGGCTAACCCAGACCCAGCATGTCAAGTCAAGCACTGCTGGGCCTAGAGTTTCACAGAGGCCCTCCTGGCCAGGAGTGAGGTCATCCAGGAGGTGGTTGTGCCAACTTCCAGGGCGCACTTTTCAGTGGCATGTGATCTGGTTCTCCTCATGGTAGTTTTGAAATCTTGTGGTTTCCTGTTTTGATGATTGGTTTTGTACATATAATCAGTGAAACTATCCTCACAAATTACATGCATCCCTTATTTCATTTAGAAGTTGGTAAGATGTTTTTCCAACCTTTTAAGTGTATTCTTTTTTTTCTGTCCTCTTTAGTCCCAGGTAAACCACCACAGTGCTGCTAGTAATGAAACCTACCAGGAACGCTTGGCACGTCTAGAAGGGGATAAGGAGTCCCTCATATTGCAGGTGGGTACTTTTTGGTGAGAATCGGCTTATCCTGTTACCTCCTACTATGTAGCTTCCCCTAAGTGGAAGGGAAGCCCAAGAGATTTTCTCTGTTGGAATTTTTCTCCTTCCAATGCCTATGTTTTTAGAAAAGACTTTTCCTGAAATAAAACATTAAGTAACTGAGGGGACAATTTAACTCTAGACTTGGCTTAGGGGGGCTGTGAATTCAGTCATTCATTTATCATGCACTCCCAAGCACCCGCTTCTATACACTGGCAGCCCCATGACCAGGCTGATTTCCAGGTGCTAAGAATGAACAAAATGGGCCCTGTCCCCCAGAAGCTCCTGAGTCTTGCGAGGGAGGGGAGATATATCCTCATGCCACTAATAAAACAGAGCTGTGGGTGATACAGGCCTAAGGGTGAATGCTAATGAATCAAGTCCAAATTGTCTGAAGCTGGATCTAGACTGATCCCTTTAATGCCAAATCCCCTGGAGCTGGTAACAGGGGCTAAGCCTTTGATAGCTGTCTTGCTTGAAAGAGAGGAGCTCCAAAACCTTTTACGGAGAAAGATCATCAAGGGAGCTTTTTCGCTGTTGAAAGTTTGTGTGCCTTGGTAGGACATAGAGTTAGGTATTCTCATAAGAAGGCTGTTGAAGAAGCAGGCCCAGCACTTTGCTGTGTTAGCTCTTGAAAATATAAATTGATTAAGCAAGCATTTACTCAAGGTCTGGTATGCATCAGATATTAATTAGTGATTTGGAAAATATAAAGGCTAGTATCCTAATCCCAGCTCCTTAAAAGCTTAAAGGGTGATGAGTTAGACTGGTGGTAGAATGAAGGGAGGGGTTGAGCGGGGCCTGGAACCCACCCCAGGCTATGGGCTTTAGCTTGGAGCACTAAGGTTATGAGGTGGCAGTGTGTTTGTTTTTTCTCTTTTTACCTTACTTATTTTACTCTTTCATTGTATTTTATGAACATAAGGGTAATGAATGATTTTAAAAACCTTTAAAATTCTAAAAATGTGAAGAAGCAGGTTAACACTTCGGCCTTTTTTCCAGTGTTGTTGGTTTTTTTTCTTTTGCCTCTATTGTAAATAACTGAGCTCATACCAAATATATAGTTTTACATTCCAGTTTTGTATTTTTCTTCACTTCATTGATTTCTTCATTATAAAATAATTGGGTATCTACAACTTGTGAGATGCTGGTTTTAGATGCTGGGATAAAGCAGTGAAAGAAGCAGACTAAATTCCCATTCTTGTGGATCTTCCATTTGAAAGAGAGAGAGTGGGCCAGGTGCAGTGGCTCATGCCTGTAATCCCAGCACTTTGGGAGGCTGAGGCAGGTGAATCACCTGAGGTTAGGAGTTGGAGACCAGCTTGACCAGCATGGTGAAACCCTGTCTCTACTGAAAATACAAAAATAAGCCAGGCATGGTGATGGGTGCCTGTAATCCCAGCACTTTGGGAGGCTGAGGCAGGTGAATCACCTGAGGTTAGGAGTTGGAGACCAGCTTGACCAGCATGGTGAAACCCTGTCTCTACTGAAAATACAAAAATAAGCCAGGCATGGTGATGGGTGCCTGTAATCCCAGCTACTCGGAAGGCTGACGTAGGAGAATTGATTGAACCCAGGAGGTGGAGGTTGCAGTGAGCCAACATCGCATCACTGTGCTCCAGCCTGGGCAACAGAGCGAGACTCCATCTCAAAAAAAAAAAAAAAAAAAAAGAAAAAGGAGAGTGTGAATTGACAATAAGCCAATACATTAACTATTTCAGGTGCTGGTAAGAACGCTGGAAAAAAGTAAAGCAGGATGAGGATTGTGTAGTAAAAGGAAGATCTCCTTTACAGGAGGAAGCCAAGGAGGGAGCCATGCAGATACCTGGAGAAGTGCATTCCAGGCAGAGCAGGCAGTCAGTCCAGCCCACACACTGAGGCAAGAGTGTGCTTGGGGTGTGGGAAGAACAGCAAGTGGCCATTGTGCCTGCAGTCTGTGCTCAAAAGGGTGGTGCGAGCTGCCTTTAGAAAGGTAGCAAGGGCCAGATTGAATAGCACATTGTAGCACAGATGTTTGAGGGATGTGTAATTTGAAACTCTTATCCCAATGACATGATTAATGAAAGAGTATCCAATGTAAGATTTTGCAGCAAACAGTATGAAATTGCAAACTTTTGAACCAGGACCCTTCATGATTGAAATAGCACATTCCTATTTACAGAGGATTACAATTTAATTTTTCAAAGTCCTGTGTAATAATGCTCCCTTTCACATTCATAGTTTTCTAAAATTCCAAATTCTTGAATAATCCCCATTTAAATAATCCTAACACAATTGGGAAGCTGCTTGCCAGTAAAGTCAGAAGTTGACCCTAGTAGTTTCTACTCTACTGGGAGCTTATGGGCAGACTCCAGGAGTGTCTGTTAAGTGATCACTGCTGTTCTGCAGTGGAGCTGGTTAGGCAGATTCTCAGCAGGGTAGAGCCTCTTGCTTAATGCACACAGCAGCTTAGCCAGACTGAATTAATTTAGAGTCCTTGGCCCAGAAAGTTTTCCTGGTTCTACTCATAGAACAAGGCAAATCACACATAACAAAATACTTTGTTTCTAGGATTAGTTAAAAACAAAACCAGAATCTCTTGTATCTTCATTATAATGTAACTCCTTAGGAAAAGGATTTTTATCCTTTTTTTTTTTTTTTAACTTCTGTATCCTCCAGTACCTAAAATTATGCCTAGCATCTATTAGGGTCTCAAAAATAGTTGTTTTTAGTGAACAAAGGTCACATTTTATGACCTTTATGTATTTTGTCTGGATTTCCTACATCCCTTCATTTGTAATACTTAGAATCAGCGTTGAGGTTCAGAAAGCCCCTGGAGCTGAACAATTAGCTATAGAATGCTAGAGATCCTATGATTCCTTGAGTATCACCAACACATGGCCTCAAGGCATGGTATAGACCATAGAAATGTTTAACCCTCATAATAAGATTAACCAGAAAACATCCTTCACAAACAGAAACTCTGGATTCCAGTGAGCAAAGCCCACCCCCAGAGTCCTGCCCTTTTGAAAGTAGAGTTAGTTCAGGATGGCTGAGAGTGTTGGGCCACAGGGATTAATAAACACCCACCCACAAAGGTTTGCGTGTAAGGTGGACCAAGTTGATAGAAAGAGCCCGTTCTTGTTTTTTTTTTTTTTTTTAACATTTTTTTTGGTTAAAAGTGGAATGTTAACCATGTGTCAACTCCAGGAATATGTTTCAATAATTCATTAATCATTTGGGAAAATAAAAATGGAGATCTTAAAGTAGGCATATTAATTTAGATTAGTTCCTTTTTAAACAGGCGCTTTATAATTCAGAAAGTTTATCTAAACACTCATAAATGAATTCACATCAACTCATGCACCATCTATTATTCCATTTCAGACTGAGAAATAATTCTGGATAATCTATATGTAAATGGCAACAACTCTAACCAAAAAGGTCTAAAGGATCTCAGTTTATCAACTGCTAATTTCTTCACTTTGGGGAGGACACTCATTCTCTCTCTTCTTGCTTTGAACCATCTCTTAATAAAGAAAAAGGATCCTGGGGCCGTTTGCTAATAGAGAAGGCTATGAAAACCATTGTTAATATATAGTTAGTGCATAATTTGAATGACTTCCTGTAAATGAGTTTTTACTAATTAATATTTTTAATAGGGATTCTCAGCGTTCTTCAGAAAGATGACTTTTTTTCTGCCACCGTATGTGTAATGTGGCTTCTCTATATTTATGACTTAGAGTCATGTTTTGGCCTGTGAAGCACAATAACCTTTCTGGAGCCAAGTTTTGTCAGTGCTAATACATGCCCTTTACAGCCCACATTCCTTAATTGCATCAAAACACTCACCTGATAGGTGAGCAGTCCTCACACCCTTATGAGAGAGGTAAGGTCATTGGTTAGTTTCCATGAAGTTTGGACCGCTCTTCCACACGAGGTTGCAGAAGTGCTGGCAAGCCAGCTGAGATGTGCCTTGAGGTCGGGGCTGTTCTGGAAGAGGAATAAGGAGCAGGAGTCCAGCCCAGAGGCAGCTCCTGTGGCTGTTGGGTGTTTTACTCTTGAGTCTATCAAGAGCAGTAAACGTGACCCATGTCATCAGAGCAGTGGCCGAGACTCCCTGGTAAGGTAAGAATCTAACTGCAGCTGCCTTCGTTCAGGACACTTCCTCCACCTGCCACTCAGCAAAAATCAAAATCGTTCACTGTGTGTAAGAGTCAGTGGTGAGATTTAACGGCTCCCCTGAGGTGGGGAGGCTTTCCTGCACCATGTCAAATCCCTGGTCCTCCACCATTGCTTTATTTCCTGGAACAGGTGAGTGTCCTCACAGACCAAGTAGAAGCCCAGGGAGAAAAGATTCGAGACCTGGAAGTGTGTCTGGAAGGACACCAGGTGAAACTCAATGCTGCTGAAGAGATGCTTCAACAGGTAAGGGCGGGTGCACTGAAGGCCCTTGGGTGCCGAAGCAGCTCATGTGCTGAAGCCCCTTTGTGTGCCCAGGCTACAGCCCTCGCTGTCTGCTTTCCCATCCTGCCTGGGGGCGGGATTGGCTGCTCAGTTGTACGGTGTTTATACAGCAGGTGAAACCAACCTGAACGTTGAGAGTGGCAGAGGGGGTAGGGAAGGGAAGGGCTGCCCTGAGATGAATAACCTGCTGAGCTGGTTAGACAGATTCCCAGACAGCACTTTCTCCAGACCTGGTGCAGTGAGGGAGCGCTCGGCTGGGGGCCTCACCCTCATCCTGTGGGTGCCATCTGGAGTTTTAGAAAGTCAATTCTCAGCTGATTCTATGCCCCTTTCCCATCTCGCTCTGCCTCTTCCTACTGTATATAGTTTTTAAAATAAAAATATTATATAAATAACCTTTTAGTATAATTTAATAGATATCAAAATGGAAAAAGATATTTAACTGTTCCCTACCATTCAAATAATGTCTTCTCCTTGTTTTCTTTTTGTCCTTGTTATGTGTACATGTACTTTCCAAATCTGTAATCACAAGAGATATGCAATTTAGTCCTCAGATTTTGTATGCTTAATATTATATTTTTCCCATTTAAAATTTTTGCTGTATTGTCATCTTTACTATCACCTATAATAGATTTTCTTAGTAAAAGTATCAGAATTGACTTAACTTTTTTTCAATTCCTAAATATTTTTACTGTATTATAAATAATGAGCTACAATTTTTTAGGAAGGGGTGTTGAATTTTTATTGTATCAAAACTTCAGAATTTGTTGAGAAGCGAATTAGGTTTTTAAATGAAATGTATTAATATATCTAATCTTAAATTTTCCTTAAGTCATTCTTACATTTTAAGTTATCTTGAAAATTAAACAATGACTGAAGTTTATGTGTGTATGCCTTATAACTCCTGGCATAGTACTTGGCACATAAAAGGTACTCACAATTACTTAAAGAACAAAAGTTTGTTCCTTAAAATGAGTGGATTCAATTAGAGGACTACTTATAATCTTTCCTCCAAAAGCGCTAGCATTTTTTTTTTAATTGTCATGATCAGCATAAGACTCAGATTGTTTCTTGACAGCATACTGGTGAACACAGGCTTTGCATTTTACCTTTGGTCTCATGACAAATGTCATGAGAATTAATCTGGTGTTTGTTAGTTTTGTTTGAGTGCCTTTGAAGAACTTTATACAAATGTAAGTCAGTGTTTTTATATATATGTCTTCATAAAAACCCGTTTCAATGATTCAGGAACTTTTGTTTGTTATCTTTTCATTGCTGATTAATAAATTACCACATTCTTGGCGCCATTTGATTTTCTACTTAGGTTGTGTGCCATTTCTCTTGTTCATAATATTTCCTAAAAATCTGACTAGCAAAAGGAATTGAGGCTTTTTTTTTTTAATTGAATCTTTCTTTTGAAGACCCAGGAAAGAAAATAGCCTGATGGAAAAAAATCTCAAATGATGAAAGTATTTTCACAAAGAGTGCAGAAAACAACCTACTAGATTGTGTTTTCAAGTCTGCACAAGGTGTGTTTTTGAGGTGAGAAGGATAAGGGAAGAAGATGATGGAATGGTGTAAACAATCCAGAAAGAGAGCAAGAACATTTGAATACGGAAGGGAACGTGTCAGAAGGTTGATGTTTCAGGAAGGCTATGCTGGGAGAGTAACCACATAATCAGAGGTCAACAGAATGCTGCATTGTAGTGCCTGAGTTATCTGACTGCCTGTGCTGGCTTCTCTGAGCCTTCTCTACATAGCTCTCTATGACAGTGTTTCTGCTCCATTGTCAAAGTCTCTGTGTCAAGGAGTCTGATTGTGATGCCCAGCACCACCTGGGGAGAGGCTGTCTAGTTCCTCTAAACATCATCCCATGGATGGCATTTTAGACTTTTTTAAAGTCATAAACTCAATTACTTTTTTTTTTTTTTTTTTTGAGACGGAGTCTTTCTCAGTTGCCCAGGCTGGAGTGCGGTGGCGCGATCTCGGCTCACTGCAACCTCCGCCTCCTGGGTTCACGCCATTCTCCTGCCTTAGCCTCCCAAGTAGCTGGGACTACAGGTGCCTGCCACCACGCCCGGCTAATTTTTTTTTTTTTTTTTTTTGTAGTTTTAGTAGAGACGGGGTTTCACCATGTTAGCCAGGATGGTCTCAATCTCCTGACCTCATGATCCACCCGCCTTGGCCTCCCAAAGTGCTGGGATTACAGGTGTGAGCCACTGCGCCCGGCCTCAATTACCTTTTTTAGCCCGTTTATTCTAAACCCTCTTTCCTGTGTGCTGTGGGTTTGGTATTGGGCGTGTGGTACCATGTGCCATAGAGGGTAGATGTCTTAACCTGGCATATTTTGGAGTATGGTAGCCACTTCTGAGTTTCAAAGATTCCTGAACTTGACCAAGTTATTTTTCTGCCCATAAGCTTTCATTGTATTCTCTCAAACTGTCAAGGGTCAAATGATAGCAGTGTGCAGTGCTCCTTTCTTAACAAATTGAGTTCAAGCCATAGGACACATCTGAGCCTCATCTTCCACTCATGTGTTCGCTGGGCTGGGTGGCACCAGAGCTTGAGATCTTTTGAGTTCCCAGATCTAAATCCAAAGTTGAATGTTCGGCCGCACATGCTATTGCTTTCCTGAAGTCTGTTTGATGCTGTTTGTGAAGACACTTGATTCTTGCACCACAGTGCTGATGCAATATCTCTGGCTTGGAGTATGTGTGTATTCTCTGAGCTAGGGACAGGCAAACACTTGCCTGATTTGACTGAGATATCCTGGGCTGCAGGGCCCTTGGCTTCTGGTGGTAGGAGCAAGAATGACTCATGGCCTAGAGGCAGAGAATGGAGGCAAACAATTGCCTCTTTCTGCCAGCCTCAGAAACCATTCCTGCCTGGAGCCAAGGCGAGCCTGCTGCTCAAAGCCTCTGAAGGAAATCCTTTCACTGTCTCAGTGTGCGCCCTTCTAACTGCCTGTAGATAAGGTGCTTCCTCGGGGTTTGCTGCTCCTGATAACCCTGCATGCTGGAGACATCCTGTCTGAAGGCAGCAGCTGCTGTTCTACTCCAGTTGACTGCCCATGTAGGCCTGGTAATGCTAGATATTCTCATTTTTCACAAGAGACTCAAAATCCAGATCTAAAGAGTTAAGGATCTCTGCTTTTAAAATATTAGCAGCTAATTTAAGTTTTTTAAAATGCTGTGTGAATCATACAGTACATACCTATAGGTCAAGCCTGGCCTGCAGGCCTCCAATCTGCAACCTCTGCTCTAGACTTGGCCCCTTCTACAGGCTGGAATAACTCCAGGGGGACTTGGGGAAAGCCAAATCAATGAGGATAGCCCAAACCTTGTGCTTAAAGGGGCTCCAAGAACCCCATTGAGCTGTCTCTCTCCATGCTGCTCTCCTGACCAATGTCAACCTTCCTCCAGGAGCACAAGAGGTGAGGAGTTAGTTCCTTACCTAGTTCATGAACAATATACTCACTGTATCCCCAACCACAACATCCTCAGTCTGTCGCTGCTCAGGGCTGACCTCCCAACTCCCATCTGTTTTTGTCTACACATGAACTCATCCAGCCTCCAGAAAGAGCAAGAAGACCTCTCTTGGGGTTAGACAGGCAAATCAGAACCAACCAGAGCCAGCAAAGGGGCAGGTCCACATGAGCCCACCTAGATTATGAACACTTTTCAGGGCAAAATAATGTTTCTGTTTTGCAGCCCACGGCAGGATGTGGGATGGGAAGGGAACATGATAGCTACAAGCATCTCTCAGGACTGCTACAAGCAGACAGCTACAAGCATCTCATAGCTGTCGACATACACATATAGACATACCTTGTAGCTGTCTACATAGACAGCTACAAGCATCTCTCAGGACTGCCTATGGAAGCACCTAGTCAGATGTGGTCTTAGACTCACTGAGCATGTCTGGATTGCCCAGGAAACTTTCCCCATTAAGAAGAGTTATTTCTCGGCCAGGCGCTGTGGCTCATGCCTGTAATCCCAGCACTTTGGGAGGCCGAGGTGGACGGATAACCTGAGGTCAGGAGTTCGAGAACAGCCTGACCAACATGGTGAAACCCCGTCTCTACTAAAAATACAAAATTAGACAGGTGTGGTGGTACATAACTGTAATCCCAGCACTTTGGGAGGCCGAGGTGGATGGATAACCCGAGGTCAGGAGTTCGAGAACAGCCTGACCAACATGGTGAAACCCCGTCTCTACTAAAAATACAAAATTAGACAGGTGTGGTGGTACATACCTGTAATCCCAGCTACTTGGGAGGCTGAGTCAGGAGAATCGCTGGAACCCGAGAGACGGAGGTTGCAGTGAGCCAAGATCACGCCATTGCACTCCAGCCTGGGCAACAAGAATGAAACTCAAAAAAAAAAAAAAAAAAAAAAAAGAAGAGTCATTTCTCAAAAGGATCTTTAAGGGAGGGACAGTCTGAGTCAGTTTTCACTGGTCTGGTATTGTCTGAGCCTGAAAATAGAACTCACAGTGCTGGGCTCTGCCTCTTTGGTCCTTAAGCAGATCAAGGCATTGCTCAGCTGCACAGTGAGGCTATCAGAGGCCAGGGCCCAGAATTGTACACTAGGGTTTCCGGCATGGACCAGCGATGTTCTTGTGACTGCCTCAAACTATGCTGGCAACAAAAATCTCTGTATCATGGGGAGGGTTTCCCTGGTCTGTGATATAATCGAGGCCTGTGGTGGCATTTTCTAAAGTAGCCACTGTGAGCTCACTGGGGTCTAGTAGGTTCCTGCACAATAAGCTCCTCTGCCTCTGATCACTGACCCTTCTCTAGAGGAGGAAGAAGCTGATGCTACTCGGTGGATAAGAGGTTTTACATGGAGCTGGTGGTCAAATGGAGCATTTTCCAGAGACTGGCCATTTACAGATATAATCAATGTAAACAGAAACAATGTTCAATGTCAAAACAACACAGGGAAAGGGAGGACTGTGGGGAGCAAGTAAGGGCATAATCCTGCTTTTGGGAAACCTTGGACAACACCAGCCTCTATTTCTATCCTCCCTACCGACCCAGAGCTTCAGGGTTTAGGCAACTTCATTTTTTTTACTTTTAGGTGAGGTTGGGGAGTGACAAATATAGGGGATTAAGAGTTCATGGATATGGGTTTCTATAGATTTGCTATTTGCTATTGATCTGGGAAAGTCAGTGTACCTGTTTCCTTATTAGTAGAGAATGAGGATGACAATATGGACTCTGTATTGCCTACCTCTTACTTCTCAGAGTTATAGTAAAGTTATTCCACTGTTATTAAGCATGAGCTATCACACAGTGAGTCAAGACACTGAGCCTAAGACACAGGCCTAGTAGATGGCTGGTAAACTTCCCAGGAGAGCCTTTAAGCAGGTATTTCTATCTCAAAGAGAATATTAAACAGAGCTGTGTACATGTTCCGGTGGGAACACAAATCTGTCTGAGGTGGGTAAGACAGTGATTCAGAAGTGAAGAAAACAGGAATTTTTCAAATATTCCCCAAAATTCCCTCTGGGGATCTATGAGCTAATGAGTTTCTTCATGCTTATCCCATGTGATGTTGGGAATCCAGACTACAGGGCAAAGTAGATACTTTAACTCCATTTTACAGATAAGAGTGAGGTTCAGAGAGATGATTGAGTTAGTGAGGACTGAGCCTGGCCTCAAACTCGAGTTGACTACAAGCACCTCTTCTCTGCACAGTGTTACTCATGAAAGAGACTTCCCTGCAAGACCTGGGCCTTTTACTTCAAAGGGCAAAGAGACTTATTTTTCCTTTCATGCCTTTCCATGGCCCACTCTTTCATTCTGGTTTCAGGTTGCCAGTCTGGCTGCAGTCCTCTGTCATTGGTCGGTAACACCCTGGGTCATATTCCACACTTAAAGATGGAGGTAATTGCTTCAAGATGTGGCCCTTTAAGGAGAGAATAGGTTGAAAGGCAAATTCTTTTTTTCAGCTTTAGTCAGAGCCTGAGTTTTGGAAAAAGGAAATGATGAGTTGCTCCGAGATATAAACTTTCTTTCATCTCTTAGAAGAAGTATTTGTCCTTCTGAAAAGGTTAGTGGCAGTTTTGTCCATTGATTTTTTTTCTAAACCTTTATTACCCAGTTTCATGGTCCATCACAGTAAGTAAAACAAACCACCCTCCCCCAGACCACCTCCCTCCTTATTTGCACAGGGAACCTTCAAACAATTGGGAGCAGAAGCAGAATGATGCCTGTGAAGCCTTTGCCCCTTATCCTCAGCTCGCTGCCTCCCCTCAACTCCCTCCCCATATACTGCGGTAGCTGCATGACTCCAGCAGGATTCCACCATGAAGGTCAGGAAGCCTTCAGCAGGGGGCAAGCATTGCCTGGCGAGGATGTGGGTGCTCCAGACAGCCTGGATCAGAGTTGACTCCAGTCTTGGGTGAGAATGAGATTAAGGGCTCCAAGAATGTTTTCCTTACAGGATTGACAGAATAAAGGCAGCCAGCAAAGAAAATGGAGAAGAAAAAAGAAAGGTCAGGAAAACCGAGAGCAAGGAAGATTGGGGTGGCTAGGAGTACCTTACATTGAGTGGATAAAGGGCGAGACAGTTAAGATCTGAGAAATGCAAGCTGCATCTCAAAGTTTGTACATTGGTTCCAGGACTATTTCTGTGCCCTAGTTGGTGAAGGCAGAAGCCAGGTTCAGGCAGGCAGAAATCTTGTTGAGGAGTGACACACACATACACACACATGCACCCACACACACCCACCTACTCACCCACCCATACACGCACACACACCCCCCCATACCTACTCACCCACCCATACACACAGACACACCCTCCACACACCTACTCACCCAGCCATACACACACACACCCCACACACACACCTACTCACCCACCCATCCACACACACACACCCCCACACCCATGCATTTGTCCAGCAAGAGGACATGGGAGTTGACGGTGTTAGCTTTGAGGGCAAGGTCAAGACGGAAGTTTCTTTAGAATGTCAGAAATTTGATCATGTTTATAGCCTGAGGATTGGGAGCTGATGGTGAGGGAGAGATTAAATGCCTGCCAGAGTAGATGATTGATGGCCCTAACCTAGAGTAGCACAGAGCTTGGTGGGAACTTACTCAAAGGCAGTACAGAAGTGAGGGAGAGTCCAGGACCATGTGAGCAGGAGCCATTCTGAGTTACCAGCTGGAGGGAGAAACAGGACCAGAACTCAGAGAACAGAGCCAAAGGCTGCTGGTTGACCAGGAAGTTACCGTAAGGTTTATCAAGTTGTATGGGAATGTATGAAGAGTCAGGAGACTGAGAAATAGCCAGAAATGGGAAGGTCAGTCAGGGGCAATTCAGGAGCAAATTCTGGAAGCATTGTATCCTTTGATGGGTACTTTTTATGTGCACCTGGAAGTATTCTGAACTAGGGAACAGTTTTCAAAGGTGAAAGAACCCTGCAGAAAAGATGGCAATGTACAATTGTCGCAGTTTATCCTTGGAAAGGAACTATGGGCTTGCTGTTTCTAAGACAGGGATTTAAGATATATGAATGAGAGATGATGCTAGGAAACTTTGAAATAGAACTTACATTCAGTGAACAGATGCATTTTATCTTTTCAGCAAATACGAGGAGAGATTATTTGAGGAGAAGAGGGAGACATGGTAGGGGTTTAGGGCTTGAGCAGAACAGAAAAGACTTGGAACAGTTCCTGAAAGGAGTCAGCCAGAGACAAACACAAGTTTTGCCAGGCAGTATTGGAAGATCAGCTGTAATTAGATAGCACAAATTTGTACAGAAACCAACTGGCATCATTAATTGCCTTTCACTAGCAATTTTTAAGCTGTGGAGAGTGGAATCACGACAAAAGACTAACAAATGCACATGAGGCCTGTTACAGGGATGAGATCCCATGAGGATTTTCTGCTGTGGTATGAATACAATTGGAATGACTCACCTCAAGGTACAGAGTTGATAAGGAGAACAATGTTGCTTCAAGGAAGTTGATAAACCAGGAAAATAGAGTTACTAAGTAACTAGTGGCCGCAGAAGAAATTAGAGGTTGAGTGAGCAAGTGGGACAGATGAAAGGTCAGAAGATTGTGGCCAGAGGAGAGAATTTCAGAGCTGAAGATTTTAGAAGCAAAGCAAACACATTCTGGATACACGTGAGATCCAAGTGGTGACTGTGCTACTGAGAAGCTGAACGAAATGGAAAGCAAAGCCTGTTGGAGCTGAGGTCAAAGAATGTGAAGCCAGAGTGGATACTGAATGGGAAAGTTAATAACAAGGATGTGGAAGCTATTGAGGAGACGGAGTGCGCCTAAAGTAGGTAGAAAAGCTGTTGATCAAGTCAAAAGCCTGAAGGAAGTAGGTTGGTTCCTTCGGTTTGGGGAGAATGTGGTATAAGTGAAGAGCACTGTCTTAGAATAGCAGGATAGATGCAGATGGTCGGGGGGCAAAATACTGGCTTGGAAGCAGCCCTGGAATAGGGAGCACAGTGTTCTATAAGTTGGGTTGGTGGAAGCTGAGTGGTCTCCAATTGAAATGACGGGGAAGAATGTGTAATATTGTTGAAAAAACATGATTCACTTTATGTTGGAAGTAGAAGGAGCAATTGAGGATGTAGGATAAGTTAACTCCTATTAAAGCACACATTTTAGAGATCACAGTTCATAATAGTGGCTACGGGCCTTGCTGGATCTGGAGATGGGGAAGTAGAGCTGGACTGGGATAAGTTTGTTGAAGGCTGATTTTGAGTTTAGGGACCAAAACAGTAATCATGACAGGGGCAAGGGGAAGATGATCATGAAAGGTAGAAGCACATGCTAATAGATATAAGCTAGAAGAGAATAAGTAAATGTTCTGTTATTAGTGAACTATATGAAATTAAGCAACCTCAGGTTTCTAATTAAAATGTTAGTGTGTCCAATTGTGAATGTCTGTTTGGAATGTTAGTGTGGCTAATTCAAACACTGGCATGACCAATTGGAATGGCTGTTGGAACTAGTGAAAATATTGTCTTCATCAGCTGGAACCATTGGTATGACTAATCACAACCTGGTAGTTAAAATAGGGATTTTGGCAATGATGGAAGCAGAGTAGACTCTTAGCTTTCAAAAGAGATACATTATGAAACTTTAAAAAATCACATCAAAGCAGTATTTTGAATGCTGATCAGAAGACAAAACTGCATGAATTTTTTTTTTTTTTTTTTTTTTTTTTTTTTTTTTTTTTTTTTGAGACAGAGTCTCACTGTGTCGCCCAGGCTGGAGTGCAGTGGCACGATCTCGGCTAACTGCAAGCTCTGCCTCCCAGGTTCACGCCATTCTCCTGCCTCAGCCTCCCCAGTAGCTGGGACTACAGGTGCCCACCACCACACCTGGCTAATTTTTTGTATTTTTAGTAGAGACGGGGTTTCACCATGTTCGTCAGGATGGTCTCAATCTCCTGACCTCGTGATCCGCCCGCCTCGGCCTCCCAAAGTGCTGGGATTACAGGCGTGAGCCACCGCGCCCGGCCTTTTTTTTTTTTTTTTTTAAGACAGGGTCTCACTGTCGCCTAGGCTGGAGCACTGTGGCATGATCACAGCTCACTGCAGCCTCAACCTCCCAGGTTCAATCAATCCTCCCACCTCAGCCTCTCAAGTAGCTGGAACTACTTGAGGCCCATGCCACCACGGGTGCTAATTTTTTTTTTGCGTATGTATTTTTTGTAGAGGCAGGGTTCCACTATGTTGTCTAGGCTGATCTCAAACTCCTGGGGCTCAAATGATCCACCCACCTCAGCCTCCCAAAGTGCTAGGCATGAGCCACTGTGCCCAGGCTGAGCATCACCTTAAGGTGTTCAAGTACTCAATAGTGGCTTTGTTTTATTAGTAATTGTCATGTATCTAGGCACTGGCATCTGGTAGGTATTTAAAAACATATTTGTTGAATAAAAGAATGAAGTCTCTTGGGGGATTTTTTTTTTTCCCTGAGATCTCAGTAGTCTGAAGACATTTTCTTGTGGACCTTGACCTGTGCACTTGTTCCTTTTCCCCTTTGCATTGGCAGCTGGGAAGCTCACATGTACATTATAGTCCATCTCTAGCTGTTTATAGAAGTTTATGGCATAGATTTTCTACTAACTCTGACTTTAACTTATTTTCCTACCTGCTTTAATTTTTATGATTTATTTTTTAATTTGAAATATCTATTTTGCAAACTGCCTAAACACATTTTGGGAATAAGGTAGGTAGGCAGAAGGATGGAGAACTAGAGAATGAGGTAATAAAGAAAGAGAGGGAGGTAGGGAAAGGAAAGAAGGGTAAGAGAGTAGGTGGTGTGGGGGATGATTACATCTTAAGATACTCACGTACTCAAGACTCAGAGACTCAGATAACTTATTTTATGTGCCCTCACACTCAGGGAAGAACTGCTTAAGGCCCTTTGTGGCCTGCATAGCCTTAGCACTGGGTCCTGATAGGTAGTATGTGCTCAATGAAATCTTGGCAATTTGAGTGGGCATTTCCTGGGCTCATTGAATATTTGTTGATTGCCTATTTTAGCATGTTTTTTTAAATGTCTCTTAAAATGCTTGGACTTCTTTCTCTGTTTGGGAAACTGTGATACAATAGACTAAAATGAGTTCTGGAGTCAAACAGACTTTTGTTTGAACACTAACTCTGCTTGCTGGGTGTGGTGGTTGAC
Source organism: Homo sapiens (assembly GCF_000001405.40). Classification (NCBI taxonomy): domain Eukaryota; kingdom Metazoa; phylum Chordata; class Mammalia; order Primates; family Hominidae; genus Homo; species Homo sapiens. The sequence continues at coordinate 7,608,379 of NC_000011.10, forward strand.
GCCTATAATCCCAGCACTTTGGGAGACTGAGGTGGGTGAATTACTGGAGATCAGGAGTTCAAGACCAGCCTGGCCAACATGGTGAAACCCCGTCTCTACTAAAAATACAAAATCCGCTGGGCGTGGTGGCATGCGCCTGTAATCCCGGCTACTCGGGAGGCTGAGGCAGGAGAATCGCTTGAACCTGGGAGGTGGAGGTTGTGGTGAGCCGAGATCGTGCCATTGCACTCCAGCCTGGGCAAAAAGAGCGAAACGCTGTCTCAAAAAAACAAACAAACAAACAAACAAAAATAACTCTGCTGCTGATTGGCTTGTGTCCTTGGCCAAAAGATTTATGTACTCTCTCTTGGCCTGTTTCCTCATCTGTCAAATTGGGATAATATTTATTGCCAACTCATTTGGAGGGTTTATTAAGAAGATGTATACAAAAGCACCAGCAGTCTCTGGTACAGAGGAGGCACTCAACAAATTTCAGTTCTCCATTGCATTGGACGCACTCATCTGGCTGACTCCTAGTGGCCAAGTAGCCTGTGCTCTGGCTGCAGTGCTCCACCTCTGCCTTGTGAGCCAGCTTCCAGTCTGGCTGGCCCAGGAAGAGCTGGCCTCCTTACCCCAGAGCTCGGGGAGCTCATTATGCTGAGTTGCTGGGCTTCAAGAGAGATACCCATCCCCTCAGACTAGCAGATGAACAGTTTGTTGCCTACCTTTCCCAGGTAGGCTGTTGCCCAGCCTGTTGGCCTGGGGAATCATGTATTCCAAGTCAAAAATTTCTGTCCCGTGTGGTTTGATTCATAATCTGAGGACGGTTCCAAATCTGTGACCTCATAGTGTTTGAGTCAGAGTGTTGAGATTGCCATTCTTGTGCTGAGCTTGGGTTGCCCAAGATGATACAAAATGTTCAGACCATGGCAGGATATCGTATATTTTCCTTCTGTTCATTTGGCCCATTGCTTTCCTGGTTGCTGTGTCTATTCTCCTTGCCACAACCTTTGTAGCCAGTGTCTACCATGTGCCGGGATTTTGGACCTCATAGGACATTGCCCTTTGCCAATGGAAAAATATGTTTCCCTGGACTTTAGGAAATGCTCCTGATTTTTGAGGTCCTTTATAATTCATATTACTTCTAAGTGGGTGTCTTGCCTATCATCTTTATTTTTTACCTTGTTTATGCTTATGAAGTGTTTTTATTAGTGACAGGTTTGTTGTCAAAGCCCTGGGTTATTTGGTTATAGTCTGCTACTGTTCTAGTGATGGCAGGACTAGTAATAACCTCCCTGGTCTGTCTTCACAATTGGGAAAGAACAATCTTCTTATTTACATTCCAGAGTGGCCAGATTGTAATTTTGGAACAGCCCAGGAAAGATCCATCTCACATAAGATTCCTATGTAATCATTCAACACTCTTTGCACATCTACTTTGTGTTCTAGCTCCTGTCTAGGTTCATTGCAGTGAAGTCTTGTATTGGAACATGTTGAAAACTGGGCTGAGCATTGGTTGAGCCCAGAAAGTGATCTAGAAATTTTGGCTTTGAAAAAAATATATTGTTAACTTAAGCGAGGACCTACTGCTTTGTCTTTTAAAAAATTGAGAAATTTCGTTCTTTGAAAGTATCCATTCACTTTTCTCTACATGGAAATAATGAATAATGGTCTCTATGGGCAAACACATTTGAGAAATGTAGCTCACCTTGTCTATCAAAGCACAGTGGGTGGTATTGGGGGTGCGCTATCCCTGAGTAGCCCAGCATCAGCCCAGGCCCATCCATAATAGGCCTGTGACTCTCATGTAGCAGTCTCAATTCTGTGTTGTTGAACACACAACTTAGGTGTTGCCTTATGTGCTGTAAATGAAGCCAGAGCTGTTCTTATTGCCATAGTGGTTTCTGATTTCGAGATCTGTTTTTGCTTGCAGGAGCTGCTAAGCCGCACATCTCTTGAGACCCAGAAGCTCGATCTGATGACTGAAGTGTCTGAGCTGAAGCTCAAGCTGGTTGGCATGGAGAAGGAGCAGAGAGAGCAGGAGGAGAAGCAGAGAAAAGCAGAGGTAAGGGTGAGTGTGTACTGTCCTAAGCTCAGACCTGGGAAGGCTGTCATAATGTGAATTTAGGCCATCTGGTCAACTCCCAGCCTGGAAGCTATTGGGTGCCAGAAATATCTATACACTAGAGATGCAGTGATCTGTTAATACCAAGTTATCAGGTTTTGCTGTGGCTGCAAATTTCAGCAATATCCAAACCAGCCAGTTTTGGCTCTAAGGCTTTATCTGCCCTCAAACTGCTGACAAGGATGGAAAGAGAAGCAATAGTTGGGGAAGAATAAGACAAAATGTGGAGGGACACAAGATGTCTTCTGTGAGAACCAAGGAAATGACGACGTACCGGAATGAAGTCAGCCTCCCAATAGGCCATTGACACTGGATCCAAGGAGTCTGGAAACGTTTCTTGACGTGCGTTTCACTGACCCAGATGGAACCTCGGGTGATGTGTTTCTCTTTTCCTGATGGGTCTTATGGAGCATGCCATGTGCAGGCCTTCTCTTAGAGAATGTTTTCCTAATTTTGTTTTTCAGTCTTTGTATGCCATTGGCTGGAACATGCCAGACTCTTTTTTAAATAAATGTTTAGAGAATTTTACACTCAGAGCTCCTTTGAGAGCAGGCAGCCTGTTTTAACCTTAGATAACCGTCTTCCTGTGCCTCTACCTTTAAGTTCTTCTTATATTCACACCTAGCAATGAGAGATATGAAAGAAGATAGGTTTTAGGTTTAGAAACACCTCGCTCATTTACTGACCTAACTGCTTAATAGTTCTATGAACTTCAAGCTGGCTACTTAATCTTTCTGAACTTCAATTTCTTTATCTGGTTAAAATGGATAACTGTGTGGTAAAGTCCAAATAAAATCGTGAAAGTTAAGTACCTGTCATAGTATTTGGCATTTTGTGAGCACCTGGTATGTCTTCATCTCCTTCCTTCATTTAGGCTAAAGATGGATATTGTTCCCTTCTGATAAGTGCCAGCATTAGTGCATACTGACATCTGCCATGTTTGCTGAGTAAACACACTGGTGATTAGAATATTTCTAATGTGTGAGCATGTTCCTTGCATTGCTTTTGAGAACATGTTCATTAATTAGAAGTACAGTTGCCAAAAGAAGATATCCCCAATAAGCTGAGAACAGTAGCTTGTATTGACTAAGAGTCCAGGCTGATGAATCAGATCTCCTGGCTTTAAACTGAGCTCAGTGGCTTTGTGACCTTGGTCACGTAATTTAACTTCCCAGACCTGTTTCTTCTGTAAGATGGAGGTAGTAATACTTCCAATTTCTTTGGTTATTCTGAGGAGTGAATGAGACAATGTATGTGGAACCCTTAGCATAGTAATAGTTAGCTTTTATTGATCACTTACTGATAGTATTGTTAAGCATGTTGGAAATGAAAATGTAGACATAGATACATTATTTACATATTGCAAAGTTTATACAGCCTGAAAGCTAATCTGTGTGAAGTGCTAGTTGAATTAAATGTTGAGGGAGAAGTAACTGAATTTTCTTCTGGTTTGAAGTATTTTACCAATGTTTCAACCTGCACAATTGTATGTGAACATACATTAGGACTTTGGGGGCAGAATTCCATAAACTCTGTGAGAAGGCTTAAAGTGGCAGACACTCAACTCAAAGTCACTTAAGAGAAAAAGGGAGGAGAGAGACCTATGTCACATAACTTGAAAAGTCTAGTGTTTGAAAGAATACAATATGACTAGATCCGGGTAATCTCACAGTGTCACTAGAAATTAGTCTCAGTTGTATCACCTGGTTCTGCTTTAGCCTTATTCTCAAGAAGGTTCTCCCCAGGTGGTGACAGAGATAGCCATCAGTAGCTCCGGAATGATATCCTGCCAGCCAGGCAACTTCTGCAGTCAAAGAGGTGCTTTCTCAAAGGTTCCAGCAAAAGCCTCAAGATTGCATCTCATTGGGCCACTTTGGGTCATATACCTGGTTCTACACCAGTCACCGCAGGGATCTGTGCATGAGGGGTGGGAGGTGCGAATATGAAAGTCAGCCCGTGTGTGGAAGTATACAGAGTTAGCACCAAGCTAGGATAATGCAGTCCCTTTACAGGGACATCAGAAAGGAAGGAGAGCTCCCACTTCTGGGACAAGAAGCACTAATGCAGTCATTTTACTGTTTGCTTTTTTCTTTCTTTTCTGAAGGACTATTTTTAAATCTGAATTTTTTGTTTTTGTTTTTCATCAGTCTGTTCATACATAAGGCGACGTAGACCCTGAGTGTCTGGCCTCAGTCCTACCAGATAACAGCCCTTCCCAGTTGCTAGTACAAATATTAGGTTTCCACGTGGAGGAATTCTGTAGGCTGTTCAAACCTGTGATAATCAGTGAGCAGCCACATGGCCTGAAACAAATTCCTCGTTCTTGTAATTGCACATAATCTTTGCTGGTATGCACAGAACTTCTACCTCTATTTGTGAGTGTCTGGAGCAACCAGGGGTTTAAAACCACAGGGTACTGCTTAAGCTGCACTATTGTCATGTGCATGGAGATGTTTATTTTGAGTGAGACATTTTGCTAAGGTCACCAGAGGTTGTAATTGCATGAATAAAGGGAACGCTGCTTCCCATACTATACTGCTGCTGTTTTTTCCAGTGAGTGTATTTAGCCTAAGGGCTCATTGTGTGTGGTTTGGAACAGGCAGGATTCTTTTTTTTTTCCCCCTCAGGTGTGAGATAGCCAGATCTGAAATACAGTTTCTCAGCTTAGCTCAGGCTTTATCCTCAAATTCTGTTTTATGTTTTAATGAAAAGAAGAGAATGCTTGTGGCAAGAGCATTGCCACCACAATGTCACTAGAAATTAGTCTCAGTTGTATCACTTGGTTTTAGTTCTAGTTCTAATTTTAGTTCACACTGCTCCTTCTCTGATTCTGATCATAGCCCAAGCCAGCATCTTGCTGCTTGTTTTAAGTTGTGGAAATGATTACCGACAGTCATTCTGTAAGACCTAGGGACTTGCAGGCGCAGGTTCCTTGATGGCCAGCCTTGCTCAAGAGTGAGTAGTGGCCCAGATGAGATGTGGGTGAATACTAGGTTTCCTGTTTACCTTTTCTCATCAGCCTTTTGCAATGATTCAGGGTCATATGAGGGTACTGAAGATTGGGTGAATTAGACGTATTCCTGAAAAGTAGGACTACAGAAGAGTGATTGACGTGGAAAGTAAATACCAAAATCAAGAGGATGAAGCATGAAAGAAAGAGATCCAGAGGTAAAGGAAAACCTCTGTGTGGACACAGATCAAAGCATTGCAAAGGCGTGTTGCTCAGATGGGCCTTCCCCAAGAAAGAAATCTGGCTTCTCCATGCTGTGGAGGTGCCAGCAACCTGCAGTTGGACCCCACTGTGGCAACTAGAGGGTTCTGTGAATAGCTATCAGAGCAGCCTGTTAAGAAGGGAGCAGGGACCCCAGATATGCTAGGAAGGGGAGTCAGCCCAACTGATCAGGGGTACACGTGAGCAAGAAGAGAACAGGGAAGAATCTTTAGGATTTCCTGCAGAAAATGGAAACATCTCACAGCACAAGTGATGATGCCATCATTTCTTCTTCCTTGTGGTTAGGACCCTGGGAGAAAGGGATTCTGATTTCTGAACTGAGGCAACAGAGTGATGGACTTGGAACACAGAGTGAGATCTGGGAAGATTGTGTTTGCTCAGAGATGAGCTGGCCTAATAGGAGAGTTTTTTTATTCTTGTTTTTATTTTCTTTATTTACTCATTTGCATCAGTGTAGGAAATATACTCCCACAATTCAAAAATCAAGTGTTCAAAAGGGTATATAGCAAAAGGTCTCTTTCAACACCTGTCCTCCAGTCAGCAGTCAGGAAGCAGTGCCATCAGTTTGTATCCGTCCAGAGTTATATTATGTGTGGACAAGTACATTCATGTGGATACACACAGACACACACACTTTCCCTCATTTTTATACAAATGTACACTATTCTAGACCTTTCTTTTTAAATTTAGCAGTCTTGGAGTTCTTTTTACACCAAGTATGTTTTTTAAAACTTCCTCATTCATATCTATGTCTGCATATTGTTCTACCATCCAACAATAGCCTAATTTATTTAATCAGTCGTCTCTCAGTGGACATTTAGGTGGTTTCCAAGTTTCTGCTATTACAAATAATGCTGTAGTGAATAATCTTGTATATATGTAAAGATATTGATGTGGAATTTATGGGTCAAGGAGTACATGAACTTGAAATTTTGACAGATATTTCCAAATTGCCCTCTCTAGAACATAGAGGTTATATTCCCATGAGCAATGTAATGTATATAAACTGAGCCTGAAAAAAGAAAGAACTAAGTAAAATTGTGTACAAGATTAACAGGTAAGATGGAATTGGAAACAACTGTGATTATGGGAGGTGCCCAGTAGTTTCACATAGAAAAGAACCATAAAGAAGAACTTTAATGGTTGGCAAAGTGTGATTAAAAAACAAAGTGAGCTGAGGTTAAAACACAGGACAGCAATTATAACCTCATAAATGCCACCTAGACATCATGATGTGGAACCCAGAATGGAACAGAGCTACAAAAGGGTCTGCTTTATGGGAGGGAAACAGACCTGTTAGGAGGTGGGCCAGCCCTGGAGATAAAGAATTATGAAGCTAGGCCAGGTGTGGTGGCTCATGCCTGTAATCCCAGTACTTTGGGAGGCTGAGGAGACTGGATCACTTGAGGTCAGGAGTTTGAGGTCAGCCTGGCCAACATAGTGAAACCCCATCTCTACTAAAACATACAAAAATTAGCCAGGCATGGTGGTACACACTTGTAGTCCAGCTACTTGGGAGACTGAGACATGAGAATTGCTTGAACCTGGGAGGTGGAGGTTGCAGTGAGCCGAGATCGTGCCACTGCACTCCAGCCTGGGAGACAGAGTGAGACTCCGTCTCAAAAAAAAAAAAAAAAAAGAATTATAAAGCTAAGTTGAAATGCCAAGCCTGTGGACAGACATACCAGAAAACAATGACAACACATGGCTCAGGAGAATTAAGGCAGAGTAGCCCAGAAGTTTTGGGTACACCACACACTGAGCAGAGGGATGAAAATAGATGTGTTCCTGATGCAGGTCTCCAAACTGACTGATGCACACAAGGGGCAGTAATGGAGGGAGGGGAGTAGCAACCTATTTGTTAGCTCCTAAATATCTCCCAGCTGAATTCTGAAGCATTTGAATGTTTACTTGTTTGTTTTTCTCACTTGCTTTCACTCTACTCAGAGGGTAGAAGACAAAACTAGGAAAACTGCCTTTCTAGCTCCAACATTGAAGCAAAAGGAGAAACTGGTTTATGAAGTAAAAGTGATAGGTACCTTGAGAGAAAGTGGTCATTGTTATTTGAATGTTCACGAGAGTGAGCATGGAAAAACTAGGCATAAACAGACATGCACTGTAGACTTGGGTAAATCATAACTCTGACAATTTAAAAATAAAATGGATGGGGAACTGTCGAATAGAGGAAGACCCAAGAATATTGAACTACTTAAATATAATTCTGACTGTGCAATCTCACAGATAATACCAATAAAAAGGAAGAGTTTAGAGGTCTCTTGAAAGGAAGTAGTTTTCAGAGGGGCTTCTACAAAAGGCAGAAAGGACATATGCTAAAGACAAAAGTGCACCTGCATGACCAGTGTCAGGAAGGGGACATCCGAAACTAAAGGACAATGCTGAGGACAACACAAAGCCATACACACACATACACACGCACACACAAACACCCACACACAGTTATGTTCTTAAAAAGAAAAAATGGACTTGATTCCATGGATGCCTCTGACAGATACAAAAAATTTAGGACAATAGTCCCCCAAAGTGCTTGCTATAAGTTAATTTTAAGGAATCAGGAAAATCAAATGAGTTGCTAGAAAACTGGAAATGAACCATTTCCTTCTTGATTTTCAAAATGGCAAAAGTTTGATAGATTCAGTAAATTTTAGTCTGTTGAGTTTGGGGCCAACTCTATGATGGTTTGCAAGAAGGGAGGAGACAAAGTAGGGATCCGTGTCCTCAAGGAGTGAGTCTCGTCAGATTGGCCTTATCGGTTTGGCCGGGAATGTGTCGTGTGGTAGACCAGGTAAATCCACATTTCAGTGAAGTGTTGCAAAAACGTTGCTTGAGATAATCTTGTAGACAGGATGGAGGAATAGAAGATGAATATACTGAAATAGGCATATTGATGCCTGAGTTCAGGGTTTGGGTACATATTGTCATGGATAAGTGTGATGTGTGCCATATGTCCCCTGTGCATAGGTGCTGACACGTTGGGTGTTTGGGTAAGGGGAGTCGGTGTGTGTATCATGCATATGTGGAGAGAGGACGTGTTTGTGTGTGTGCCCCAGTGTGCACCCATCTCTGCTATTGCTTCTGCTTGGATGAAGAGTTTCTTCTAGACTCCATGCCTCGGTGTTGACACAACAATATGGCACAAAGGAGCTGTTGGGGATTTGTTCGAACTGCAAGACAGGCATCTGGATGGGGCAGGCCTGAGGAAAAATGCCATGTCTTTTGGTTCTGTTGTGGAAAGTGGAGGGCCGTCGACAGTGACCACTGAGTGCCACCTGCTCCCTGCCCCATGCACACTTCCTCTGTGCTGTTCTCTTAAGGAGTTCTGCGTCTGAGAGCTGTCTGACCTGGAGTGCTTTTCTCTTCTTTCTTTTCCTTCCTACAGTCGGTTCTGAATGTGATCAGTGAGCTGCAGGAGCAGATGTGTAGGCTGCAGCTGGACATCCACAGGCAGATTCAAGAGCGCCTGTTACTCAGTAGGGACCACCCTGAGGAGGTGGCGGCCAGCGACGGTGTGGCCGAGCCCCAGCCCTGCAGCCAGGACTGTGCCTGTTGGGAGGGGTCACCTGTAGGAACCACACTTAAGTATATCAGAGCATGCGTGTGTGGGGCATTTCACTGGTGGAGGGGCTGGGGTTTCTCCTAACCAGAACAGAGTGCAGTGGCTTGGCATGGATCTGTTGTTACCTCTGGGCAGAGCTTGGACTCACTCAATCCTCTTGGGATGTGAGGTGAGCTCAGTGACCCTCACTGAGCAGGGTCTGAGCAGGTGAGGCCAACCCTCAAACAGGTGGCACTCATCTCCTTTAGGGCTGGGAATGAGGTGCACCAGGTGCTCCGAGTGATGGGGCATTTGTGCCACAGGAAGCCTCATGATTCCCCTTCTCAGGTATGTGACTCAGATACTGATTCCTCTTCCCAGGCTGGGAGATTAAACAAACTTTTGTTTCACATGATTTTTTTTTTAAGGAAAAGAAGTATTATGAAAAAGAATCCTTTCAAGTTTATGTTCAAAGAGGTTTACCCCCAGTGAAAAAATAAAATACAAGTTTTCATATGCTGTGAATAATTAAGTCATCATCTGAATTTCCAGGAAAAATCCCCCCCACATAATCACATCAGGGTGATTTTATAACAACAGGGCCATGTGGGGCTCTATCTGACTGGGATTCTGGACTTGGCTCTCCACACGGGGGTAACCTGGTCCTCTGTGACTTTGCTGATGGCAGGTGATGGCAGCTTCAGCAGAGATAACCCTATGCCTCGAAGGAGGCCTCCTGTTGAAGAGGACTTGGAAGCCCCCCAAGAAAAGACCGAGGTCACAGCAGCCATGAGTACTACAGAGGATACCCTGGCTCTGTAGGAAGTTACTATGGTCCATACTCAATTAGGGAGCCTGTTGAAAATCTAGACATAGGTGTTGCGGGAAGGGATTTGGTTGGAAAGATTTCCTGCTGCATTAAAGGACAGCGGGGAAATAGGAAAGTCAAGATGTAAATGTAGACTTGGATAGAGAAGCCTTGAGAGGGTGTTGGCGCATGACCTATGTTGAGTAGGTTACTCCAGCAAGACTTTTAAAGGAAGGAAAAACGTGTGTGTACTAATGTTGGTAGTCAATGATGGACAACAAGTAACATAGAAGGAAGAGGATGTTCCAGAGGTCACGGAGCCTGGAGAGGATGATTTCTGTATACCCACAGTGGCAGCCCCTCAGGCAGTAGGAACCTGTACACTTCTGATTCTGATATCAGCTGGCCTGACACCCTCTCCAACAAACTGAGTAACCTGGCTAGGATACAAGGCTGAGCAGAAGAACCCTCAACTTGTGGGCATTGGAGCCTCTCAGGCAGGGCCAATAATGTCCTCAGAGAATGATTCTGGGTCTGCTGCAAGTCAAAGCAGGTATCTGAGGCCTTGACATCCAGTGATGCAGATCATGGATGCAATAACCTTAGCTGAGAAGTTTTCTTTTTCTTTTTTTTTTAGCTGGGATTACAGGCACTTGCCACCACGCCCGGCTAACTTTTGTATTTTTAGTAGAGATAGGGTTTCACCATGTTAGCCAGGCTGGTTTCGAACTCCTCATCTCAAGTGATCCACCCACCTCGGCTTCCCAAAGTGCTGGGATTACAGGCGTGAGCCACCATGCCATCCAGAAGTTTTTTTTTTTTTTTTTTTGTCTTGTTTTTAACGGGCATCAGCATATGCTCACCTCAACTAGAAGGCAATCTTAAAAAATGACCCTACAAAATTCAAGGGTAAGCAATGTCAACTTTGTGGTGGATTATCTCAGAAGGCCAAGACCTCCAGGCCAGTTAAATAATGACTTAAGTTTCATGTGTGCATTCATTGACAAATAGTATACACCTACTATGTGCCAGGCACTGCAGGATAATCAGAGGTTAGCAAATACCTCATGGAGTTTACAGTTTAGTAGGAGAGCTAGCTATTAGCTGTCATACAAATAAATATTTAATTGCAAATTATGTAGGAGGTACACAGAGTACAACAAGAGAATATAGCAGAGGGGCCTGATATAGTAGGGAGGTCAGGATAGCTTTACTCAGGGAGACCTGAAGGATGGGCAGGAGTTAACCTGGCAGAAAATTCCAGACAGAGGGAATGTTGTCTGCGAAGACCTAAGTTGGAGAGAGGAACTGAAAATTATCCATGTGGCTAGAGCATAACTAGGGAGAAAGAGTGATCCAAGAGGCAGGCAGGGAGCTGTCAGGTCACGGGTTGAAGTTTATGAGCTTTGAGAAGCATGGGAGTGCCATGATCTGATGTATGGTTTGATCATATCACTCCCCCAGATGCCATGGGGTCAGTTGCTTTGAGAGGAGCAAGACAACAGAGGAGCAACCAATGAATTGACTGTCCAGGCTGTCAGTGCTAATTGCTAGACCAGAGTGGTGGTGCCTGAGTGGGAAAGAAATGAGACATTCAAGTTGTTTTCCTGGAAGTAGAATTAATAAAGCTTGGGGACGAATTGCATACATAGAGGAGGAAGGACAGGGAGATGCAGAGGATAGATCCTATGTTTCTGGATAGGCCGTTAGATAGATGGATATGGCATTTAGTGAGATGAGAGTAACTAGGAGGGGAGTTGAGCATTCCACTTGGCACCTGACAGTCCGGAGGTGCCTATGCAGCATCCATGTGATGTTAAGTAGGAAGTTTGTTGTGTGAGACTGCAGTTCAGAAAGCCTATGGAAGTAATTATCTTTATGCCAGTTCTTCTGATGGGAGCTAGTCAGCAGGACCAATTGTCTGTTAAGGAAATCTTGGTTCAAGATAACAGTGCTTAGTGGAGTCATCTTTATAGAAGGAGTAGTTTCACAAACAAGGGTCCTAGAGTCAGAATATATGGGCTTGAATTCCAGCTCCACCACTTACTAGCTAAATGAGTAAGAGAAAATTGTTTGTGTCACTTCCCCACTCAGCAACCTTCAGTGACTCCCTACTGCCCAAAGAATGGCATCGGAACTCATCATGTGTATTCTCATCCTCAAGCCTTTACCTTAGGGCCTCACCTTAACTTCCCAGCCTCATCTTCCACTGTGTGCCTACACCCTCAGCTCTAGCCGCATGAGTTATCTCCCTTTCTGTCTCCTATCTTTACTCCTCCCTGGATGCCTTCTCCCTCCCTTCTTTCTTCAAATCAATCTCTTCCTCTGAACTGGAACACCCATTTTGGCATCTATATTTGGCCCTTAACATTTGTTCCCTTAGGGTTCCTCTATGAGGCCTTTCAGGATCACAGGCCCCCTCTTCTATCTTCCTTCACTCCCAGCACAGAGAGATGCTCCCAATTAGCCTGCTTTCTACTACTTTGCATCACAGGGAAGAAGCTGCCTCATTTCAGCATCTCTATTCTTCCCACTCCGAAGCCTCGCCTGCCTGCCTATACTCATGTGTGTGATGTTGGCATACCCCACAGAGGACATAGATGTCAGAGAAAGGGGCAGGCAGAACAGGTTCTAAAACTAAAAGGAAAGTTTTCACTTTCTTATGTCTGGAACTCCCTGGCCTTTGTTTTTTAACGGCCATACAGCTTTCCTGAAACAAGGGACGTGTTTAAAGATTAAAGCTGTTATGTGGAGCTTGATGTGGTTGCTGCACCCCATATGCATGAGCTTAACCAGGTTGGTAAATCAAGAGCACATCTTTTAACCATCAGAACTTTGTCTTTCTCCCTCATCCCCTAGGAGTTACTGCAAGAGCTCAGGCACCTCAAAATCAAAGTGGAAGAGTTGGAAAATGAAAGGAATCAGTATGAATGGAAGCTAAAGGCCACTAAGGTAAACGGCACTCCTGATGCTTATGGAGAGAGTATGAGGGCCTTGTGGGGAGGGTCTGCATTCCAACTTGGGGGTTTCCAGTAGCCTAAGTTTGAAAATGCAAATCAACCCTCCAGTGTGGACACACAGCAGTGCCCAGATGGTGCAGTAGACAGACTTGATCCAGGAAAGATCCTCATGGAGAATGCCCGTGAGATTATGAATTGGTCAATTGTAGTAACCCAGTCTGCTTCCTCTCCCTGCACCCCATAGCACCTGGCTGAAGCTGGGCCAAGAAGGGGCTAGGAGTGGGGAGAGCAGGTGAGTGGCAGGCAGTGAATCATGCGTCCTAAAGCAGATCTTGGATGCATCATTTTAAATTCAGTAGTCCCTTCTAGAATCAGTTTTTCAAAAAAATAGGCATGCTTTATATTTGGCACAAAATATATTCCTAAAAATGGCATAAACTTCGAATTATTTCTTCAATCAAATCATGTTTCTCTTAAACTAGGGAGCCTGCAATTTAAAGGACACCAATAATAAATTCTATTGTGAAATAAATTTCTTCCCTGTCCCCTTTGTTTCTTCCTTCTTTTCCTATACTAAAGTGCAGAGATCAAAACTAGTGGGTTACATTCAGCCCATGAATTTTTTTGGCCTGCACATTGGATTTTAAAACGTTAAATTGTTATTTAAATTTCAGGAAGTTTACATTAGGCTACAGTTAGGTTTCCTTTGGGAGTATGGGGAGGTGGGAGGCTCACACCTGCCTTCCCCTACTGTGTCTGCAGTGCCACCCAAGGGCATTACTGGATGTTTTTATTAGAGTTTTCTTAACTTCTAGTTTGTATTTTTATTTTTTGTGCAAGTTAGTTGCTAATTATTATAAAAACAATAACACACACTATAGAGAATTTTCAAACCATAAAAAATTAAAGGAATAAAAAGCACTCATACCACCCAGGCACTACCATTGCTAATATTTCCTTCCGTGTATTATTCTCTTCTGTTTTAGGTCTGTGTTAGGCCATTCTTGCATTGCTACAGGTAAATAGCTTAGACTAGGTAATTTATAAAGAAGAGGTTTAATTGGCTCAGGGTACTGCAGGTTTTACAGGAAGCATGGTGGTCACATCTGCTCAGCTTCTAGTGAAGCCTCAGGGAGTTTTCAATCATGGCAGAAGGAAAAAGCAGGAGCAAGTGAGAGAAAGGAGAGGAGGTGCCACAAACTTTTAAACCACCAGATCTCGTGAGAACTCACTCACAGTTGCGAGGACAGCACCAAGAGGGTGGTGCCACCATTCATGAGAAATCTATCCCCATGATCCATTCACCTCCTACCAGGGCCCACCTCCAATATCGGGGATTACAATTCAACATGAGATTTGGCAGGAACAAATATTCAAACATCAGGGTCTCTCTATCTCAGTGTCTCTGTCTCTTAATTTTTATTGTTGATAATTTACATGCAATTTTATAACATGCTGTTACTTAAAATTTTATGACTTCTCATGTTATCAAAAGAAAGCACTGAACATATATAAATATTTATGTAATCTAGTGTATAAATATAAAATCATTTGATTAACCATTTTACAGATAATGAAATGGATGTACAGAGAGATTAACTTTCCCAAGATTTTACAGCTATTTGGTACCAAGCCTGGGCAGTCAGACCCATCTGTGTCCTGGCCTGTGTGTATCTGAGTGTAGTTTTGTATGTGTATGCTTCACAGGCACCAGCTCTAGGGGCACTGGTTTTGTCCAGTAGCTCAGAACCTTCCATCACAACACCCCACTCAAACAAGCCCTGTCTTGGGGAAACCTTTGAAGTTGTACATACCGCCCTCTGTCATAAAACCAAATAACACTTTTCTTTTTAACACCCCAGCTCTTTGTCTTGGCATGTAGACCTTTGAGATGCTAAGGGTTATTTAATAACTACCAGGTGTGGAGCACTTCCTATGTGCCAGAATGTACCAAGCTATTTGCACACATTTTATCATCCATAAAATCACCCAGTGAGGTATATGTTTTTTTATTCTCACTTGACTGGGAAGGAAACAGAGGCTCAGCGTGGCCAAGCTGAGGTTCACATCTGGGTCTCTGTCATTCCCGTGCCTTCATGCTGTTTCCAACATCATCCTGATTCCCTGCAGAGAAAACCAGCACTGTTTTTGGAAGTTTTTCACTTTTCTGCTTCAGGCCTCTCAGTCTCTGAAGGGGATTCATCTCCCAGTGCAATGGCAGTAGGGCATGGTCCCTGGGTTTAATGAGGCACAGCACTTGCAGGGACCCAGAGCATCCGTCTCTGCCCAACTGCCTGTCTGCATAGCTATCTCAGACCTTGTGCCACACAGCCCTAGCCATGGTGACTGTGGCCATAGGAACAGTGGCAGTAGCATACACAGTCAAGTAGAAGGTCTCTGGACTGTTCTTGGCCTTCCCAACTGCGGAGACAGAGATCGCTCAAAGGATAACAGAGCACCTATAGTTTCTGGCCTATTTCTGTGGAAATTGGCACAAGGCAGGTTGGGCCCAGTCACTTGGTCTGTAGGGTCCATGGTATATACCTACAGGACCTCCCATAGAGGCAGGGCTCAGGAAGGAGAGCCCTCATAGTGCCACGTGCTAGATTCTCTCTTGATCGGTCCACATTGCTGAATTCCCAACTGTGGGGCCAGCAGACAAGCATCAGGTATCCAGATTTCTAACAGAGACGAGTGCCCATCCTGTCCACAAAGAAAGGGAGAAATGGGCATGGAGAGGTGCAAGAAAAGTTAAAGGAATATCTTTCAAGAATCATCTGGCCTTTGTAGAAATGGAGGTTGAGAGTCCCAAAGCTAATATCTTCAGAAGCCATTGTCACCATGAGTCATAAGCCCATGGGCATCTTTGCCCTGAGTGAGCTCTGATAAACTGCTCCATAGCTGCATGTCTCAGAAAGTGGGTTACACAGCAGGACCCAGCTCTTGGCCTCTGTGAGTGGAGCCCAGAGTGGAGGGACAGTGCTTCATTATGAACTTTGGAATAAGGAAACCCTACCCCTTGTCATCTCTTTATATGGTCATCCCTGTCCCATTTGGGGGATGTTAGGGAAGGTTATTCAGAAACCCTTGCGGTGGGCTGAGGGAGCCCAAGCCTGGTAAGAGTGGCCTTCATCTGTCCTGTTAACTCAGAAGCAGACACACGGTGGTGGGTGGAGCCCTGACATTGGAGCAGGCAGGCCAGGGTTTGCATCCTGGCCTGGTCACCAAGTAGCTCTGTGACTGACACAGAATCTTGTACTACTCCCGTTTTCTCCCTGATGACTTACGGAGATATTGTTTCCTCGGGTGGTTGCTTGTGAGGATTTGATGTAAGAAAGCAGTGAGCACGGGGGCTGATCAGGGTGCGTGCTCAGTCCATGCGCTGAAACTGAACACAAGGCCTGTCCAGCAACAGAGTTGCCAACAGGGCCAGTACTCATTTAATTACTTGGGGTTGGTCAGATATTAACTTGGGCCTTTGTGGAATTGAACAGCCCATACTATAACCTTGAGGACCAAAGTGGGACATGATTGGGCCAACACATGGGGAAGGGGTGGCCAGAGGAGAAGCCTTTGCTGTCTTTTATTGACCGGCTCCACGGTCGATGCTCATCCCTTTTCTTACCTGGTTTGATGCTGAGAGAATTGAACCGATTATCCACAAAGAAAAGAATAGGATGAGAGGAGCAAATAGCAGTAGCATTTATTGAGCACTTAGTATATACTAAATATTGGACTAGGTTGTTGATAACCATTATCTTAAACCTAATTGCAGTCCCATGAAGTAGGTGTAGTTTTTCCCATTTTATAGATGAGCTGAGACTCAGAAAGGTTAACTTACTTGCTCAAGGTCACCCAACTAGGAAATGAGAGAATCAAGGTTTGTTTGACTCCAAAATCCAGGTACCTCTTCGGACAGGACCTATACAATTCTGATCTCCTGATGAGTATGGGAAAGCATGAACAACCACACCTAGTGTTGTGTGTGGATTTAACCTGCACTACTTAATGGCGACATGGGAACCATCTAGTGCAGCTGCCTGTTTGTGTGCAAATATGAATGTATGTGTGTACTTATGAGCTGTGTATACAATGTTTTTTTTTGCAAAAGTATGTAAATGAAGCACTCCTGAATGCTTGTACATCTGTATATGAGTGAGCGTGCACACATGCCTGGAGGTTGGGCAGAGGCAGTGACTGTACCCAAAGGGTAGGAGCGTGTGGAGGGAGGGAGCCCTTGGCTTACCTTTTCTTCAGCAGTGGTGATTTGGCTTCCGCTGCATTTTCTCTGTGGGTTGGAAAGATGAAAACTGCATGCACTTGTTATAGTGGTGTCTCTAAATGTTACTGTATGAGTGAGTATCTTGGGAGAAGAAAGACCATGTCCAGAATATCCTCCTCTGCACCAAGGACAGCCCTCCCATTGCACACAATCCCAGCTCCTCATCACAATCCTAATCCTCACAGTGCAGGGGAGAGAAACTGGTCAGGTAGGAAGATGCAGGGGAAGAAGCACATTGATGGCCAGAGCCGTGGGGAGGGCCAGGATGGCCTAGAAGAGTGAGTTCACTCAGCAGAGTTCCACCTGTGGAGAGGGCAGTGAGCCCCTGCTCCTGCTCACCTCTTCTCCTAACTCCTGATGCACCCTGGTGCCTGATGGGGTCTGGACTCTGACGGGAGGCACTTCATCATGATTTGGCAGTCCTTCTGACCTGGTAGGGATCCTCTGTTGCTCTTCCAGGCTGAAGTCGCCCAGCTGCAAGAACAGGTGGCCCTGAAAGATGCAGAAATTGAGCGTCTGCACAGCCAGCTCTCCCGGACAGCAGCTCTCCACAGTGAGAGTCACACAGAGAGAGGTGACTAGCTTGACTCTGACAAAATGCAGTTGTCTGGGTCCCTGGGTCTACTCTTATAAGTGAGCATGTGTTTCTATAAATGAGTGTGCATATGTGCTTGTGTGTGTAGCCATGCTAATGGACATGCATGTATGTGTGCAAGCGTGGCCAAGTGAATGGATGCACCAGTTTGTGTGTTTGTGTGTGTCCCTATAATGCAGCGCTCTTGTGGAATCATTCCCATGGAACCCTCCCCTAACTAGAAGGTTTTTCTCAGATGCACAGAAGTTCTGTGCAGCCACCTCTGGAGCTTTTACTGAAAATGTAGGAAATACCTAACTCTTTCATTTGACTGAAAGGCCTTACTTTTGTGTCATCACCAAAGGGGAGGCTTTAGAAATTTACTCAGTCATTTCATGGATACCTGCCTGATGCCTGTATAAGGCCCTGAGACTACAGAAACAAGTCAGTTCTTTTTCATTCTTGAGATTTCAAATCTTACTTCTCAGAAAGACCTTTCTTGGCCACCCTAACTCAAATAGGTGCTCCCAGTCCTATTATTCTCTAATTCATCATCCTTCCTTTTTCCTGCCTAGCACTTATTATAACTTACCAGTGTTGTGTGTTATCCCCACTCAGGGGTAAGGACTATATTTTTCTTGTTTAAGAGCATATCTACAAAGCCCAGCACAATATTTGGCCCATTGTAGGATCCTAAGAAATACTTCTTGAATAAGTGAAAGGATGGTGAATGGTCCCTGAGGAGTTCAAGTCTTGCTGATCAAAAATAGAGGATAAATCCTCAACTACTGTAATGAACACATAAATCTTTATGGCTGTTTGCCATGTATACAAAGTGATCATACACCTTTCAACTTGTCCACTGACTACCAGGCTGCAGAGCAATGCCGAAGATCATATAGTCCTACGGATTGGTGCCACTACCTAGTCACATCCTGGCCTCAGCACTGCAAGCTTAGCTTGGATCCCCAGCTGGGGTGTGGAAGCCATGCAACAATGGCTTAGGCTGGAGAAGGAAATTAGTGATCAATGTGCTCGTCCCTCTCCGAGCTTTTCTCAGTGTCCGCCCAAGCCACTGGGTGTGTTGCCTACCTGCCAAGGCCTGCTTGTAGAGGCTGGGTTCTACTAAGACACCCTGGACTATCTCTGATGCTAAGCCTGGACAGAGAGTGCCCCATGCCACAACTTCTAGGCCAGGCAGCCTTCCCAGTCTACCCCTCCTCTTCCCACAGTCTAAGCCTCCCAGGCCCTACCCCACTCCATTACTGGGTACTTTCTAGAGCTGGTCCTTGGGTCATTTGCTGCCGAAGGTAGGTTCTGACCAGTGGATCAGGGTTGGCAGTCTTCATCTAGAGCTTACTGCCCTCCCCAGCAAAGTGAGCTGCAGAGCTGATGTTAGCTACCTAGAGCCTAAATAATGAGCAAGCAATTCTCCACTTTATTCTGAAAATGAATCTCCACAACTATTTACACAAAGTCCATAGATCTACTGTTGCTATTCTTGTTAGATACAACAAGCATCCCAAAAGAAAATGGGAGGCCTATATATTTGTTCCCTTGTACTTTTTTTTTTTTATATAGACATCCCTATTCCCATTTAGGAAGAGGCATAGATCCTTCTTTGAACAATCTAGCTATGTGCCAATTCCTAGAGTATCTGGCAAATGACCTCCAGCTTCCTTAGGCTCTTCAAAACAGTTAAGGAATCAACAGAGTCCCTCTTGGGTCCAAACTGAGAGAAGGCCTTGGATTTTCCACCACAGACCAACAGAGATTTCTCAGCCCATAGGGAAATTCTGGTTTATGATGAAATAAGATTGTTTATCCTCAACCCAGCATTTGCATATATGTATATATCCCAATACATCTAAACATTTGTTAGTCAATTTTGACTATATCATTTTAAATTAAGCCAAGTACCAACTCTTTTACATAATTTTTATTTCCCAGTCTTCACTCAACTGTAGATTTTTTTAAATGTTAAATTCTCCTCTTCCTACAATTTGTCAGACTGTATGATTTTCTTCAAAGCCAGTCAGAAGCCCAGGTGCATGCCTACTCAAGTTGTAAAGGATAAAAATGTCTATATTCTTAGGAGATGTTGGTTTTGAAAGATTTTTGGCTTCCTCTGTCCTCTCGAGTACATGGGCATTTTGATTTTGCCCATAAATGTCTATAAAGAGAAGACAGAGTACTAGCTTCCTTCATTTAGTAGTCTAGCAAATATTTAAGGAGGCCGATTCTGTAGCAGACACCATCCCGGCCTCTTTAAAGAACTAAAGGAGCCATGTTCACATGGCAAGTCTTCATTTGAACTTGGGGGACATCATAGCAAGTGCGGATAGCTGTCTGTATTTATATAAATAATTATTTCTATACCTGAATTCTTTTAGACCAAGAAATTCAACGTCTGAAAATGGGGATGGAAACTTTGCTGCTTGCCAATGAAGATAAGGTAAGATGGTCATTGGGTAGCCCTGTCTTTTCCATGCTTACATCCCTGGCTGTGTTTGGTCCCTGCTGGTCTCTGATATTCTGGACAGGACCATGCTTATCATGCCATTGACATAGGGATATGTCAGGAGAATGACTTGTGCCTTCTAGAGACTTGGCCTCAGCCACCTGTTTTTGGCTTTGATAACTGGAAAGTTTGTCTAAATGGAATCTCCTAAAGGCAGATTATAGCCCTGCCTGTTCCTGCTGGTGTGGGGGGAAAAAAATACTGCTGTGATCACTGCCAATATCATAGCTCCTGCTGGAACTCCTAGCACAACAGCCCACCAGTCTCCCATGTGCATGACCTGAC
Source organism: Homo sapiens (assembly GCF_000001405.40). NCBI lineage: Eukaryota > Metazoa > Chordata > Mammalia > Primates > Hominidae > Homo > Homo sapiens. The sequence continues at coordinate 7,628,698 of NC_000011.10, forward strand.
AATAGAACCATCATAGAGACACTTGGCAGTATGCAGTGCCTCAGTTTACCCTGCCATCTTATATCCTTCGCATCTAATTTCGGCACAGTCATAAATAGCCACCTCTATAAATAAAGAGTGCCTGGCTGGTATAAACATCATCTCTGAGGATCACAACCCTGCATTTTACAGATGAGGAAACAGACTCAGAGTGCTTAAGTAATTTGGCCCAAGGTCAGGTAACTAGTAAATAGCACAGCCAGCTTTCACACCCAAGTTTGTCTATGACCTGTGTGGTCTCCCAAGTTCCTTTCAAGGCCTTTGCCTTGAAAGAAACGATCTTCTCTGGGAATTTCCTCTGTAGTATGAGGTATCTCAGACTCCTAGGGAACAAATGAGTATATTGAGATAAATATGACAGCTTTATTTTAGTCTTTTTTTGTGTCGCTCCAGAGGGCAACACTAGGACCAGAAGGCAGATTTCAATGGCCACTTCAGGAAGGTAGGGAGACAGTGAGTTTCGTGCTTCTGAAAATGTTTAAGCCCTGTGAAGGGTGTCTCAGATGACTCACAGTCTTCAGGTAGAGCGTGAATGCCTGCAGATGCCTATGAGGCAGACCACTGAAATCCCAGCTCTGTGGAATGGGGCCTGGACACTCTTTTCCTTTGGTTCCACGTGGGATTTCTTCTCCTTGTGCCAAGAACATAGCGTGGGTTCCAAAATGAAATCATCTGAGATGCCAGCATAGCATTAATCTAAATCTCTACTTGCACTATGGCAGGACCGTCGGATAGAGGAGCTTACGGGGCTGTTAAACCAGTACCGGAAGGTAAAGGAGATTGTGATGGTCACTCAAGGTAAGAGCAAGGGCGATCCTACCGTTGTCTCTGAAAGATATTCCATCAGCTGTGTTAAAGCCAGGGGCAGTTCTGCTAGCAGCTGTTTCACCTCTGTTTCAGAGAAGACTCCCTACTGGAGAACAGAGCTGTTTAGACTTTTCTGCATGATGAGAACTTAGCAGTTGTTGATTTCCAGAAATACTACCAAATGGAAGTCAGCTTAGGGCCTTCAGGGACTATCCAGATCACCAAGAATATAAAGCTTGTGAATTCCCCACCCTTGGAAGGTCTCTTATGCATCTTCCCAGGACACGCCTTAGAGGCAGCAAGTGCAGTTAAACCTGGATCAAAAATCAACTCAGTGCCATCATTGGGGATTAGAGCTCATCCACCTCCTAGAAAATCTAAAGTTCCGCAGCAGACTCAGAGGGCCCTCTGGGAGCCTTCCTCGAGTTGCTGGGCCTGAGTTGCTATAGGAAGTCACAGGACAGAGAGAGCTGCTGTGTTTTATATTTGCTGCCCAGACTGAATGCAACATGCAAGCAGCATCAGGGTTCTTATGGGCATAGTGGTGCATGTGCCGGGCTGCCTTCATTGTTCATGCCATTGACCTGGGCTCCCATCATAGATCCTGAGGAAGCAGCTGTTTCACAGCACAGGGCTGCTTTGAAGGATATTCAGGAACCTCTGATTCTGGCTGAGCTTCTGCTGCTTCTTGGGAAGAAGCCAAGCCTCTGCCAGGATGTGACTGACTGGTCACTGGCCAGGGCCTCTGCCAGCCCTCACACACAGCCCTCTTTTTTTTCTCTTTTTGAGATGGAGTGTTACTCTGTCACCCAGGTTGGAGTGCAGTGGCACAATCTCAGCTCACCGTAACCTCTGCCTCCCAAGTTTAAGCAATTCTTGTGCCTCAGCCTCCTGAGTAGCCGGGATTACAGGCACTGGCCACTATACCTGGCTAATTTTTGTATTTTTAGTGGAGATGGGGTTTCAACATGTTGACCAGGCTAGACTCGAACTCCTGACCTTAAGTGATCCGCCTGCCTCAGCCTCCCAAAGTGCTGAGATTACAGGCGTGAGCCAAAGCACCTGGCCTCACAGCCATCTTTTTAAGATCATGGGTCAAGTCACTCTCAGGGCCTTGATTGCCTATAGCTAAGGAGTGAGAGGTTTGGAGGCAGGGGTACATTACCTCTGTTCTGCAGATAAACTTTGACCTTGAAATGATCCTGATGCCAGCCCTTGCTCAGATGCCCTGAAGAATCTTCAGAATCACACTCTTACTGTCCCTTTATATATTTCTTAGTCCTTCTTAATGAAGGAGAAACAATGTTAGAATTTTGTGGTACGATTATAGGTTTCTGAACATGAATTCAACAATTCAGTCTTACTACCTTAATGCTTGCAGGGCCTTCGGAGAGAACTCTCTCAATCAATGAAGAAGAACCGGAGGGAGGTTTCAGCAAGTGGAACGCTACAAATAAGGACCCTGAAGAATTATTTAAACAAGAGGTACTGTGTTTCCATCCATGACGTAGGGTTTCAGCAGGTCCTCCGAGCTTGCCCTGAGCTTGAGGGAGGATCTAGTCAGACACGTGTCAGGTGCACATCTTGGCAGGTGAATACTTAAATTAATATAGTGCCCCTCAGGCTGTGATGGGGATGGGCGAGCAAGAGGCTGAGGCTCTGGCCTGTGCTCTGGTTGGAGGCAGCATGGTGGATACTGGAACTTTCAAGGATAGGAGTTCTCCTTTTTAATCAGGCTCCTAGTTTATTTTTATCTTTTTTTTCTCTGGAATGTAAGCATAGACCAAAGGTGATGTTTGATTTATCTACCACCCTTTCTCCAAGGTCTGCAGTAATGCCCGATACCCAGTAGAATTCAACAAATATTTGTTGAATGAACGAACATGTCTTGCTCATTTAGAGGAATTAACTGCAACCTCTGAAATGCCGCATTCCTGCTTGACAGATACGCCCTTCAGCCCCTATAGCCAGGACACAGATTTTCCTTCTCATCTATTTCGTTTGTTTAAAATCTGGTCCTATTGTATGAATCTCTCTAGACTTAAGCTAGATACAAATAAACAAATAAACAAGACCTCAGGTGAAGGAGGGGCTTCAGCCTAGGGTCCAAAAGATTCCTGAAAACGTCACACTATCAAATTGAAAAGAATCTTAGTGCTTCAGTTCAACCTTTTTAATTAAGGAGCAAAAGCATCATCCAGTGAGCCAGTTATTGACTCAGAACAAGCACCCCAGATTGCTGGCAATTACAGAATAGCGGTGTCCAAGTCTTACCAAGTCTTACTGGATACCTCCACGTGGTCACTGTGATGAACATTGTATCTGGCAGAATATGGACTTGAACCCAGGTCTGACCACAATGCCCAGGTATTTAAAACTATACTATAATGCCAGCGTTGTTGTTATAGTAGACCAAGAGGATGCTAGGATCTAGAGAAAAGAGGCAGTACTGGAGACATGGGACTGTCTTCTTTCATAACCTCCATTAGCTCAAGGTGGCTCCGCCTGTGATGCTAGGTGCACTGCTGAAGGCACAGTGTTGTGGTAGGTACAATACTGAAGACACGGGACTGTATTATTTCATACCATCATTAGCTCATGGTCTTTCCCCCTGTAATGTTCTTTCCTTTCTTGCCTTAACCAGTTCTCATTTCTCAAAATTCAGCTCAGCTTTTCTCCTCTCTAAAGCTTTCTCAGCCTTCCCTCTGGTGAGAGGGAGCCCCTCTCTCCCACTGTTCCCATATTGTGTTACAGGTGTTGGAGCCATAAGAGCATTGCACATTATTCTGTTATCCTAGTGTACTTGTCTGTCTCCCAGATGTGGGGAGTGCTTGCTCCAGACCTGGCACAGGGCCTGGCAGGGAGTAGATGTTGCTGATGTTTGTCGGGTGACCATATCAAATGGGATTTTCTCATTGAAAGCAACAAAATTTGGCTCTGGCTAACCTAAGCCAAAAAGAATGTTTTTAAAAGAGTCTGCAGTGGCTCGCTGAATGAAAGGAAAAGCTGAAGAACCAAGATCAGAAAGGGAAGGAGCAGAAAAAGCCCAAGAACCCAGGTCTCAGGACTGTACTACTGGGATATGAACATGATCTAAGCTCTAGGGTCCAGGAAGGAGAGGCAAGCTGGCCCAGATGGACTGATAAGCCTACCACACCCCCTTGCATCTTGAAAGAGCAAGGCATCTATAATGATGTATCCACCATGGCTGCACCCAGGGAGGAAATGTCTCCCTAAAAGGAATCATGTGAAGCAGGGGGAAAGATGGTGGGTGGTCCCCAAACAGACTGTCCTCTACCGTGACTCTTCTGTCTCTGGTGCAGATGCCTCCAAGATGTAGCTCTCCTACAGTGGGGCCACCTCCATTGCCACAGAAATCACTGGAAACCAGGTAAGAGGCCTGGGCATTTCCCCACAGCCACTGTGCTCTCAGGCTTGCCTTGGGGCTGCCGAAGTAGATGGTGATGACCGTGAATGGTGAGCATGGCCACTGAGTCCTAGGTGCACCTGCCCCTCTGTTGTTAGGGCAGTTACAAACCAGGCCTACCTCTTTTGGCCACAGAAGGGCTTCTCATCCTTCAGGCTGAGGGTGTGGATCATTGTCACTGAGAAAGGATCTGGCCAAGGATTAGAGCCTCAGAGGAGAGGTGGCTGCAACTCATCTGTGTCTTATAGCAGCTCCTCAGAGCTGAGAGCATCCCGTGATGTGTGTTCCTTTTGTCAGCCTCTGCCTCCTGCTCTTAGAGTGAATTTAGCCCTTTGACAGTCGAAGCTTTCTAGGGAAGGCCATGTCTTCTCATAGCAATTGGTCTAATTGCTTTAAGGATGCTTCACAACAATGAACTAATAATGGGCTCGCCTCTGAGGTCATTTGACTGCCATCTGTCTTGTTCCCTCTAAAATAAACCTAAATCTAGTTCCCTATGTCCGTACTTCAGCACACATTTTGAAATTGAGCCCCATGTAAGGGAGACATGGAGGCTTCACTACCAAGGTACTGGCAACCACTACCAGGCTGCCTTTCAGCTAAGGTGTTGGGGCAGATGACCACAAGCATCACAGAAACTCCCCAGAATGGTGCTGAGTCTCCAGAGCCTGCACTCTGAGTCCACTTTCCAGAAAGCAGTTGTTCCCTTGAGCCTTTAGCCCAGAGGAAAATGGTAATGTTAGAGAAGTTGATCAGGCAGTCCTTAGTTTTGGAGAATAAGAATTGTGGTTTATGAGTTCACTGAGGGAAAGGTCAACACCAAGGAACTCGGACTGACCAGATTTACAAGAGACTAATATTTTTTAAAATGATGACTTACTCGTATAATCTGAGAAATATGACTGCCAAGGAGACTTGGCACAGGTTACCCTTGTGACCACTGGTGGCATTGCCTCTTGACACATTTGGTGCCTTTCTCTGCAAAATAGACCCTGAGAGAGCCAGATGAGTCTGAGCAGACTAGATGGGCATGCAGATCCAGAGCAGAGTGTGGCAGGGTCCTAGCAAGTGATGTTCTGGAGCCATGGCTGGTTAATGTGTTCATCTCTACTCTAAGGAGGCCCAGGTCCCTCCTCCCTGGATTACTCTTAGACTCAGACAAGCCCAGCATCAGCACCTTTCCCCTCTTTTGACACTGTAGACCTTGGCCTTTTATGACCGCACAATTGTCACCTCAGTGCAGCAGAATTGAGTGTATTCTGGCTTTTTGTGCAATGCCAAGAACATTTCATTTGGATTTAAGTGACCCTGTCATGCCCTTACTAACACATTATTGGACCAGTCTGTCCCCCAAGGTGGGCCAGTCTCATTTTGTATGTAAAGGCTATTATGAGAGGGTATTTTTTTTTCTTGACTTTGAACCTAAGCCCAAGACCATCGGTTAAGCATTTGAAATGTCCTCTGCATGAGTGATAACATGTACCTCCTTCTCATAACTATTTCTTTCTTTTGTGTTTTTTTCAGGGCTCAGAAAAAGCTCTCTTGTAGTCTAGAAGACTTGAGAAGTGAATCTGTGGATAAGGTCGGCTCATCAACCTATCCTTAAAGATGACTGAGTTACTTTTTTGGGCCTAGCATAGTACTGGGATATACAGGCAGGTCCTGGTCCCTACCTTGTAGAGGATTTTATAAAGTTGTAGAGGAAGCAGGAATTACATGAACATTTTGAGAAAATTAACTGGGTGTGGCCCAAAGCATCTTAGAGGAAGGACAATTCAGGAAATGTTGCCTGGAGTTGATGAGAGAAGATGTTGAGATCAGCAAAGCTTGGTTAGAGTCTGCTGAGCAATAGCAGGTTTTGGAAGATGGTGGAGAGTAGGAGGAGGTAAGGTCAGAGCCATGAGACAGATCAAGCCAGGGAAGATCTTGACTACTAGTCCTATATCCCTGGGGCACTTGGGGACATCGTATAGATTTTTTTAATGATGAATTAATGTGAATAAAGGAGATGATCCCAAGGAAAGATGTGGGATCGTCAGGATGTTGGAGAGTGAGCTGTTGTAAGAGTCTGGAAAGATGGAGGAGGGTCTTGTGGCTCCTTATATAGGAGTAGCCCTTGATCATGTGGGTGGACCTCATGCTGCAGGGGACAGTAGCAGGCTCTTGAGCTTGGTCATTAGAGACCAAGGGAGCCTGCCCTGATAGAGACCCTTCAGTGAGCCTGTGCTGCATACCATCCCTTGGTCTCCAATAATGTTCATCAGCCTCCTTGTTGATACAGTGGAGAACCATAAAGGCTGAAGTCTGCAGGAGCCCTGGGATCATTCAGTGGCTCTGCTCCCATGGTCACGTGTCTCTCGGTTGCCATGGTCATGTTGCTGGCAGCTGCCCAGGACATCTGTCCATGGAGTTGGACAGGGATCTTTCCTGCCCTGGATGGTGATTACTTGACATGAAGATGTGGAGGGAGGGGATGCGCCTTTCAGATTTAAGCAAACAGGTAGTCCTGAGTTGTTGCTGTTTGTGAATAACACAAGTCTCTTTTTCTCCACATAAACGAAATCCTCATGTTACTCCATAGTGTATGGATGGGAACCAGCCCTTCCCGGTGTTAGAACCCAAGGTACATTGACTTCGTGCCCCGTCGTCTATTTGTGGTTACACTGTTTGCTAGTATTTTAATTTAGCAAGTCATAGTTTTCATAACCTTAAAATGTGCCAACTGTAAGGAGTAAGAGGGCAAGAGGAAAGACGCAACTTTTCTCTCCCATTTTATTTTTATGTGCA